>NC_000008.11:44874137-45196658 GCF_000001405.40 Homo sapiens | reverse complement strand
TCTGTCTTGTTTTCATTTTAAGATATTTCCTTTTTCACCATAGTTCAGAAAGCGCTCCAAATGTCCACTTCCAGATACTCCAAAAAGAGTGTTTCAAACCTGCTCTATGAATGGGAATGTTCCACTCTGTGACTTGAATGGAAATATGGCAAAGTATTTTCTGAGTATGCTGCTGTGTACGTTTTTTATTGCATCCCGTTTCCAACGAAATCCTCAAAGCGATCCAAATATCCACTTGCAGATTCCAAAAAAAGAGTGTTTCAAACTGCTCTGTCAGTACAAAGGTTCAACACTGTTAGTTGATTAGATGCATCATAAACAAGTTCCTGAGATAGCTTCTATGTCGTTTTTATGGGAAGATATTTCCTTTTTCACCATAGGCCTGAAAGCGCTCCAAATGTCCACTTCCAGATACTACAATAAGAGTGTTTCCAACCTGCTCTATGAAACGGAAGGTTCAACTCTGTGACTTGATTGCAAACATCACGAAGGTGTTTCTGAGAATGCTTCTGTCTAGATTTTCTTTGAAGACATTACCGTTTCCAACGAAATCCTCAAAGCTAGCCAAATATCCACCTGCAGATTCTACAAAAAGAGTGTTTCAAAAGTGCTCTCTCCAAACCAAGGTTCAATTCTGACAGTTGAGTGCACACATCACAAACGTGATTCTGCGAATGCTTCTGTCTAGTTTTTGTCGGAAGATATTTCCTTTTTCAGCATAGGCCCCAAGGAGCTCAAAATGTCCACTGCCAGATAGTACGAGAAGATTGTTTCAAACCTGCTCTGTGAAAGGGAATGTTCAACTCTGTGACTTGAATGTAAACATCCCTAAGCTGTTTCTTAGAATGCTTCTGGCTAGATTTTATTTGAAGATATTCCCGTTTCCAACGAAATCCTCAAAGCTTTCCAAATATCCACTTCCAGATTCTATAAAAAGAATGTTTCAGAACAGTTCTGTCAAAAGAAAGGTTCAACTCTGTTAGTGGAGAACACACATCACAATCAAGGTTCTGAGAATGCTTCTGTCTAAATTTTCTATGAAGACATTCCCGTTTCCAACGAAATCCTCACAGCTATCCAAATATCCACTTGCAGATTCTACAAAAAATGTGGTTCAAAACTGCTGTATCAAAAGAATGGATCAACACTGTTAGTTGCGTACCCACATCACAAACGTGATTCTCAGAATGCTTCTGTCTAGTTTCTATAGGTAGATATTTCCTTTTTCAGCATAGGCCTGAAAGCGCTCCAAATGCCCGCTTCCAGACACTATAAAAAGAGGGTTTCAAACCTACTCTATGAAAGGGAATGTTCAACTCTGAGAGCTGGATGCAAACATCACAAAGAAGTTTCTGAGAATGCTGCTGTCTACTTTTTATATATAATCCCGTTTCCAACGAAATCCTCAAATCTATCCAAATATCCACTTGCAGATTCCAAAAGAAGAGTGTCTCAAAACTGCTCTATCAATAGAAATGTTCAGCACAGTTAGTTGAGTAGATACAGCATAAACATGTTTCTGAGATTACTTCTATCTCGCATTCATGGGAAGATATTTCCTTTTTCCAGATAGGCTACAAAGCCCTCCAAATGTCCACTTCCAGATACTACAAATAGAGTGCTGCACAACTGCTCTATGTGAGGGGAAGTTCAATTCTGTGACTTGAATGCAGACACCACAAAGAAGTTTCTGAGAATGCTGCTGTCTAATTTTTACATGTAAGCCCGTTTCCAACGAAATCCTCAAAGCTATCCAAATATCCGCATGCAGAATCTTCAAAAAGAGTGTTCCAGAAGTACTGCATGAAACGAAAGGTTCAAGTCCGTTTGTTGAGGACACACATCACAAATAAGTTTCTCAGAATGCTTCTGTCTTGTTTTCATTGGAAGATATTTCCTTTTTCACCATAGTTCAGAAAGCGCTCCAAATGTCCACTTCCAGATACTCCAAAAAGAGTGTTTCCAACCTGCTCTATGAATGGGAATGTTCCACTCTGTGACTTGAATGGAAATATGGCAAAGTATTTTCTGAGTATGCTGCTGTGTACGTTTTATATTGCATCCCGTTTCCAACGAAATCCTCAAAGCGATCCAAATATCCACTTGCAGATTCCAAAAAAAGAGTGTTTCAAAGTGCTCTGTCAGTACAAAGGTTCAACACTGTTAGTTGATTAGATGCATCATAAACAAGTTCCTGAGATAGCTTCTATGTCGTTTTTATGGGAAGATATTTCCTTTTTCACCATAGGCCTGAAAGCGCTCCAAATGTCCACTTCCAGATACTACAATAAGAGTGTTTCCAACCTGCTCTATGAAACGGAAGGTTCAACTCTGTGACTTGATTGCAAACATCACGAAGGTGTTTCTGAGAATGCTTCTGTCTAGATTTTCTTTGAAGACATTCCCGTTTCCAACGAAATCCTCACAGCTATCCAAATATCCTCTTGCAGATTCTACAAAAAGTGTGGTTCAAAACTGCTGTATCAAAAGAATGGATCAACACTGTTAGTTGAGTACCCACATCACAAACGTGATTCTCAGAATGCTTCTGTCTAGTTTCTGTAGGTAGATATTTCCTATTTTAAGCATAGGCCTGAAAGCGCTCCAAATGCCCGCTTCCAGACACTATAAAAAGAGGGTTTCAAACCTACTCTATGAAAGGGAATGTTCAACTCTGAGAGCTGGATGCAAACATCACAAAGAAGTTTCTGAGAATGCTGCTGTCTACTTTTTATATATAATCCCGTTTCCAACGAAATCCTCAAATCTATCCAAATATCCACTTGCAGATTCCAAAAGAAGAGGGTCTCAAAACTGCTCTATCAATAGAAATGTTCAGCACAGTTAGTTGAGTAGATACAGCATAAACATGTTTCTCAGATTACTTCTATCTCGCATTCATGGGAAGATATTTCCTTTTTCCAGATAGGCTACAAAGCCCTCCAAATGTCCACTTCCAGATACTACAAATAGAGTGCTGCACAACTGCTCTATGTGAGGGGAAGTTCAATTCTGTGACTTGAATGCAGACACCACAAAGAAGTTTCTGAGAATGCTGCTGTCTAATTTTTACATGTAAGACCGTTTCCAACGAAATCCTCAAAGCTATCCAAATATCCGAATGCAGAATCTTCAAAAAGAGTGTTCCAGAAGTACTGCATGAAACGAAAGGTTCAAGTCCGTTTGTTGAGGACACACATCACAAATAAGTTTCTCAGAATGCTTCTGTGTTGTTTTCATTGGAAGATATTTCCTTTTTCACCATAGTTCAGAAAGCGCTCCAAATGTCCACTTCCAGATACTCCAAAAAGAGTGTTTCCAACCTGCTCTATGAATGGGAATGTTCCACTCTGTGACTTGAATGGAAATATGGCAAAGTATTTTCTGAGTATGCTGCTGTGTACGTTTTATATTGCATCCCGTTTCCAACGAAATCCTCAAAGCGATCCAAATATCCACTTGCAGATTCCAAAAAAAGAGTGTTTCAAACTGCTCTGTCAGTACAAAGGTTCAACACTGTTAGTTGATTAGATGCATCATAAACAAGTTCCTGAGATAGCTTCTATGTCGTTTTTATGGGAAGATATTTCCTTTTTCACCATAGGCCTGAAAGCGCTCCAAATGTCCACTTCCAGATACTACAATAAGAGTGTTTCCAACCTACTCTATGAAACGGAAGGTTCAACTCTGTGACTTGATTGCAAACATCACGAAGGTGTTTCTGAGAATGCTTCTGTCTGGATTTTCTTTGAAGACATTCCCGTTTCCAACGAAATCCTCACAGCTATCCAAATATCCTCTTGCAGATTCTACAAAAAGTGTGGTTCAAAACTGCTGTATCAAAAGAATGGATCAACACTGTTAGTTGAGTACCCACATCACAAACGTGATTCTCAGAATGCTTCTGTCTAGTTTCTGTAGGTAGATATTTCCTATTTTAAGCATAGGCCTGAAAGCGCTCCAAATGCCCGCTTCCAGACACTATAAAAAGAGGGTTTCAAACCTACTCTATGAAAGGGAATGCTCAACTCTGAGAGCTGGATGCAAACATCACAAAGAAGTTTCTGAGAATGCTGCTGTCTACTTTTGATATATAATCCCGTTTCCAACGAAATCCTCAAATCTATCCAAATATCCACTTGCAGATTCCAAAAGAAGAGTGTCTCAAAACTGCTCTATCAATAGAAATGTTCAGCACAGTTAGTTGAGTAGATACAGCATAAACATGTTTCTGAGATTACTTCTATCTCGCATTCATGGGAAGATATTTCCTTTTTCCAGATAGGCTACAAAGCCCTCCAAATGTCCACTTCCAGATACTACAAAAAGAGTGTTTCCAACCTGCTCTATGAAACGGAAGGTTCAACTCTGTGACTTGATTGCAAACATCACGAAGGTGTTTCTGAGAATGCTTCTGTCTAGATTTTCTTTGAAGACATTACCGTTTCCAACGAAATCCTCAAAGCTAGCCAAATATCCACCTGCAGATTCTACAAAAAGAGTGTTTCAAAAGTGCTCTGTCCAAACCAAGGTTCAATTCTGACAGTTGAGTGCACACATCACAAACGTGATTCTGCGAATGCTTCTGTCTAGTTTTTGTCGGAAGATATTTCCTTTTTCAGCATAGGCCCCAAGGAGCTCAAAATGTCCACTGCCAGATAGTACGAGAAGATTGTTTCAAACCTGCTCTGTGAAAGGGAATGTTCAACTCTGTGACTTGAATGTAAACATCCCTAAGATGTTTCTTAGAATGCTTCTGGCTAGATTTTATTTGAAGATATTCCCGTTTCCAACGAAATCCTCAAAGCTTTCCAAATATCCACTTCCAGATTCTATAAAAAGAATGTTTCAGAACAGTTCTGTCAAAAGAAAGGTTCAACTCTGTTAGTGGAGAACACACATCACAATCAAGGTTCTGAGAATGCTTCTGTCTAAATTTTCTATGAAGACATTCCCGTTTCCAACGAAATCCTCACAGCTATCCAAATATCCACTTGCAGATTCTACAAAAAGTGTGGTTCAAAACTGCTGTATCAAAAGAATGGATCAACACTGTTAGTTGAGTACCCACATCACAAACGTGATTCTCAGAATGCTTCTGTCTAGTTTCTGTAGGTAGATATTTCCTATTTTAAGCATAGGCCTGAAAGCGCTCCAAATACCCGCTTCCAGACACTATAAAAAGAGGGTTTCAAACCTACTCTATGAAAGGGAATGTTCAACTCTGAGAGCTGGATGCAAACATCACAAAGAAGTTTCTGAGAATGCTGCTGTCTACTTTTTATATATAATCCCGTTTCCAACGAAATCCTCAAATCTATCCAAATATCCACTTGCAGATTCCAAAAGAAGAGTGTCTCAAAACTGCTCTATCAATAGAAATGTTCAGCACAGTTAGTTGAGTAGATACAGCATAAACACGTTTCTGAGATTACTTCTATCTCGCATTCATGGGAAGATATTTCCTTTTTCCAGATAGGCTACAAAGCCCTCCAAATGTCCACTTCCAGATACTACAAATAGAGTGCTGCACAACTGCTCTATGTGAGGGGAAGTTCAATTCTGTGACTTGAATGCAGACACCACAAAGAAGTTTCTGAGAATGCTGCTGTCTAATTCTTACATGTAAGCCCGTTTCCAACGAAATCCTCAAAGCTATCCAAATATCCGCATGCAGAATCTTCAAAAAGAGTGTTCCAGAAGTACTGCATGAAACGAAAGGTTCAAGTCCGTTTGTTGAGGACACACATCACAAATAAGTTTCTCAGAATGCTTCTGTCTTGTTTTCATTGGAAGATATTTCCTTTTTCACCATAGTTCAGAAAGCGCTCCAAATGTCCACTTCCAGATACTCCAAAAAGAGTGTTTCCAACCTGCTCTATGAATGGGAATGTTCCACTCTGTGACTTGAATGGAAATATGGCAAAGTATTTTCTGAGTATGCTGCTGTGTACGTTTTATATTGCATCCCGTTTCCAACGAAATCCTCAAAGCGATCCAAATATCCACTTGCAGATTCCAAAAAAAGAGTGTTTCAAACTGCTCTGTCAGTACAAAGGTTCAACACTGTTAGTTGATTAGATGCATCATAAACAAGTTCCTGAGATAGCTTCTATGTCGTTTTTATGGGAAGATATTTCCTTTTTCACCATAGGCCTGAAAGCGCTCCAAATGTCCACTTCCAGATACTACAATAAGAGTGTTTCCAACCTGCTCTATGAAACGGAAGGTTCAACTCTGTGACTTGATTGCAAACATCACGAAGGTGTTTCTGAGAATGCTTCTGTCTAGATTTTCTTTGAAGACATTACCGTTTCCAACGAAATCCTCAAAGCTAGCCAAATATCCACCTGCAGATTCTACAAAAAGAGTGTTTCAAGAGTGCTCTCTCCAAACCAAGGTTCAATTCTGACAGTTGAGTGCACACATCACAAACGTGATTCTGCGAATGCTTCTGTCTAGTTTTTGTCGGAAGATATTTCCTTTTTCAGCATAGGCCCCAAAGAGCTCAAAATGTCCACTGCCAGATAGTACGAGAAGATTGTTTCAAACCTGCTCTGTGAAAGGGAATGTTCAACTCTGTGACTTGAATGTAAACATCCCTGAGATGTTTCTTAGAATGCTTCTGGCTAGATTTTATTTGAAGATATTCCCGTTTCCAACGAAATCCTCAAAGCTTTCCAAATATCCACTTCCAGATTCTATAAAAAGAATGTTTCAGAACAGTTCTGTCAAAAGAAAGGTTCAACTCTGTTAGTGGAGAACACACATCACAATCAAGGTTCTGAGAATGCTTCTGTCTAAATTTTCTATGAAGACATTCCCGTTTCCAACGAAATCCTCACAGCTATCCAAATATCCACTTGCAGATTCTACAAAAAGTGTGGTTCAAAACTGCTGTATCAAAAGAATGGATCAACACTGTTAGTTGAGTACCCACATCACAAACGTGATTCTCAGAATGCTTCTGTCTAGTTTCTATAGGTAGATATTTCCTTTTTCAGCATAGGCCTGAAAGCGCTCCAAATGCCCGCTTCCAGACACTATAAAAAGAGGGTTTCAAACCTACTCTATGAAAGGGAATGTTCAACTCTGAGAGCTGGATGCAAACATCACAAAGAAGTTTCTGAGAATGCTGCTGTCTACTTTTGATATATAATCCCGTTTCCAACGAAATCCTCAAATCTATCCAAATATCCACTTGCAGATTCCAAAAGAAGAGTGTCTCAAAACTGCTCTATCAATAGAAATGTTCAGCACAGTTAGTTGAGTAGATACAGCATAAACATGTTTCTGAGATTACTTCTATCTCGCATTCATGGGAAGATATTTCCTTTTTCCAGATAGGCTACAAAGCCCTCCAAATGTCCACTTCCAGATACTACAAAAAGAGTGTTTCCAACCTGCTCTATGAAACGGAAGGTTCAACTCTGTGACTTGATTGCAAACATCACGAAGGTGTTTCTGAGAATGCTTCTGTCTAGATTTTCTTTGAAGACATTACCGTTTCCAACGAAATCCTCAAAGCTAGCCAAATATCCACCTGCAGATTCTACAAAAAGAGTGTTTCAAAAGTGCTCTGTCCAAACCAAGGTTCAATTCTGACAGTTGAGTGCACACATCACAAACGTGATTCTGCGAATGCTTCTGTCTAGTTTTTGTCGGAAGATATTTCCTTTTTCAGCATAGGCCCCAAGGAGCTCAAAATGTCCACTGCCAGATAGTACGAGAAGATTGTTTCAAACCTGCTCTGTGAAAGGGAATGTTCAACTCTGTGACTTGAATGTAAACATCCCTAAGATGTTTCTTAGAATGCTTCTGGCTAGATTTTATTTGAAGATATTCCCGTTTCCAACGAAATCCTCAAAGCTTTCCAAATATCCACTTCCAGATTCTATAAAAAGAATGTTTCAGAACAGTTCTGTCAAAAGAAAGGTTCAACTCTGTTAGTGGAGAACACACATCACAATCAAGGTTCTGAGAATGCTTCTGTCTAAATTTTCTATGAAGACATTCCCGTTTCCAACGAAATCCTCACAGCTATCCAAATATCCACTTGCAGATTCTACAAAAAGTGTGGTTCAAAACTGCTGTATCAAAAGAATGGATCAACACTGTTAGTTGAGTACCCACATCACAAACGTGATTCTCAGAATGCTTCTGTCTAGTTTCTATAGGTAGATATTTCCTTTTTCAGCATAGGCCTGAAAGCGCTCCAAATGCCTGCTTCCAGACACTATAAAAAGAGGGTTTCAAACCTACTCTATGAAAGGGAATGTTCAACTCTGAGAGCTGGATGCAAACATCACAAAGAAGTTTCTGAGAATGCTGCTGTCTACTTTGGATATATAATCCCGTTGCCAACGAAATCCTCAAATCTATCCAAATATCCACTTGCAGATTCCAAAAGAAGAGTGTCTCAAAACTGCTCTATCAATTGAAATGTTCAGCACAGTTAGTTGAGTAGATACAGCATAAACATGTTTCTGAGATTACTTCTATCTCGCATTCATGGGAAGATATTTCCTTTTTCCAGATAGGCTACAAAGCCCTCCAAATGTCCACTTCGAGATACTACAAATAGAGTGCTGCACAACTGCTCTATGTGAGGGGATGTTCAATTCTGTGACTTGAACGCAGACACCACAAAGAAGTTTCTGAGAATGCTGCTGTCTAATTTTTACATGTAAGCCCGTTTCCAACGAAATCCTCAAAGCTATCCAAATATCCGCATGCAGAATCTTCAAAAAGAGTGTTCCAGAAGTACTGCATGAAACAAAGTTTCAAGTCCGTTAGTTGAGGACACACATCACAAATAAGTTTCTCAGAATGCTTCTGTCTTGTTTTCATTGGAAGATATTTCCTTTTTCACCATAGTTCAGAAAGCGCTCCAAATGTCCACTTCCAGATACTACAAAAAGAGTGTTTCAAACCTGCTCTATGAATGGGAATGTTCCACTCTGTGACTTGAATTGAAATATGGCAAAGCATTTTCTGAGTATGCTGCTGTGTACGTTTTATATTGCATCCCGTTTCCAACGAAATCCTCAAAGCGACCCAAATATCTACTTGCAGATTCCAAAAAAAGAGTGTTTCAAACTGCTCTGTCAGTACAAAGGTTCAACACTGTTAGTTGATTGGATGCGTCATAAACAAGTTCTTGAGATAGCTTCTATGTTGTTTTTATGGGAAGATATTTCCTTTTTCACCAGAGGCCTGAAAGCGCTCCAATTGTCCACTTCCAGAAACTACAAAAAGAGTGTTTCCAACCTGCTCTATGAAACGGAAGGTTCAACTCTGTGACTTGATTGCAAACATCACGAAGGTGTTTCTGAGAATGTTTCTGTCTAGATTTTCTTTGAAGACATTACCGTTTCCAACGAAATCCTCAAAGCTAGCCAAATATCCACCTGCAGATGCTACAAAAAGAGTGTTTCAAAAGTGCTCTGTCCAAACAAAGGTTCAATTCTGACAGTTGAGTGCACACATCACAAACGTGATTCTGCGAATGCTTCTGTCTAGTTTTTGTCAGAAGATATTTCCTTTTTCAGCATAGGCCCCAAGGCAGCTCAAAATGTCCACTGCCAGATAGTACGAGAAGATTGTTTCAAACCTGCTCTGTGAAAGGGAATGTTCAACTCTGTGACTTGAATGTAAACATCCCTAAGATGTTTCTTAGAATGCTTCTGGCTAGATTTTATTTGAAGATATTCCCGTTTCCAACGAAATCCTCAAAGCTTTCCAAATATCCACTTCCAGATTCTATAAAAAGAATGTTTCAGAACAGTTCTGTCAAAAGAAAGGTTCAACTCTGTTAGTGGAGAACACACATCACAATCAAGGTTCTGAGAATGCTTCTGTCTAAATTTTCTATGAAGACATTCCCGTTTCCAACAAAATCCTCACAGCTATCCAAATATCCACTTGCAGATTCTACAAAAAGTGTGGTTCAAAACTGCTGTATCAAAAGAATGGATCAACACTGTTAGTTGAGTACCCACATCACAAACGTGATTCTCAGAATGCTTCTGTCTAGTTTCTATAGGTAGATATTTCCTTTTTCAGCATAGGCCTGAAAGCGCTCCAAATGCCCGCTTCCAGACACTATAAAAAGAGGGTTTCAAACCTACTCTATGAAAGGGAATGTTCAACTCTGAGAGCTGGATGCAAACATCACAAAGAAGTTTCTGAGAATGCTGCTGTCTACTTTTTATATATAATCCCGTTTCCAACGAAATCCTCAAATCTATCCAAATATCCACTTGCAGATTCCAAAAGAAGAGTGTCTCAAAACTGCTCTATCAATAGAAATGTTCAGCACAGTTAGTTGAGTAGATACAGCATAAACATGTTTCTGAGATTACTTCTATCTCGCATTCATGGGAAGATATTTCCTTTTTCCAGATAGGCTACAAAGCCCTCCAAATGTCCACTTCCAGATACTACAAATAGAGTGCTGCACAACTGCTCTATGTGAGGGGAAGTTCAATTCTGTGACTTGAATGCAGACACCACAAAGAAGTTTCTGAGAATGCTGCTGTCTAATTTTTACATGTAAGCCCGTTTCCAACGAAATCCTCAAAGCTATCCAAATATCCGCATGCAGAATCTTCAAAAAGAGTGTTCCAGAAGTACTGCATGAAACGAAAGGTTCAAGTCCGTTTGTTGAGGACACACATCACAAATAAGTTTCTCAGAATGCTTCTGTCTTGTTTTCATTGGAAGATATTTCCTTTTTCACCATAGTTCAGAAAGCGCTCCAAATGTCCACTTCCAGATACTCCAAAAAGAGTGTTTCCAACCTGCTCTATGAATGGGAATGTTCCACTCTGTGACTTGAATGGAAATATGGCAAAGTATTTTCTGAGTATGCTGCTGTGTACGTTTTATATTGCATCCCGTTTCCAACGAAATCCTCAAAGCGATCCAAATATCCACTTGCAGATTCCAAAAAAAGAGTGTTTCAAAGTGCTCTGTCAGTACAAAGGTTCAACACTGTTAGTTGATTAGATGCATCATAAACAAGTTCCTGAGATAGCTTCTATGTCGTTTTTATGGGAAGATATTTCCTTTTTCACCATAGGCCTGAAAGCGCTCCAAATGTCCACTTCCAGATACTACAAAAAGAGTGTTTCCAACCTGCTCTATGAAACGGAAGGTTCAACTCTGTGACTTGATTGCAAACATCACGAAGGTGTTTCTGAGAATGCTTCTGTCTAGATTTTCTTTGAAGACATTCCCGTTTCCAACGAAATCCTCACAGCTATCCAAATATCCTCTTGCAGATTCTACAAAAAGTGTGGTTCAAAACTGCTGTATCAAAAGAATGGATCAACACTGTTAGTTGAGTACCCACATCACAAACGTGATTCTCAGAATGCTTCTGTCTAGTTTCTGTAGGTAGATATTTCCTATTTTAAGCATAGGCCTGAAAGCGCTCCAAATGCCCGCTTCCAGACACTATAAAAAGAGGGTTTCAAACCTACTCTATAAAAGGGAATGCTCAACTCTGAGAGCTGGATGCAAACATCACAAAGAAGTGTCGGAGAATGCTGCTGTCTACTTTTTATATATAATCCCGTTTCCAACGAAATCCTCAAATCTATCCAAATATCCACTTGCAGATTCCAAAAGAAGAGTGTCTCAAAACTGCTCTATCAATAGAAATGTTCAGCACAGTTAGTTGAGTAGATACAGCATAAACATGTTTCTGAGATTACTTCTATCTCGCATTCATGGGAAGATATTTCCTTTTTCCAGATAGGCTACAAAGCCCTCCAAATGTCCACTTCCAGATACTACAAATAGAGTGCTGCACAACTGCTCTATGTGAGGGGAAGTTCAATTCTGTGACTTGAATGCAGACACCACAAAGAAGTTTCTGAGAATGCTGCTGTCTAATTTTTACATGTAAGCCCGTTTCCAACGAAATCCTCAAAGCTATCCAAATATCCGCATGCAGAATCTTCAAAAAGAGTGTTCCAGAAGTACTGCATGAAACGAAAGGTTCAAGTCCGTTTGTTGAGGACACACATCACAAATAAGTTTCTCAGAATGCTTCTGTCTTGTTTTCATTGGAAGATATTTCCTTTTTCACCATAGTTCAGAAAGCGCTCCAAATGTCCACTTCCAGATACTCCAAAAAGAGTGTTTCCAACCTGCTCTATGAATGGGAATGTTCCACTCTGTTACTTGAATGGAAATATGGCAAAGTATTTTCTGAGTATGCTGCTGTGTACGTTTTATATTGCATCCCGTTTCCAACGAAATCCTCAAAGCGATCCAAATATCCACTTGCAGATTCCAAAAAAAGAGTGTTTCAAACTGCTCTGTCAGTACAAAGGTTCAACACTGTTAGTTGATTAGATGCATCATAAACAAGTTCCTGAGATAGCTTCTATGTCGTTTTTATGGGAAGATATTTCCTTTTTCACCATAGGCCTGAAAGCGCTCCAAATGTCCACTTCCAGATACTACAATAAGAGTGTTTCCAACCTGCTCTATGAAACGGAAGGTTCAACTCTGTGACTTGATTGCAAACATCACGAAGGTGTTTCTGAGAATGCTTCTGTCTAGATTTTCTTTGAAGACATTCCCGTTTCCAACGAAATCCTCACAGCTATCCAAATATCCTCTTGCAGATTCTACAAAAAGTGTGGTTCAAAACTGCTGTATCAAAAGAATGGATCAACACTGTTAGTTGAGTACCCACATCACAAACGTGATTCTCAGAATGCTTCTGTCTAGTTTCTATAGGTAGATATTTCCTTTTTCAGCATAGGCCTGAAAGCTCTCCAAATGCCCGCTTCCAGACACTATAAAAAGAGGGTTTCAAACCTACTCTATGAAAGGGAATGTTCAACTCTGAGAGCTGGATGCAAACATCACAAAGAAGTTTCTGAGAATGCTGCTGTCTACTTTTTATATATAATCCCGTTTCCAACGAAATCCTCAAATCTATCCAAATATCCACTTGCAGATTCCAAAAGAAGAGTGTCTCAAAACTGCTCTATCAATAGAAATGTTCAGCACAGTTAGTTGAGTAGATACAGCATAAACATGTTTCTGAGATTACTTCTATCTCGCATTCATGGGAAGATATTTCCTTTTTCCAGATAGGCTACAAAGCCCTCCAAATGTCCACTTCCAGATACTACAAATAGAGTGCTGCACAACTGCTCTATGTGAGGGGAAGTTCAATTCTGTGACTTGAATGCAGACACCACAAAGAAGTTTCTGAGAATGCTGCTGTCTAATTTTTACATGTAAGCCCGTTTCCAACGAAATCCTCAAAGCTATCCAAATATCCGCATGCAGAATCTTCAAAAAGAGTGTTCCAGAAGTACTGCATGAAACGAAAGGTTCAAGTCCGTTTGTTGAGGACACACATCACAAATAAGTTTCTCAGAATGCTTCTGTCTTGTTTTCATTGGAAGATATTTCCTTTTTCACCATAGTTCAGAAAGCGCTCCAAATGTCCACTTCCAGATACTCCAAAAAGAGTGTTTCCAACCTGCTCTATGAATGGGAATGTTCCACTCTGTGACTTGAATGGAAATATGGCAAAGTATTTTCTGAGTATGCTGCTGTGTACGTTTTATATTGCATCCCGTTTCCAACGAAATCCTCAAAGCGATCCAAATATCCACTTGCAGATTCCAAAAAAAGAGTGTTTCAAACTGCTCTGTCAGTACAAAGGTTCAACACTGTTAGTTGATTAGATGCATCATAAACAAGTTCCTGAGATAGCTTCTATGTCGTTTTTATGGGAAGATATTTCCTTTTTCACCATAGGCCTGAAAGCACTCCAAATGTCCACTTCCAGATACTACAAAAAGAGTGTTTCCAACCTGCTCTATTAAACGGAAGGTTCAACTCTGTGACTTGATTGCAAACATCACGAAGGTGTTTCTGAGAATGCTTCTGTCTAGATTTTCTTTGAAGACATTACCGTTTCCAACGAAATCCTCAAAGCTAGCCAAATATCCACCTGCAGATTCTACAAAAAGAGTGTTTCAAGAGTGCTCTCTCCAAACCAAGGTTCAATTCTGACAGTTGAGTGCACACATCACAAACGTGATTCTGCGAATGCTTCTGTCTAGTTTTTGTCGGAAGATATTTCGTTTTTCAGCATAGGCCCCAAGGAGCTCAAAATGTCCACTGCCAGATAGTACGAGAAGATTGTTTCATACCTGCTCTGTGAAAGGGAATGTTCAACTCTGTGACTTGAATGTAAACATCCCTAAGATGTTTCTTAGAATGCTTCTGGCTAGATTTGATTTGAAGATATTCCCGTTTCCAACGAAATCCTCAAAGCTTTCCAAATATCCACTTCCAGATTCTATAAAAAGAATGTTTCAGAACAGTTCTGTCAAAAGAAAGGTTCAACTCTGTTAGTGGAGAACACACATCACAATCAAGGTTCTGAGAATGCTTCTGTCTAAATTTTCTATGAAGACATTCCCGTTTCCAACGAAATCCTCACAGCTATCCAAATATCCACTTGCAGATTCTACAAAAAGTGTGGTTCAAAACTGCTGTATCAAAAGAATGGATCAACACTGTTAGTTGAGTACCCACATCACAAACGTGATTCTCAGAATGCTTCTGTCTAGTTTCTATAGGTAGATATTTCCTTTTTCAGCATAGGCCTGAAAGCGCTCCAAATGCCCGCTTCCAGACACTATAAAAAGAGGGTTTCAAACCTACTCTATGAAAGGGAATGTTCAACTCTGAGAGCTGGATGCAAACATCACAAAGAAGTTTCTGAGAATGCTGCTGTCTACTTTTGATATATAATCCCGTTTCCAACGAAATCCTCAAATCTATCCAAATATCCACTTGCAGATTCCAAAAGAAGAGTGTCTCAAAACTGCTCTATCAATAGAAATGTTCAGCACAGTTAGTTGAGTAGATACAGCATAAACATGTTTCTGAGATTACTTCTATCTCGCATTCATGGGAAGATATTTCCTTTTTCCAGATAGGCTACAAAGCCCTCCAAATGTCCACTTCCAGATACTACAAAAAGAGTGTTTCCAACCTGCTCTATGAAACGGAAGGTTCAACTCTGTGACTTGATTGCAAACATCACGAAGGTGTTTCTGAGAATGCTTCTGTCTAGATTTTCTTTGAAGACATTACCGTTTCCAACGAAATCCTCAAAGCTAGCCAAATATCCACCTGCAGATTCTACAAAAAGAGTGTTTCAAAAGTGCTCTGTCCAAACCAAGGTTCAATTCTGACAGTTGAGTGCACACATCACAAACGTGATTCTGCGAATGCTTCTGTCTAGTTTTTGTCGGAAGATATTTCCTTTTTCAGCATAGGCCCCAAGGAGCTCAAAATGTCCACTGCCAGATAGTACGAGAAGATTGTTTCAAACCTGCTCTGTGAAAGGGAATGTTCAACTCTGTGACTTGAATGTAAACATCCCTAAGATGTTTCTTAGAATGCTTCTGGCTAGATTTTATTTGAAGATATTCCCGTTTCCAACGAAATCCTCAAAGCTTTCCAAATATCCACTTCCAGATTCTATAAAAAGAATGTTTCAGAACAGTTCTGTCAAAAGAAAGGTTCAACTCTGTTAGTGGAGAACACACATCACAATCAAGGTTCTGAGAATGCTTCTGTCTAAATTTTCTATGAAGACATTCCCGTTTCCAACGAAATCCTCACAGCTATCCAAATATCCACTTGCAGATTCTACAAAAAGTGTGGTTCAAAACTGCTGTATCAAAAGAATCGATCAACACTGTTAGTTGAGTACCCACATCACAAACGTGATTCTCAGAATGCTTCTGTCTAGTTTCTATAGGTAGATATTTCCTTTTTCAGCATAGGCCTGAAAGCGCTCCAAATGCCCGCTTCCAGACACTATAAAAAGAGGGTTTCAAACCTACTCTATGAAAGGGAATGTTCAACTCTGAGAGCTGGATGCAAACATCACAAAGAAGTTTCTGAGAATGCTGCTGTCTACTTTTTATATATAATCCCGTTTCCAACGAAATCCTCAAATCTATCCAAATATCCACTTGCAGATTCCAAAAGAAGAGTGTCTCAAAACTGCTCTATCAATAGAAATGTTCAGCACAGTTAGTTGAGTAGATACAGCATAAACATGTTTCTGAGATTACTTCTATCTCGCATTCATGGGAAGATATTTCCTTTTTCCACATAGGCTACAAAGCCCTCCAAATGTCCACTTCCAGATACTACAAATAGAGTGCTGCACAACTGCTCTATGTGAGGGGATGTTCAATTCTGTGACTTGAATGCAGACACCACAAAGAAGTTTCTGAGAATGCTGCTGTCTAATTTTTACATGTAAGCCCGTTTCCAACGAAATCCTCAAAGCTATCCAAATATCCGCATGCAGAATCTTCAAAAAGAGTGTTCCAGAAGTACTGCATGAAACGAAAGGTTCAAGTCCGTTTGTTGAGGACACACATCACAAATAAGTTTCTCAGAATGCTTCTGTCTTGTTTTCATTGGAAGATATTTCCTTTTTCACCATAGTTCAGAAAGCGCTCCAAATGTCCACTTCCAGATACTCCAAAAAGAGTGTTTCCAACCTGCTCTATGAATGGGAATGTTCCACTCTGTGACTTGAATGGAAATATGGCAAAGAATTTTCTGAGTATGCTGCTGTGTACGTTTTATATTGCATCCCGTTTCCAACGAAATCCTCAAAGCGATCCAAATATCCACTTGCAGATTCCAAAAAAAGAGTGTTTCAAACTGCTCTGTCAGTACAAAGGTTCAACACTGTTAGTTGATTAGATGCATCATAAACAAGTTCCTGAGATAGCTTCTATGTCGTTTTTATGGGAAGATATTTCCTTTTTCACCATAGGCCTGAAAGCGCTCCAAATGTCCACTTCCAGATACTACAATAAGAGTGTTTCCAACCTGCTCTATGAAACGGAAGGTTCAACTCTGTGACTTGATTGCAAACATCACGAAGGTGTTTCTGAGAATGCTTCTGTCTAGATTTTCTTTGAAGACATTCCCGTTTCCAACGAAATCCTCACAGCTATCCAAATATCCTCTTGCAGATTCTACAAAAAGTGTGGTTCAAAACTGCTGTATCAAAAGAATGGATCAACACTGTTAGTTGAGTACCCACATCACAAACGTGATTCTCAGAATGCTTCTGTCTAGTTTCTATAGGTAGATATTTCCTTTTTCAGCATAGGCCTCAAAGCGCTCCAAATGCCCGCTTCCAGACACTATAAAAAGAGGGTTTCAAACCTACTCTATGAAAGGGAATGTTCAACTCTGAGAGCTGGATGCAAACATCACAAAGAAGTTTCTGAGAATGCTGCTGTCTACTTTTTATATATAATCCCGTTTCCAACGAAATCCTCAAATCTATCCAAATATCCACTTGCAGATTCCAAAAGAAGAGTGTCTCAAAACTGCTCTATCAATAGAAATGTTCAGCACAGTTAGTTGAGTAGATACAGCATAAACATCTTTCTGAGATTACTTCTATCTCGCATTCATGGGAAGATATTTCCTTTTTCCAGATAGGCTACAAAGCCCTCCAAATGTCCACTTCCAGATACTACAAATAGAGTGCTGCACAACTGCTCTATGTGAGGGGATGTTCAATTCTGTGACTTGAATGCAGACACCACAAAGAAGTTTCTGAGAATGCTGCTGTCTAATTTTTACATGTAAGCCCGTTTCCAACGAAATCCTCAAAGCTATCCAAATATCCGCATGCAGAATCTTCAAAAAGAGTGTTCCAGAAGTACTGCATGAAACGAAAGGTTCAAGTCCGTTTGTTGAGGACACACATCACAAATAAGTTTCTCAGAATGCTTCTGTCTTGTTTTCATTGGAAGATATTTCCTTTTTCACCATAGTTCAGAAAGCGCTCCAAATGTCCACTTCCAGATACTCCAAAAAGAGTGTTTCAAACCTGCTCTATGAATGGGAATGTTCCACTCTGTGACTTGAATGGAAATATGGCAAAGTATTTTCTGAGTATGCTGCTGTGTACGTTTTATATTGCATCCCGTTTCCAACGAAATCCTCAAAGCGATCCAAATATCCACTTGCAGATTCCAAAAAAAGAGTGTTTCAAACTGCTCTGTCAGTACAAAGGTTCAACACTGTTAGTTGATTAGATGCATCATAAACAAGTTCCTGAGATAGCTTCTATGTCGTTTTTATGGGAAGATATTTCCTTTTTCACCATAGGCCTGAAAGCGCTCCAAATGTCCACTTCCAGATACTACAAAAAGAGTGTTTCCAACCTGCTCTATGAAACGGAAGGTTCAACTCTGTGACTTGATTGCAAACATCACGAAGGTGTTTCTGAGAATGCTTCTGTCTAGATTTTCTTTGAAGACATTACCGTTTCCAACGAAATCCTCAAAGCTAGCCAAATATCCACCTGCAGATTCTACAAAAAGAGTGTTTCAAAAGTGCTCTGTCCAAACCAAGGTTCAATTCTGACAGTTGAGTGCACACATCACAAACGTGATTCTGCGAATGCTTCTGTCTAGTTTTTGTCGGAAGATATTTCCTTTTTCAGCATAGGCCCCAAGGAGCTCAAAATGTCCACTGCCAGATAGTACGAGAAGATTGTTTCAAACCTGCTCTGTGAAAGGGAATGTTCAACTCTGTGACTTGAATGTAAACATCCCTAAGATGTTTCTTAGAATGCTTCTGGCTAGATTTGATTTGAAGATATTCCCGTTTCCAACGAAATCCTCAAAGCTTTCCAAATATCCACTTCCAGATTCTATAAAAAGAATGTTTCAGAACAGTTCTGTCAAAAGAAAGGTTCAACTCTGTTAGTGGAGAACACACATCACAATCAAGGTTCTGAGAATGCTTCTGTCTAAATTTTCTATGAAGACATTCCCGTTTCCAACGAAATCCTCACAGCTATCCAAATATCCACTTGCAGATTCTACAAAAAGTGTGGTTCAAAACTGCTGTATCAAAAGAATGGATCAACACTGTTAGTTGAGTACCCACATCACAAACGTGATTCTCAGAATGCTTCTGTCTAGTTTCTATAGGTAGATATTTCCTTTTTCAGCATAGGCCTGAAAGCGCTCCAAATGCCCGCTTCCAGACACTATAAAAAGAGGGTTTCAAACCTACTCTATGAAAGGGAATGTTCAACTCTGAGAGCTGGATGCAAACATCACAAAGAAGTTTCTGAGAATGCTGCTGTCTACTTTTTATATATAATCCCGTTTCCAACGAAATCCTCAAATCTATCCAAATATCCACTTGCAGATTCCAAAAGAAGAGTGTCTCAAAACTGCTCTATCAATAGAAATGTTCAGCACAGTTAGTTGAGAAGATACAGCATAAACATGTTTCTGAGATTACTTCTATCTCGCATTCATGGGAAGATATTTCCTTTTTCCAGATAGGCTACAAAGCCCTCCAAATGTCCACTTCCAGATACTACAAATAGAGTGCTGCACAACTGCTCTATGTGAGGGGAAGTTCAATTCTGTGACTTGAATGCAGACACCACAAAGAAGTTTCTGAGAATGCTGCTGTCTAATTTTTATATGTAAGCCCGTTTCCAATGAAATCCTCAAAGCTATCCAAATATCCGCATGCAGAATCTTCAAAAAGAGTGTTCCAGAAGTACTGCATGAAACGAAAGGTTCAAGTCCGTTAGTTGAGGACACACATCACAAATAAGTTTCTCAGAATGCTTCTGTCTTGTTTTCATTGGAAGATATTTCCTTTTTCACCATAGTTCAGAAAGCGCTCCAAATGTCCACTTCCAGATACTACAAAAAGAGTGTGTCAAACCTGCTCTATGAATGGGAATGTTCCACTCTGTGACTTGAATGGAAATATGGCAAAGTGTTTTCTGAGTATGCTGCTGTGTATGTTTTATATTGCATCCAGTTTCCAACTAAATCCTCAAAGCGATCCAAATATCCACTTGCAGATTCCAAAAAAAAGAGTGTTTCACACTGCTCTGTCAGTACAAAGGTTCAACACTGTTAGTTGATTGGATGCATCATAAACAAGTTCCTGAGATAGCTTCTATGTCGTTTTTATGGGAAGATATTTCCTTTTTCACCATAGGCCTGAAAGCGCTCCAAATGTCCACTTCCAGATACTACAATAAGAGTGTTTCCAACCTGCTCTATGAAACGGAAGGTTCAACTCTGTGACTTGATTGCAAACATCACGAAGGTGTTTCTGAGAATGCTTCTGTCTAGATTTTCTTTGAAGACATTCCCGTTTCCAACGAAATCCTCACAGCTATCCAAATATCCTCTTGCAGATTCTACAAAAAGTGTGGTTCAAAACTGTTGTATCAAAAGAATGGATCAACACTGTTAGTTGAGTACCCACATCACAAACGTGATTCTCAGAATGCTTCTGTCTAGTTTCTGTAGGTAGATATTTCCTATTTTAAGCATAGGCCTGAAAGCGCTCCAAATGCCCGCTTCCAGACACTATAAAAAGAGGGTTTCAAACCTACTCTATGAAAGGGAATGTTCAACTCTGAGAGCTGGATGCAAACATCACAAAGAAGTTTCTGAGAATGCTGCTGTCTACTTTTGATATATAATCCCGTTTCCAACGAAATCCTCAAATCTATCCAAATATCCACTTGCAGATTCCAAAAGAAGAGTGTCTCAAAACTGCTCTATCAATAGAAATGTTCAGCACAGTTAGTTGAGTAGATACAGCATAAACATGTTTCTGAGATTACTTCTATCTCGCATTCATGGGAAGATATTTCCTTTTTCCAGATAGGCTACAAAGCCCTCCAAATGTCCACTTCCAGATACTACAAATAGAGTGCTGCACAACTGCTCTATGTGAGGGGAAGTTCAATTCTGTGACTTGAATGCAGACACCACAAAGAAGTTTCTGAGAATGCTGCTGTCTAATTTTTACATGTAAGCCCGTTTCCAACGAAATCCTCAAAGCTATCCAAATATCCGCATGCAGAATCTTCAAAAAGAGTGTTCCAGAAGTACTGCATGAAACGAAAGGTTCAAGTCCGTTTGTTGAGGACACACATCACAAATAAGTTTCTCAGAATGCTTCTGTCTTGTTTTCATTGGAAGATATTTCCTTTTTCACCATAGTTCAGAAAGCGCTCCAAATGTCCACTTCCAGATATTCCAAAAAGAGTGTTTCCAACCTGCTCTATGAATGGGAATGTTCCACTCTGTGACTTGAATGGAAATATGGCAAAGTATTTTCTGAGTATGCTGCTGTGTACGTTTTATATTGCATCCCGTTTCCAACGAAATCCTCAAAGCGATCCAAATATCCACTTGCAGATTCCAAAAAAAGAGTGTTTCAAACTGCTCTGTCAGTACAAAGGTTCAACACTGTTAGTTGATTAGATGCCTCATAAACAAGTTCCTGAGATAGCTTCTATGTCGTTTTTATGGGAAGATATTTCCTTTTTCACCATAGGCCTGAAAGCGCTCCAAATGTCCACTTCCAGATAGTACAAAAAGAGTGTTTCCAACCTGCTCTATGAAACGGAAGGTTCAACTCTGTGACTTGATTGCAAACATCACGAAGGTATTTCTGAGAATGCTTCTGTCTAGATTTTCTTTGAAGACATTCCCGTTTCCAACGAAATCCTCACAGCTATCCAAATATCCTCTTGCAGATTCTACAAAAAGTGTGGTTCAAAACTGCTGTATCAAAAGAATGGATCAACACTGTTAGTTGAGTACCCACATCACAAACGAGATTCTCAGAATGCTTCTGTCTAGTTTCTGTAGGTAGATATTTCCTATTTTAAGCATAGGTCTGAAAGCGCTCCAAATGCCCGATTCCAGACACTATAAAAAGAGGGTTTCAAACCTACTCTATGAAAGGGAAGGTTCAACTCTGAGAGCTGGATGCAAACATCACAAAGAAGTTTCTGAGAATGCTGCTGTCTACTTTTTATATATAATCCCGTTTCCAACGAAATCCTCAAATCTCTCCAAATATCCACTTGCAGATTCCAAAAGAAGAGTGTCTCAAAACTGCTCTATCAATAGAAATGTTCAGCACAGTTAGTTGAGTAGATACAGCATAAACATGTTTCTGAGATTACTTCTATCTCGCATTCATGGGAAGATATTTCCTTTTTCCACATAGGCTACAAAGCCCTCCAAATGTCCACTTCCAGATACTACAAATAGAGTGCTGCACAACTGCTCTATGTGAGGGGATGTTCAATTCTGTGACTTGAATGCAGACACCACAAAGAAGTTTCTGAGAATGCTGCTGTCTAATTTTTATATGTAAGCCCGTTTCCAAAGAAATCCTCAAAGCTATCCAAATATCCGCATGCAGAATCTTCAAAAAGAGTGTTCCAGAAGTACTGCATGAAACGAAAGGTTCAAGTCCGTTAGTGGAGGACACACATCAAAAATAAGTTTCTCAGAATGCTTCTGTCTTGTTTTCATTGGAAGATATTTCCTTTTTCACCATAGTTCAGAAAGCGCTCCAAATGTCCACTTCCAGATACTCCAAAAAGAGTGTTTCCAACCTGCTCTATGAATGGGAATGTTCCACTCTGTGACTTGAATGGAAACATGGCAAAGTATTTTCTGAGTATGCTGCTGTGTACGTTTTATATTGCATCCCGTTTCCAACGAAATCCTCAAAGCGATCCAAATATCCACTTGCAGATTCCAAAAAAAGAGTGTTTCAAACTGCTCTGTCAGTACAAAGGTTCAACACTGTTAGTTGATTAGATGCATCATAAACAAGTTCCTGAGATAGCTTCTATGTCGCTTTTATGGGAAGATATTTCCTTTTACACCATAGGCCTGAAATCGCTCCAAATGTCCACTTCCAGATACTACAAAATGAGTGTTTCCAACCTGCTCTATGAAACGGAAGGTTCAACTCTGTGACTTGATTGCAAACATCACGAAGGTGTTTCTGAGGATGTTTCTGTCTAGATTTTCTTTGAAGACATTACCGTTTCCAACGAAATCCTCAAAGCTAGCGAAATATCCACCTGCAGATTCTACAAAAAGAGTGTTTCAAAAGTGCTCTGTCCAAACCAAGGTTCAATTCTGACAGTTGAGTGCACACATCACAAACGTGATTCTGCGAATGCTTCTGTCTAGTTTTTGTCGGAAGATATTTCCTTTTTCAGCATAGGCCCCAAGGAGCTCAAAATGTCCACTGCCAGATAGTACGAGAAGATTGTTTCAAACCTGCTCTGTGAAAGGGAATGTTCAACTCTGTGACTTGAATGTAAACATCCCTGAGATGTTTCTTAGAATGCTTCTGGCTAGATTTTATTTGAAGATATTCCCGTTTCCAACGAAATCCTCAAAGCTTTCCAAATATCCACTTCCAGATTCTATAAAAAGAATGTTTCAGAACAGTTCTGTCAAAAGAAAGGTTCAACTCTGTTAGTGGAGAACACACATCACAATCAAGGTTCTGAGAATGCTTCTGTCTAAATTTTCTATGAAGACATTCCCGTTTCCAACGAAATCCTCACAGCTATCCAAATATCCACTTGCAGATTCTACAAAAAGTGTGGTTCAAAACTGCTGTATCAAAAGAATGGATCAACACTGTTAGTTGAGTACCCACATCACAAACGTGATTCTCAGAATGCTTCTGTCTAGTTTCTATAGGTAGATATTTCCTTTTTCAGCATAGGCCTGAAAGCGCTCCAAATGCCCGCTTCCAGACACTATAAAAAGAGGGTTTCAAACCTACTCTATGAAAGGGAATGTTCAACTCTGAGAGCTGGATGCAAACATCACAAAGAA
The DNA here is from genome assembly GCF_000001405.40 of Homo sapiens. Lineage (NCBI taxonomy): Eukaryota > Metazoa > Chordata > Mammalia > Primates > Hominidae > Homo > Homo sapiens. The sequence continues at coordinate 45,172,899 of NC_000008.11, read as the reverse complement.
GTTTCTGAGAATGCTGCTGTCTACTTTTTATATATAATCCCGTTTCCAAAGAAATCCTCAAATCTATCCAAATATCCACTTGCAGATTCCAAAAGAAGAGTGTCTCAAAACTGCTCTATCAATAGAAATGTTCAGCACAGTTAGTTGAGTAGATACAGCATAAACATGTTTCTGAGATTACTTCTATCTCGCATTCATGGGAAGATATTTCCTTTTTCCAGATAGGCTACAAAGCCCTCCAAATGTCCACTTCCAGATACTACAAAAAGAGTGTTTCCAACCTGCTCTATGAAACGGAAGGTTCAACTCTGTGACTTGATTGCAAACATCACGAAGGTGTTTCTGAGAATGCTTCTGTCTAGATTTTCTTTGAAGACATTACCGTTTCCAACGAAATCCTCAAAGCTAGCCAAATATCCACCTGCAGATTCTACAAAAAGAGTGTTTCAAAAGTGCTCTGTCCAAACCAAGGTTCAATTCTGACAGTTGAGTGCACACATCACAAACGTGATTCTGCGAATGCTTCTGTCTAGTTTTGGTCGGAAGATATTTCCTTTTTCAGCATAGGCCCCAAGGAGCTCAAAATGTCCACTGCCAGATAGTACAAGAAGATTGTTTCAAACCTGCTCTGTGAAAGGGAATGTTCAACTCTGTGACTTGAATGTAAACATCCCTAAGATGTTTCTTAGAATGCTTCTGGCTAGATTTTATTTGAAGATATTCCCGTTTCCAACGAAATCCTCAAAGCTTTTCAAATATCCACTTCCAGATTCTATTAAAAGAATGTTTCAAAAGAGTTCTGTCAAAAGAAAGGTTCAACCCTGTTAGTGGAGAACACACATCACAATCAAGGTTCTGAGAATGCTTCTGTCTAAATTTTCTATGAAGACATTCCCGTTTCCAAGGAAATCCTCACAGCTATCCAAATATCCACTTGCAGATTCTACAAAAAGTGTGGTTCAAAACTGCTGTATCAAAAGAATGGATCAACACTGTTAGTTGAGTACCCACATCACCAACGTGATTCTCAGAATGCTTCTGTCTAGTTTCTATAGGTAGATATTTCCTTTTTCAGCATAGGCCTGAAAGCGCTCCAAATGCCCGCTTCCAGACACTATAAAAAGAGGGTTTCAAACCTACTCTACGAAAGGGAATGTTCAACTCTGAGAGCTGGATGCAAACATCACAAAGAAGTTTCTGAGAATGCTGCTGTCTACTTTTGATATATAATCCCGTTTCCAACGAAATCCTCAAATCTATCCAAATATCCACTTGCAGATTCCAAAAGGAGAGTGTCTCAAAACTGCTCTATCAATAGAAATGTTCAGCACAGTTAGTTGAGTAGATACAGCATAAACATGTTTCTGAGATTACTTCTATCTCGCATTCATGGGAAGATATTTCCTTTTTCCAGATAGGCTACAAAGCCCTCCAAATGTCCACTTCGAGATACTACAAATAGAGTGCTGCACAACTGCTCTATGTGAGGGGATGTTCAATTCTGTGACTTGAATGCAGACACCACAAAGAAGTTTCTGAGAATGCTGCTGTCTAATTTTTACATGTAAGCCCGTTTCCAACGAAATCCTCAAAGCTATCCAAATATCCGCATGCAGAATCTTCAAAAAGAGTGTTCCAGAAGTACTGCATGAAACGAAAGGTTCAAGTCCGTTTGTTGAGGACACACATCACAAATAAGTTTCTCAGAATGCTTCTGTCTTGTTTTCATTGGAAGATATTTCCTTTTTCACCATAGTTCAGAAAGCGCTCCAAATGTCCACTTCCAGATACTCCAAAAAGAGTGTTTCCAACCTGCTCTATGAATGGGAATGTTCCACTCTGTGACTTGAATGGAAACATGGCAAAGTATTTTCTGAGTATGCTGCTGTGTACGTTTTATATTGCATCCCGTTTCCAACGAAATCCTCAAAGTGATCCAAATATCCACTTGCAGATTCCAAAAAAAGAGTGTTTCAAAGTGCTCTGTCAGTACAAAGGTTCAACACTGTTAGTTGATTAGATGCATCATAAACAAGTTCCTGAGATAGCTTCTATGTCGTTTTTATGGGAAGATATTTCCTTTTTCACCATAGGCCTGAAAGCGCTCCAAATGTCCACTTCCAGATACTACAATAAGAGTGTTTCCAACCTGCTCTATGAAACGGAAGGTTCAACTCTGTGACTTGATTGCAAACATCACGAAGGTGTTTCTGAGAATGCTTCTGTCTAGATTTTCTTTGAAGACATTCCCGTTTCCAACGAAATCCTCACAGCTATCCAAATATCCTCTTGCAGATTCTACAAAAAGTGTGGTTCAAAACTGCTGTATCAAAAGAATGGATCAACACTGTTAGTTGAGTACCCACATCACAAACGTGATTCTCAGAATGCTTCTGTCTAGTTTCTGTAGGTAGATATTTCCTATTTTAAGCATAGGCCTGAAAGCGCTCCAAATGCCCGCTTCCAGACACTATAAAAAGAGGGTTTCAAACCTACTCTATGAAAGGGAATGTTCAACTCTGAGAGCTGGATGCAAACATCACAAAGAAGTTTCTGAGAATGCTGCTGTCTACTTTTTATATATAATCCCGTTTCCAACGAAATCCTCAAATGTATCCAAATATCCACTTGCAGATTCCAAAAGAAGAGTGTCTCAAAACTGCTCTATCAATAGAAATGTTCAGCACAGTTAGTTGAGTAGATACAGCATAAACATGTTTCTGAGATTACTTCTATCTCGCATTCATGGGAAGATATTTCCTTTTTCCAGATAGGCTACAAAGCCCTCCAAATGTCCACTTCCAGATACTACAAATAGAGTGCTGCACAACTGCTCTATGTGAGGGGAAGTTCAATTCTGTGACTTGAATGCAGACACCACAAAGAAGTTTCTGAGAATGCTGCTGTCTAATTTTTACATGTAAGCCCGTTTCCAACGAAATCCTCAAAGCTATCCAAATATCCGCATGCAGAATCTTCAAAAAGAGTGTTCCAGAAGTACTGCATGAAACGAAAGGTTCAAGTCCGTTTGTTGAGGACACACATCACAAATAAGTTTCTCAGAATGCTTCTGTCTTGTTTTCATTGGAAGATATTTCCTTTTTCACCATAGTTCAGAAAGCGCTCCAAATGTCCACTTCCAGATACTCCAAAAAGAGTGTTTCCAACCTGCTCTATGAATGGGAATGTTCCACTCTGTGACTTGAATGGAAATATGGCAAAGTATTTTCTGAGTATGCTGCTGTGTACGTTTTATATTGCATCCCGTTTCCAACGAAATCCTCAAAGCGATCCGAATATCCACTTGCAGATTCCAAAAAAAGAGTGTTTCAAACTGCTCTGTCAGTACAAAGGTTCAACACTGTTAGTTGATTAGATGCCTCATAAACAAGTTCCTGAGATAGCTTCTATGTCGTTTTTATGGGAAGATATTTCCTTTTTCACCATAGGCCTGAAAGCGCTCCAAATGTCCACTTCCAGATACTACAATAAGAGTGTTTCCAACCTGCTCTATGAAACGGAAGGTTCAACTCTGTGACTTGATTGCAAACATCACGAAGGTGTTTCTGAGAATGCTTCTGTCTAGATTTTCTTTGAAGACATTCCCGTTTCCAACGAAATCCTCACAGCTATCCAAATATCCTCTTGCAGATTCTACAAAAAGTGTGGTTCAAAACTGCTGTATCAAAAGAAAGGATCAACACTGTTAGTTGAGTACCCACATCACAAACGTGATTCTCAGAATGCTTCTGTCTAGTTTCTGTAGGTAGATATTTCCTATTTTAAGCATAGGCCTGAAAGCGCTCCAAATGCCCGCTTCCAGACACTATAAAAAGAGGGTTTCAAACCTACTCTATGAAAGGGAATGTTCAACTCTGAGAGCTGGATGCAAACATCACAAAGAAGTTTCTGAGAATGCTGCTGTCTACTTTTTATATATAATCCCGTTTCCAACGAAATCCTCAAATCTATCCAAATATCCACTTGCAGATTCCAAAAGAAGAGTGTCTCAAAACTGCTCTATCAATAGAAATGTTCAGCACAGTTAGTTGAGTAGATACAGCATAAACGTGTTTCTGAGATTACTTCTATCTCGCATTCATGGGAAGATATTTCCTTTTTCCAGATAGGCTACAAAGCCCTCCAAATGTCCACTTCCAGATACTACAAAAAGAGTGTTTCCAACCTGCTCTATGATACGGAAGGTTCAACTCTGTGACTTGATTGCAAACATCACGAAGGTGTTTCTGAGAATGCTTCTGTCTAGATTTTCTTTGAAGACATTATCGTTTCCAACGAAATCCTCAAAGCTAGCCAAATATCCACCTGCAGATTCTACAAAAAGAGTGTTTCAAAAGTGCTCTGTCCAAACCAAGGTTCAATTCTGACAGTTGAGTGCACACATCACAAACGTGATTCTGCGAATGCTTCTGTCTAGTTTTTGTCGGAAGATATTTCCTTTTTCAGCATAGGCCCCAAGGAGCTCAAAATGTCCACTGCCAGATAGTACGAGAAGATTGTTTCAAACCTGCTCTGTGAAAGGGAATGTTCAACTCTGTGACTTGAATGTAAACATCCCTAAGATGTTTCTTAGAATGCTTCTGGCTAGATTTGATTTGAAGATATTCCCGTTTCCAACGAAATCCTCAAAGCTTTCCAAATATCCACTTCCAGATTCTATAAAAAGAATGTTTCAGAACAGTTCTGTCAAAAGAAAGGTTCAACTGCTGTTAGTGGAGAACACACATCACAATCAAGGTTCTGAGAATGCTTCTGTCTAAATTTTCTATGAAGACATTCCCGTTTCCAACGAAATCCTCACAGCTATCCAAATATCCACTTGCAGATTCTACAAAAAGTGTGGTTCAAAACTGCTGTATCAAAAGAATGGATCAACACTGTTAGTTGAGTACCCACATCACAAACGTGATTCTCAGAATGCTTCTGTCTAGTTTCTATAGGTAGATATTTCCTTTTTCAGCATAGGCCTGAAAGCGCTCCAAATGCCCGCTTCCAGACACTATAAAAAGAGGGTTTCAAACCTACTCTATGAAAGGGAATGTTCAACTCTGAGAGCTGGATGCAAACATCACAAAGAAGTTTCTGAGAATGCTGCTGTCTACTTTTTATATATAATCCCGTTTCCAACGAAATCCTCAAATCTATCCAAATATCCACTTGCAGATTCCAAAAGAAGAGTGTCTCAAAACTGCTCTATCAATAGAAATGTTCAGCACAGTTAGTTGAGTAGATACAGCATAAACATGTTTCTGAGATTACTTCTATCTCGCATTCATGGGAAGATATTTCCTTTTTCCAGATAGGCTACAAAGCGCTCCAAATGTCCACTTCCAGATACTACAAAAAGAGTGTTTCCAACCTGCTCTATGAAACGGAAGGTTCAACTCTGTGACTTGATTGCAAACATCACGAAGGTGTTTCTGAGAATGCTTCTGTCTAGATTTTCTTTGAAGACATTACCGTTTCCAACGAAATCCTCAAAGCTAGCCAAATATCCACCTGCAGATTCTACAAAAAGAGTGTTTCAAAAGTGCTCTCTCCAAACCAAGGTTCAATTCTGACAGTTGAGTGCACACATCACAAACGTGATTCTGCGAATGCTTCTGTCTAGTTTTTGTCGGAAGATATTTCCTTTTTCAGCATAGGCCCCAAAGAGCTCAAAATGTCCACTGCCAGATAGTACGAGAAGATTGTTTCAAACCTGCTCTGTGAAAGGGAATGTTCAACTCTGTGACTTGAATGTAAACATCCCTAAGATGTTTCTTAGAATGCTTCTGGCTAGATTTTATTTGAAGATATTCCCGTTTCCAACGAAATCCTCAAAGCTTTCCAAATATCCACTTCCAGATTCTATAAAAAGAATGTTTCAGAACAGTTCTGTCAAAAGAAAGGTTCAACTCTGTTAGTGGAGAACACACATCACAATCAAGGTTCTGAGAATGCTTCTGTCTAAATTTTCTATGAAGACATTCCCGTTTCCAACGAAATCCTCACAGCTATCCAAATATCCACTTGCAGATTCTACAAAAAGTGTGGTTCAAAACTGCTGTATCAAAAGAATGGATCAACACTGTTAGTTGAGTACCCACATCAGAAACGTGATTCTCAGAATGCTTCTGTCTAGTTTCTATAGGTAGATATTTCCTTTTTCAGCATAGGCCTGAAAGCGCTCCAAATGCCCGCTTCCAGACACTATAAAAAGAGGGTTTCAAACCTACTCCATGAAAGGGAATGTTCAACTCTGAGAGCTGGATGCAAACATCACAAAGAAGTTTCTGAGAATGCTGCTGTCTACTTTTTATATATAATCCCGTTTCCAACGAAATCCTCAAATCTATCCAAATATCCACTTGCAGATTCCAAAAGAAGAGTGTCTCAAAACTGCTCTATCAATAGAAATGTTCAGCACAGTTAGTTGAGTAGATACAGCATAAACATGTTTCTGAGATTACTTCTATCTCGCATTCATGGGAAGATATTTCCTTTTTCCAGATAGGCTACAAAGCCCTCCAAATGTCCACTTCCAGATACTACAAATAGAGTGCTGCACAACTGCTCTATGTGAGGGGAAGTTCAATTCTGTGACTTGAATGCAGACACCACAAAGAAGTTTCTGAGAATGCTGCTGTCTAATTCTTACATGTAAGCCCGTTTCCAACGAAATCCTCAAAGCTATCCAAATATCCGCATGCAGAATCTTCAAAAAGAGTGTTCCAGAAGTACTGCATGAAACGAAAGGTTCAAGTCCGTTTGTTGAGGACACACATCACAAATAAGTTTCTCAGAATGCTTCTGTCTTGTTTTCATTGGAAGATATTTCCTTTTTCACCATAGTTCAGAAAGCGCTCCAAATGTCCACTTCCAGATACTCCAAAAAGAGTGTTTCCAACCTGCTCTATGAATGGGAATGTTCCACTCTGTGACTTGAATGGAAATATGGCAAAGTATTTTCTGAGTATGCTGCTGTGTACGTTTTATATTGCATCCCGTTTCCAACGAAATCCTCAAAGCGATCCAAATATCCACTTGCAGATTCCAAAAAAAGAGTGTTTCAAACTGCTCTGTCAGTACAAAGGTTCAACACTGTTAGTTGATTAGAGGCATCATAAACAAGTTCCTGAGATAGCTTCTATGTCGCTTTTATGGGAAGATATTTCCTTTTACACCATAGGCCTGAAAGCGCTCCAAATGTCCACTTCTAGACACTACAAAATGAGTGTTTCCAACCTGCTCTATGAAACGGAAGGTTCAACTCTGTGACTTGATTGCAAACATCACGAAGGTGTTTCTGAGGATGTTTCTGTCTAGATTTTCTTTGAAGACATTACCGTTTCCAACGAAATCCTCAAAGCTAGCCAAATATCCACCTGCAGATCCTACAAAAAGAGTGTTTCAAAAGTGCTCTGTCCAAACAAAGGTTCAATTCTGACAGTTGAGTGCACACATCACAAACGTGATTCTGCGAATGCTTCTGTCTAGTTTTTGTCGGAAGATATTTCCTTTTTCAGCATAGGCCCCAAGGAGCTCAAAATGTCCACTGCCAGATAGTACGAGAAGATTGTTTCAAACCTGCTCTGAGAAAGGGGAATGTTCAACTCTGTGACTTGAATGTACACATCCCTAAGATGTTTCTTAGAATGCTTCTGGCTAGATTTTATTTGAAGATATTCCCGTTTCCAACGAAATCCTCAAAGCTTTCCAAATAACCACTTCCAGATTCTATAAAAAGAATGTTTCAAAACAGTTCTGTCAAAAGAAAGGTTCAACTCTGTTAGTGGAGAACACACATCACAATCCAGGTTCTGAGAATGCTTCTGTCTAAATTTTCTATGAAGACATTCCCGTTTCCAACGAAATCCTCACAGCTATCCAAATATCCACTTGCAGATTCTACAAAAAAGGTGGTTCAAAACTGCTGTATCAAAAGAATGGATCAACACTGTTAGTTGAGTACCCACATCACAAACGTGATTCTCAGAATGCTTCTGTCTAGTTTCTGTAGGTAGATATTTCCTTTTTCAGCATAGGCCTGAAAGCGCTCCAAATGCCCACTTCCAGACACTATAAAAAGGGGGTTTCAAACCTACTCTATGAAAGGGAATGTTCAACTCTGAGAGCTGGATGCAAACATCACAAAGAAGTTTCTGAGAATGCTGCTGTCTACTTTTGATATATAATCCCGTTTCCAACGAAATCCTCAAATCTAGCCAAATATCCACTTGCAGATTCCAAAAGAAGAGTGTCTCAAAACTGCTCTATCAATAGAAATGTTCAGCACAGTTAGTTGAGTAGATACAGCATAAACATGTTTCTGAGATTACTTCTATCTCGCATTCATGGGAAGATATTTCCTTTTTCCAGATAGGCTACAAAGCCCTCCAAATGTCCACTTCGAGATACTACAAATAGAGTGCTGCACAACTGCTCTATGTGAGGGGATGTTCAATTCTGTGACTTGAAAGCAGACACCACAAAGAAGTTTCTGAGAATGCTGCTGTCTAATTTTTATATGTAAGCCCGTTTCCAACGAAATCCTCAAAGCTAACCAAATATCCGCATGCAGAATCTTCAAAAAGAGTGTTCCAGAAGTACTGCATGAAACGAAAGCTTCGAGTCCGTTAGTTGAGGACACGCATCACAAATAAGTTTCTCAGAATGCTTCTGTCTTGTTTTCATTGGAACATATTTCCCTTTTCACCATAGTTCAGAAAGCGCTCCAAATGTCCACTTCCAGATACTCCAAAAAGAGTGTTTCCAACCTGCTCTATGAATGGGAATGTTCCACTCTGTGACTTGAATGGAAATATGGCAAAGTATTTTCTGAGTATGCTGCTGTGTACGTTTTATATTGCATCCCGTTTCCAACGAAATCCTCAAAGCGATCCAAATATCCACTTGCAGATTCCAAAAAAAGAGTGTTTCAAAGTGCTCTGTCAGTAAAAAGGTTCAACACTGTTAGTTGATTAGATGCATCATAAACAAGTTCCTGAGATAGCTTCTATGTCGTTTTTATGGGAAGATATTTCCTTTTTCACCATAGGCCTGAAAGCGCTCCAAATGTCCACTTCCAGATACTACAATAAGAGTGTTTCCAACCTGCTCTATGAAACGGAAGGTTCAACTCTGTGACTTGATTGCAAACATCACGAAGGTGTTTCTGAGAATGCTTCTGTCTAGATTTTCTTTGAAGACATTCCCGTTTCCAACGAAATCCTCACAGCTATCCAAATATCCTCTTGCAGATTCTACAAAAAGTGTGGTTCAAAACTGCTGTATCAAAAGAATGGATCAACATTGTTAGTTGAGTACCCACATCACAAACGTGATTCTCAGAATGCTTCTGTCTAGTTTCTGTAGGTAGATATTTCCTATTTTAAGCATAGGCCTGAAAGCGCTCCAAATGCCCGCTTCCAGACACTATAAAAAGAGGGTTTCAAACCTACTCTATGAAAGGGAATGTTCAACTCTGAGAGCTGGATGCAAACATCACAAAGAAGTTTCTGAGAATGCTGCTGTCTACTTTTTATATATAATCCCGTTTCCAACGAAATCCTCAAATCTATCCAAATATCCACTTGCAGATTCCAAAAGAAGAGTGTCTCAAAACTGCTCTATCAATAGAAATGTTCAGCACAGTTAGTTGAGTAGATACAGCATAAACATGTTTCTGACATTACTTCTATCTCGCATTCATGGGAAGATATTTCCTTTTTCCAGATAGGCTACAAAGCCCTCCAAATGTCCACTTCCAGATACTACAAATAGAGTGCTGCACAACTGCTCTATGTGAGGGGATGTTCAATTCTGTGACTTGAATGCAGACACCACAAAGAAGTTTCTGAGAATGCTGCTGTCTAATTTTTACATGTAAGCCCGTTTCCAACGAAATCCTCAAAGCTATCCAAATATCCGCATGCAGAATCTTCAAAAAGAGTGTTCCAGAAGTACTGCATGAAACGAAAGGTTCAAGTCCGTTTGTTGAGGACACACATCACAAATAAGTTTCTCAGAATGCTTCTGTCTTGTTTTCATTGGAAGATATTTCCTTTTTCACCATAGTTCAGAAAGCGCTCCAAATGTCCACTTCCAGATACTCCAAAAAGAGTGTTTCAAACCTGCTCTATGAATGGGAATGTTCCACTCTGTGACTTGAATGGAAATATGGCAAAGTATTTTCTGAGTATGCTGCTGTGTACGTTTTATATTGCATCCCGTTTCCAACGAAATCCTCAAAGCGATCCAAATATCCACTTGCAGATTCCAAAAAAAGAGTGTTTCAAACTGCTCTGTCAGTACAAAGGTTCAACACTGTTAGTTGATTAGATGCATCATAAACAAGTTCCTGAGATAGCTTCTATGTCGTTTTTATGGGAAGATATTTCCTTTTTCACCATAGGCCTGAAAGCGCTCCAAATGTCCACTTCCAGATACTACAATAAGAGTGTTTGCAACCTGCTCTATGAAACGGAAGGTTCAACTCTGTGACTTGATTGCAAACATCACGAAGGTGTTTCTGAGAATGCTTCTGTCTAGATTTTCTTTGAAGACATTCCCGTTTCCAACGAAATCCTCACAGCTATCCAAATATCCTCTTGCAGATTCTACAAAAAGTGTGGTTCAAAACTGCTGTATCAAAAGAATGGATCAACACTGTTAGTTGAGTACCCACATCACAAACGTGATTCTCAGAATGCTTCTGTCTAGTTTCTGTAGGTAGATATTTCCTATTTTAAGCATAGGCCTGAAAGCGCTCCAAATGCCCGCTTCCAGACACTATAAAAAGAGGGTTTCAAACCTACTCTATGAAAGGGAATGTTCAACTCTGAGAGCTGGATGCAAACATCACAAAGAAGTTTCTGAGAATGCTGCTGTCTACTTTTTATATATAATCCCGTTTCCAACGAAATCCTCAAATCTATCCAAATATCCACTTGCAGATTCCAAAAGAAGAGTGTCTCAAAACTGCTCTATCAATAGAAATGTTCAGCACAGTTAGTTGAGTAGATACAGCATAAACATGTTTCTGAGATTACTTCTATCTCGCATTCATGGGAAGATATTTCCTTTTTCCAGATAGGCTACAAAGCCCTCCAAATGTCCACTTCCAGATACTACAAAAAGAGTGTTTCCAACCTGCTCTATGAAACGGAAGGTTCAACTCTGTGACTTGATTGCAAACATCACGAAGGTGTTTCTGAGAATGCTTCTGTCTAGATTTTCTTTGAAGACATTACCGTTTCCAACGAAATCCTCAAAGCTAGCCAAATATGCACCTGCAGATTCTACAAAAAGAGTGTTTCAAAAGTGCTCTCTCCAAACCAAGGTTCAATTCTGACAGTTGAGTGCACACATCACAAACGTGATTCTGCGAATGCTTCTGTCTAGTTTTTGTCCGAAGATATTTCCTTTTTCAGCATAGGCCCCAAGGAGCTCAAAATGTCCACTGCCAGATAGTACGAGAAGATTGTTTCAAACCTGCTCTGCGAAAGGGAATGTTCAACTCTGTGACTTGAATGTAAACATCCCTAAGATGTTTCTTAGAATGCTTCTGGCTAGATTTTATTTGAAGATATTCCCGTTTCCAACGAAATCCTCAAAGCTTTCCAAATATCCACTTCCAGATTCTATAAAAAGAATGTTTCAGAACAGTTCTGTCAAAAGAAAGGTTCAACTCTGTTAGTGGAGAACACACATCACAATCAAGGTTCTGAGAATGCTTCTGTCTAAATTTTCTATGAAGACATTCCCGTTTCCAACGAAATCCTCACAGCTATCCAAATATCCACTTGCAGATTCTACAAAAAGTGTGGTTCAAAACTGCTGTATCAAAAGAATGGATCAACACTGTTAGTTGAGTACCCACATCACAAACGTGATTCTCAGAATGCTTCTGTCTAGTTTCTATAGGTAGATATTTCCTTTTTCAGCATAGGCCTGAAAGCGCTCCAAATGCCCGCTTCCAGACACTATAAAAAGAGGGTTTCAAACCTACTCTATGAAAGGGAATGTTCAACTCTGAGAGCTGGATGCAAACATCACAAAGAAGTTTCTGAGAATGCTGCTGTCTACTTTTTATATATAATCCCGTTTCCAACGAAATCCTCAAATCTATCCAAATATCCACTTGCAGATTCCAAAAGAAGAGTGTCTGAAAACTGCTCTATCAATAGAAATGTTCAGCACAGTTAGTTGAGTAGATACAGCATAAACATGTTTCTGAGATTACTTCTATCTCGCATTCATGGGAAGATATTTCCTTTTTCCAGATAGGCTACAAAGCCCTCCAAATGTCCACTTCCAGATACTATAGAAAGAGTGTTTCCAACCTGCTCTATGAAACGGAAGGTTCAACTCTGTGACTTGATTGCAAACATCACGAAGGTGTTTCTGAGAATGCTTCTGTCTAGATTTTCTTTGAAGACATTACCGTTTCCAACGAAATCCTCAAAGCTAGCCAAATATCCACCTGCAGATTCTACAAAAAGAGTGTTTCAAAAGTGCTCTGTCCAAACCAAGGTTCAATTCTGACAGTTGAGTGCACACATCACAAACGTGATTCTGCGAATGCTTCTGTCTAGTTTTTGTCGGAAGATATTTCCTTTTTCAGCATAGGCCCCAAGGAGCTCAAAATGTCCACTGCCAGATAGTACGAGAAGATTGTTTCAAACCTGCTCTGTGAAAGGGAATGTTCAACTCTGTGACTTGAATGTAAACATCCCTAAGATGTTTCTTAGAATGCTTCTGGCTAGATTTGATTTGAAGATATTCCCGTTTCCAACGAAATCCTCAAAGCTTTCCAAATATCCACTTCCAGATTCTATAAAAAGAATGTTTCAGAACAGTTCTGTCAAAAGAAAGGTTCAACTCTGTTAGTGGAGAACACACATCACAATCAAGGTTCTGAGAATGCTTCTGTCTAAATTTTCTATGAAGACATTCCCGTTTCCAACGAAATCCTCACAGCTATCCAAATATCCACTTGCAGATTCTACAAAAAGTGTGGTTCAAAACTGCTGTATCAAAAGAATGGATCAACACTGTTAGTTGAGTACCCACATCACAAACGTGATTCTCAGAATGCTTCTGTCTAGTTTCTATAGGTAGATATTTCCTATTTTAAGCATAGGCCTGAAAGCGCTCCAAATGCCCGCTTCCAGACACTATAAAAAGAGGGTTTCAAACCTACTCTATGAAAGGGAATGTTCAACTCTGAGAGCTGGATGCAAACATCACAAAGAAGTTTCTGAGAATGCTGCTGTCTACTTTTGATATATAATCCCGTTTCCAACGAAATCCTCAAATCTATCCAAATATCCACTTGCAGATTCCAAAAGAAGAGTGTCTCAAAACTGCTCTATCAATAGAAATGTTCAGCACAGTTAGTTGAGTAGATACAGCATAAACATGTTTCTGAGATTACTTCTATCTCGCATTCATGGGAAGATATTTCCTTTTTCCAGATAGGCTACAAAGCCCTCCAAATGTCCACTTCCAGATACTACAAATAGAGTGCTGCACAACTGCTCTATGTGAGGGGAAGTTCAATTCTGTGACTTGAATGCAGACACCACAAAGAAGTTTCTGAGAATGCTGCTGTCTATTTTTACATGTAAGCCCGTTTCCAACGAAATCCTCAAAGCTATCCAAATATCCGCATGCAGAATCTTCAAAAAGAGTGTTCCAGAAGTACTGCATGAAACGAAAGGTTCAAGTCCGTTTGTTGAGGACACACATCACAAATAAGTTTCTCAGAATGCTTCTGTCTTGTTTTCATTGGAAGATATTTCCTTTTTCACCATAGTTCAAAAAGCGCTCCAAATGTCCACTTCCAGATACTCCAAAAAGAGTGTTTCCAACCTGCTCTATGAATGGGAATGTTCCACTCTGTGACTTGAATGGAAACATGGCAAAGTATTTTCTGAGTATGCTGCTGTGTACGTTTTATATTGCATCCCGTTTCCAACGAAATCCTCAAAGTGATCCAAATATCCACTTGCAGATTCCAAAAAAAGAGTGTTTCAAACTGCTCTGTCAGTACAAAGGTTCAACACTGTTAGTTGATTAGATGCATCATAAACAAGTTCCTGAGATAGCTTCTATGTCGTTTTTATGGGAAGATATTTCCTTTTTCACCATAGGCCTGAAAGCGCTCCAAATGTCCACTTCCAGATACTACAAAAAGAGTGTTTCCAACCTGCTCTATGAAACGGAAGGTTCAACTCTGTGACTTGATTGCAAACATCACGAAGGTGTTTCTGAGAATGCTTCTGTCTAGATTTTCTTTGAAGACATTCCCGTTTCCAACGAAATCCTCACAGCTATCCAAATATCCTCTTGCAGATTCTACAAAAAGTGTGGTTCAAAACTGCTGTATCAAAAGAATGGATCAACACTGTTAGTTGAGTACCCACATCACAAACGTGATTCTCAGAATGCTTCTGTCTAGTTTCTGTAGGTAGATATTTCCTATTTTAAGCATAGGCCTGAAAGCGCTCCAAATGCCCGCTTCCAGACACTATAAAAAGAGGGTTTCAAACCTACTCTATGAAAGGGAATGTTCAACTCTGAGAGCTGGATGCAAACATCACAAAGAAGTTTCTGAGAATGCTGCTGTCTACTTTTTATATATAATCCCGTTTCCAACGAAATCCTCAAATCTATCCAAATATCCACTTGCAGATTCCAAAAGAAGAGTGTCTCAAAACTGCTCTATCAATAGAAATGTTCAGCACAGTTAGTTGAGTAGATACAGCATAAACATGTTTCTGAGATTACTTCTATCTCGCATTCATGGGAAGATATTTCCTTTTTCCACATAGGCTACAAAGCCCTCCAAATGTCCACTTCCAGATACTACAAAAAGAGTGTTTCCAACCTGCTCTATGAAACGGAAGGTTCAACTCTGTGACTTGATTGCAAACATCACGAAGGTGTTTCTGAGAATGCTTCTGTCTAGATTTTCTTTGAAGACATTACCGTTTCCAACGAAATCCTCAAAGCTAGCCAAATATCCACCTGCAGATTCTACAAAAAGAGTGTTTCAAAAGTGCTCTGTCCAAACCAAGGTTCAATTCTGACAGTTGAGTGCACACATCACAAACGTGATTCTGCGAATGCTTCTGTCTAGTTTTTGTCGGAAGATATTTCCTTTTTCAGCATAGGCCCCAAGGAGCTCAAAATGTCCACTGCCAGATAGTACGAGAAGATTGTTTCAAACCTGCTCTGTGAAAGGGAATGTTCAACTCTGTGACTTGAATGTAAACATCCCTAAGATGTTTCTTAGAAAGCTTCTGGCTAGATTTTATTTGAAGATATTCCCGTTTCCAACGAAATCCTCAAAGCTTTCCAAATATCCACTTCCAGATTCTATAAAAAGAATGTTTCAGAACAGTTCTGTCAAAAGAAAGGTTCAACTCTGTTAGTGGAGAACACACATCACAATCAAGGTTCTGAGAATGCTTCTGTCTAAATTTTCTATGAAGACATTCCCGTTTCCAAGGAAATCCTCACAGCTATCCAAATATCCACTTGCAGATTCTACAAAAAGTGTGGTTCAAAACTGCTGTATCAAAAGAATGGATCAACACTGTTAGTTGAGTACCCACATCACAAACGTGATTCTCAGAATGCTTCTGTCTAGTTTCTATAGGTAGATATTTCCTTTTTCAGCATAGGCCTGAAAGCGCTCCAAATGCCCGCTTCCAGACACTATAAAAAGAGGGTTTCAAACCTACTCTATGAAAGGGAATGTTCAACTCTGAGAGCTGGATGCAAACATCACAAAGAAGTTTCTGAGAATGCTGCTGTCTACTTTGGATATATAATCCCGTTGCCAACGAAATCCTCAAATCTATCCAAATATCCACTTGCAGATTCCAAAAGAAGAGTGTCTCAAAACTGCTCTATCAATTGAAATGTTCAGCACAGTTAGTTGAGTAGATACAGCATAAACATGTTTCTGAGATTACTTCTATCTCGCATTCATGGGAAGATATTTCCTTTTTCCAGATAGGCTACAAAGCCCTCCAAATGTCCACTTCCAGATACTACAAATAGAGTGCTGCACAACTGCTCTATGTGAGGGGATGTTCAATTCTGTGACTTGAATGCAGACACCACAAAGAAGTTTCTGAGAATGCTGCTGTCTAATTTTTACATGTAAGCCCGTTTCCAACGAAATCCTCAAAGCTATCCAAATATCCGCATGCAGAATCTTCAAAAAGAGTGTTCCAGAAGTACTGCATGAAACGAAAGGTTCAAGTCCCGTTTGTTGAGGACACACATCACAAATAAGTTTCTCAGAATGCTTCTGTCTTGTTTTCATTGGAAGATATTTCCTTTTTCACCATAGTTCAGAAAGCGCTCCAAATGTCCACTTCCAGATACTCCAAAAAGAGTGTTTCCAACCTGCTCTATGAATGGGAATGTTCCACTCTGTGACTTGAATGGAAATATGGCAAAGTATTTTCTGAGTATGCTGCTGTGTACGTTTTATATTGCATCCCGTTTCCAACGAAATCCTCAAAGCGATCCAAATATCCACTTGCAGATTCCAAAAAAAGAGTGTTTCAAACTGCTCTGTCAGTACAAAGGTTCAACACTGTTAGTTGATTAGATGCATCATAAACAAGTTCCTGATATAGATTCTATGTCGTTTTTATGGGAAGATATTTCCTTTTTCACCATAGGCCTGAAAGCGCTCCAAATGTCCACTTCCAGATACTACAATAAGAGTGTTTCCAACCTGCTCTATGAAACGGAAGGTTCAACTCTGTGACTTGATTGCAAACATCACGAAGGTGTTTCTGAGAATGCTTCTGTCTAGATTTTCTTTGAAGACATTCCCGTTTCCAACGAAATCCTCACAGCTATCCAAATATCCTCTTGCAGATTCTACAAAAAGTGTGGTTCAAAACTGCTGTATCAAAAGAATGGATCAACACTGTTAGTTGAGTACCCACATCACAAACGTGATTCTCAGAATGCTTCTGTCTAGTTTCTATAGGTAGATATTTCCTATTTTAAGCATAGGCCTGAAAGCGCTCAAAATGCCCGCTTCCAGACACTATAAAAAGAGGGTTTCAAACCTACTCTATGAAAGGGAGTGTTCAACTCTGAGAGCTATATGCAAACATCACAAAGAAGTTTCTGAGAATGCTGCTGTCTACTTTTTATATATAATCCCGTTTCCAACGAAATCCTCAAATCTATCCAAATATCCACTTGCAGATTCCAAAAGAAGAGTGTCTCAAAACTGCTCTATCAATAGAAATGTTCAGCACAGTTAGTTGAGTAGATACAGCATAAACATGTTTCTGAGATTACTTCTATCTCGCATTCATGGGAAGATATTTCCTTTTTCCAGATAGGCTACAAAGCCCTCCAAATGTCCACTTCCAGATACTACAAATAGAGTGCTGCACAACTGCTCTATGTGAGGGGAAGTTCAATTCTGTGACTTGAATGCAGACACCACAAAGAAGTTTCTGAGAATGCTGCTGTCTAATTTTTACATGTAAGCCCGTTTCCAACGAAATCCTCAAAGCTATCCAAATATCCGCATGCAGAATCTTCAAAAAGAGTGTTCCAGAAGTACTGCATGAAACGAAAGTTTCAAGTCCGTTTGTTGAGGACACACATCACAAATAAGTTTCTCAGAATGCTTCTGTCTTGTTTTCATTGGAAGATATTTCCTTTTTCACCATAGTTCAGAAAGCGCTCCAAATGTCCACTTCCAGATACTCCAAAAAGAGTGTTTCAAACCTGCTCTATGAATGGGAATGTTCCACTCTGTGACTTGAATGGAAATATGGCAAAGTATTTTCTGAGTATGCTGCTGTGTACGTTTTATATTGCATCCCGTTTCCAACGAAATCCTCAAAGCGATCCAAATATCCACTTGCAGATTCCAAAAAAAGAGTGTTTCAAACTGCTCTGTCAGTACAAAGGTTCAACACTGTTAGTTGATTAGATGCATCATAAACAAGTTCCTGAGATAGCTTCTATGTCGTTTTTATGGGAAGATATTTCCTTTTTCACCATAGGCCTGAAAGCGCTCCAAATGTCCACTTCCAGATGCTACAAAAAGAGTGTTTCCAACCTGCTCTATGAAACGGAAGGTTCAACTCTGTGACTTGATTGCAAACATCACGAAGGTGTTTCTGAGAATGCTTCTGTCTAGATTTTCTTTGAAGACATTACCGTTTCCAACGAAATCCTCAAAGCTAGCCAAATATCCACCTGCAGATTCTACAAAAAGAGTGTTTCAAAAGTGCTCTGTCCAAACCAAGGTTCAATTCTGACAGTTGAGTGCACACATCACAAACGTGATTCTGCGAATGCTTCTGTCTAGTTTTTGTCGGAAGATATTTCCTTTTTCAGCATAGGCCCCAAGGAGCTCAAAATGTCCACTGCCAGATAGTACGAGAAGATTGTTTCAAACCTGCTCTGTGAAAGGGAATGTTCAACTCTGTGACTTGAATGTAAACATCCCTAAGATGTTTCTTAGAATGCTTCTGGCTAGATTTTATTTGAAGATATTCCCGTTTCCAACGAAATCCTCAAAGCTTTCCAAATATCCACTTCCAGATTCTATAAAAAGAATGTTTCAGAACAGTTCTGTCAAAAGAAAGGTTCAACTCTGTTAGTGGAGAACACACATCACAATCAAGGTTCTGAGAATGCTTCTGTCTAAATTTTCTATGAAGACATTCCCGTTTCCAACGAAATCCTCACAGCTATCCAAATATCCACTTGCAGATTCTACAAAAAGTGTGGTTCAAAACTGCTGTATCAAAAGAATGGATCAACACTGTTAGTTGAGTACCCACATCACAAACGTGATTCTCAGAATGCTTCTGTCTAGTTTCTATAGGTAGATATTTCCTTTTTCAGCATAGGCCTGAAAGCGCTCCAAATGCCCGCTTCCAGACACTATAAAAAGAGGGTTTCAAACCTACTCTATGAAAGGGAATGTTCAACTCTGAGAGCTGGATGCAAACATCACAAAGAAGTTTCTGAGAATGCTGCTGTCTACTTTTTATATATAATCCCGTTTCCAACGAAATCCTCAAATCTATCCAAATATCCACTTGCAGATTCCAAAAGAAGAGTGTCTCAAAACTGCTCTATCAATAGAAATGTTCAGCACAGTTAGTTGAGTAGATACAGCATAAACATGTTTCTGAGATTACTTCTATCTCGCATTCATGGGAAGATATTTCCTTTTTCCACATAGGCTACAAAGCCCTCCAAATGTCCACTTCCAGATACTACAAAAAGAGTGTTTCCAACCTGCTCTATGAAACGGAAGGTTCAACTCTGTGACTTGATTGCAAACATCACGAAGGTGTTTCTGAGAATGCTTCTGTCTAGATTTTCTTTGAAGACATTACCGTTTCCAACGAAATCCTCAAAGCTAGCCAAATATCCACCTGCAGATTCTACAAAAAGAGTGTTTCAAAAGTGCTCTCTCCAAACCAAGGTTCAATTCTGACAGTTGAGTGCACACATCACAAACGTGATTCTGCGAATGCTTCTGACTAGTTTTTGTCGGAAGATATTTCCTTTTTCAGCATAGGCCCCAAAGAGCTCAAAATGTCCACTGCCAGATAGTACGAGAAGATTGTTTCAAACCTGCTCTGTGAAAGGGAATGTTCAACTCTGTGACTTGAATGTAAACATCCCTAAGATGTTTCTTAGAATGCTTCTGGCTAGATTTTATTTGAAGATATTCCCGTTTCCAACGAAATCCTCAAAGCTTTCCAAATATCCACTTCCAGATTCTATAAAAAGAATGTTTCAGAACAGTTCTGTCAAAAGAAAGGTTCAACTCTGTTAGTGGAGAACACACATCACAATCAAGGTTCTGAGAATGCTTCTGTCTAAATTTTCTATGAAGACATTCCCGTTTCCAACGAAATCCTCACAGCTATCCAAATATCCACTTGCAGATTCTACAAAAAGTGTGGTTCAAAACTGCTGTATCAAAAGAATGGATCAACACTGTTAGTTGAGTACCCACATCACAAACTTGATTCTCAGAATGCTTCTGTCTAGTTTCTATATGTAGATATTTCCTTTTTCAGCATAGGCCTGAAAGCGCTCCAAATGCCCGCTTCCAGACACTATAAAAAGAGGGTTTCAAACCTACTCTATGAAAGGGAATGTTCAACTCTGAGAGCTGGATGCAAACATCACAAAGAAGTTTCTGAGAATGCTGCTGTCTACTTTTTATATATAATCCCGTTTCCAACGAAATCCTCAAATCTATCCAAATATCCACTTGCAGATTCCAAAAGAAGAGTGTCTCAAAACTGCTCTATCAATAGAAATGTTCAGCACAGTTAGTTGAGTAGATACAGCATAAACATGTTTCTGAGATTACTTCTATCTCGCATTTCATGGGAAGATATTTCCTTTTTCCAGATAGGCTACAAAGCCCTCCAAATGTCCACTTCGAGATACTACAAATAGAGTGCTGCACAACTGCTCTATGTGAGGGGATGTTCAATTCTGTGACTTGAAAGCAGACACCACAAAGAAGTTTCTGAGAATGCTGCTGTCTAATTTTTACATGTAAGCCCGTTTCCAACGAAATCCTCAAGCAATCCAAATATCCGCATGCAGAATCTTCAAAAAGAGTGTTCCAGAAGTACTGCATGAAACGAAAGGTTCAAGTCCGTTTGTTGAGGACACACATCACAAATAAGTTTCTCAGAATGCTTCTGTCTTGTTTTCATTGGAAGATATTTCCTTTTTCACCATAGTTCAGAAAGCGCTCCAAATGTCCACTTCCAGATACTCCAAAAAGAGTGTTTCCAACCTGCTCTATGAATGGGAATGTTCCACTCTGTGACTTGAATGGAAATATGGCAAAGTATTTTCTGAGTATGCTGCTGTGTACGTTTTATATTGCATCCCGTTTCCAACGAAATCCTCAAAGCGATCCAAATATCCACTTGCAGATTCCAAAAAAAGAGTGTTTCAAAGTGCTCTGTCAGTACAAAGGTTCAACACTGTTAGTTGATTAGATGCATCATAAACAAGTTCCTGAGATAGCTTCTATGTCGTTTTTATGGGAAGATATTTCCTTTTTCACCATAGGCCTGAAAGCGCTCCAAATGTCCACTTCCAGATACTACAATAAGAGTGTTTCCAACCTGCTCTATGAAACGGAAGGTTCAACTCTGTGACTTGATTGCAAACATCACGAAGGTGTTTCTGAGAATGCTTCCGTCTAAATTTTCTATGAAGACATTCCCGTTTCCAACGAAATCCTCACAGCTATCCAAATATCCACTTGCAGATTCTACAAAAAGTGTGGTTCAAAACTGCTGTATCAAAAGAATGGATCAACACTGTTAGTTGAGTACCCACATCACAAAGGTGATTCTCAGAATGCTTCTGTCTAGTTTCTATAGGTAGATATTTCCTTTTTCAGCATAGGCCTCAAAGCGCTCCAAATGCCCGCTTCCAGACACTATAAAAAGAGGGTTTCAAACCTACTCTATGAAAGGGAATGTTCAACTCTGAGAGCTGGATGCAAACATCACAAAGAAGTTTCTGAGAATGCTGCTGTCTACTTTTTATATATAATCCCGTTTCCAACGAAATCCTCAAATCTATCCAAATATCCACTTGCAGATTCCAAAAGAAGAGTGTCTCAAAACTGCTCTATCAATAGAAATGTTCAGCACAGTTAGTTGAGTAGATACAGCATAAACATCTTTCTGAGATTACTTCTATCTCGCATTCATGGGAAGATATTTCCTTTTTCCAGATAGGCTACAAAGCCCTCCAAATGTCCACTTCGAGATACTACAAATAGAGTGCTGCACAACTGCTCTATGTGAGGGGATGTTCAATTCTGTGACTTGGATGCAGACACCACAGAGAAGTTTCTGAGAATGCTGCTGTCTAATATTTATATGTAAGCCTGTTTCCAACGAAATCCTCAAAGCTATCCAAATATCCGCATGCAGAATCTTCAAAAAGAGTGTTCCAGAAGTACTGCATGAAACGAAAGGTTCAAGTCCGTTAGTTGAGGACACACATCACAAATAAGTTTCTCAGAATGCTTCTGTCTTGTTTTCATTGGAAGATATTTCCTTTTTCACCATAGTTCAGAAAGCGCTCCAAATGTCCACTTCCAGATACTACAAAAAGAGTGTGTCAAACCTGCTCTATGAATGGGAATGTTCCACTCTGTGACTTGAATGGAAATATGGCAAAGTATTTTCTGAGTATGCTGCTGTGTACGTTTTATATTGCATCCCGTTTCCAACGAAATCCTCAAAGCGATCCAAATATCCACTTGCAGATTCCAAAAAAAAGAGTGTTTCACATTGCTCTGTCAGTACAAAGGTTCAACACTGTTAGTTGATTGGATGCATCATAAACAAGTTCCTGAGATAGCTTCTATCTCGCATTCATGGGAAGATATTTCCTTTTTCCAGATAGGCTACAAAGCCCTCCAAATGTCCACTTCCAGATACTACAGAAAGAGTGTTTCCAACCTGCTCTATGAAACGGAAGGTTCAACTCTGTGACTTGATTGCAAACATCACGAAGGTGTTTCTGAGAATGCTTCTGTCTAGATTTTCTTTGAAGACATTACCGTTTCCAACGAAATCCTCAAAGCTAGCCAAATATCCACCTGCAGATTCTACAAAAAGAGTGTTTCAAAAGTGCTCTGTCCAAACCAAGGTTCAATTCTGACAGTTGAGTGCACACATCACAAACGTGATTCTGCGAATGCTTCTGTCTAGTTTTTGTCGGAAGATATTTCCTTTTTCAGCATAGGCCCCAAGGAGCTCAAAATGTCCACTGCCAGATAGTACGAGAAGATTGTTTCAAACCTGCTCTGTGAAAGGGAATGTTCAACTCTGTGACTTGAATGTAAACATCCCTAAGATGTTTCTTAGAATGCTTCTGGCTAGATTTGATTTGAAGATATTCCCGTTTCCAACGAAATCCTCAAAGCTTTCCAAATATCCACTTCCAGATTCTATAAAAAGAATGTTTCAGAACAGTTCTGTCAAAAGAAAGGTTCAACTCTGTTAGTGGAGAACACACATCACAATCAAGGTTCTGAGAATGCTTCTGTCTAAATTTTCTATGAAGACATTCCCGTTTCCAACGAAATCCTCACAGCTATCCAAATATCCACTTGCAGATTCTACAAAAAGTGTGGTTCAAAACTGCTGTATCAAAAGAATGGATCAACACTGTTAGTTGAGTACCCACATCACAAACGTGATTCTCAGAATGCTTCTGTCTAGTTTCTATAGGTAGATATTTCCTTTTTCAGCATAGGCCTGAAAGCGCTCCAAATGCCCGCTTCCAGACACTATAAAAAGAGGGTTTCAAAACTACTCTATGAAAGGGAATGTTCAACTCTGGGAGCTAGATGCAAACATCACAAAGAAGTTTCTGAGAATGCTGCTGTCTACTTTTTATATATAATCCCGTTTCCAACGAAATCCTCAAATCTATCCAAATATCCACTTGCAGATTCCAAAAGAAGAGTGTCTCAAAACTGCTCTATCAATAGAAATGTTCAGCACAGTTAGTTGAGTAGATACAGCATAAACATGTTTCTGAGATTACTTCTATCTCGCATTCATGGGAAGATATTTCCTTTTTCCAGATAGGCTACAAAGCCCTCCAAATGTCCACTTCCAGATACTACAAAAAGAGTGTTTCCAACCTGCTCTATGAAACGGAAGGTTCAACTCTGTGACTTGATTGCAAACATCACGAAGGTGTTTCTGAGAATGCTTCTGTCTAGATTTTCTTTGAAGACATTACCGTTTCCAACGAAATCCTCAAAGCTAGCCAAATATCCACCTGCAGATTCTACAAAAAGAGTGTTTCAAAAGTGCTCTGTCCAAACCAAGGTTCAATTCTGACAGTTGAGTGCACACATCACAAACGTGATTCTGCGAATGCTTCTGTCTAGTTTTTGTCGGAAGATATTTCCTTTTTCAGCATAGGCCCCAAGGAGCTCAAAATGTCCACTGCCAGATAGTACGAGAAGATTGTTTCAAACCTGCTCTGTGAAAGGGAATGTTCAACTCTGTGACTTGAATGTAAACATCCCTAAGATGTTTCTTAGAATGCTTCTGGCTAGATTTGATTTGAAGATATTCCCGTTTCCAACGAAATCCTCAAAGCTTTCCAAATATCCACTTCCAGATTCTATAAAAAGAATGTTTCAGAACAGTTCTGTCAAAAGAAAGGTTCAACTCTGTTAGTGGAGAACACACATCACAATCAAGGTTCTGAGAATGCTTCTGTCTAAATTTTCTATGAAGACATTCCCGTTTCCAACGAAATCCTCACAGCTATCCAAATATCCACTTGCAGATTCTACAAAAAGTGTGGTTCAAAACTGCTGTATCAAAAGAATGGATCAACACTGTTAGTTGAGTACCCACATCACAAACGTGATTCTCAGAATGCTTCTGTCTAGTTTCTATAGGTAGATATTTCCTTTTTCAGCATAGGCCTGAAAGCGCTCCAAATGCCCGCTTCCAGACACTATAAAAAGAGGGTTTCAAACCTACTCTATGAAAGGGAATGTTCAACTCTGAGAGCTGGATGCAAACATCACAAAGAAGTTTCTGAGAATGCTGCTGTCTACTTTTTATATATAATCCCGTTTCCAACGAAATCCTCAAATCTATCCAAATATCCACTTGCAGATTCCAAAAGAAGAGTGTCTCAAAACTGCTCTATCAATAGAAATGTTCAGCACAGTTAGTTGAGTAGATACAGCATAAACATGTTTCTGAGATTACTTCTATCTCGCATTCATGGGAAGATATTTCCTTTTTCCAGATAGGCTACAAAGCCCTCCAAATGTCCACTTCCAGATACTACAAAAAGAGTGTTTCCAACCTGCTCTATGAAACGGAAGGTTCAACTCTGTGACTTGATTGCAAACATCACGAAGGTGTTTCTGAGAATGCTTCTGTCTAGATTTTCTTTGAAGACATTACCGTTTCCAACGAAATCCTCAAAGCTAGTCAAATATCCACCTGCAGATTCTACAAAAAGAGTGTTTCAAAAGTGCTCTGTCCAAACAAAGGTTCAATTCTGACAGTTGAGTGCACACATCACAAACGTGATTCTGCGAATGCTTCTGTCTAGTTTTTGTCGGAAGATATTTCCTTTTTCAGCATAGGCCCCAAGGAGCTCAAAATGTCCACTTCCAGATACTACGAGAAGATTGTTTCAAACCTGCTCTGTGAAAGGGAATGTTCAACTCTGTGACTTGAATGTAAACATCCCTAAGATGTTTCTTAGAATGCTTCTGGCTAGATTTGATTTGAAGATATTCCCGTTTCCAACGAAATCCTCAAAGCTTTCCAAATATCCACTTCCAGATTCTATACAAAGAATGTTTCAGAACAGTTCTGTCAAAAGAAAGGTTCAACCCTGTTAGTGGAGAACACACATCACAATCAAGGTTCTGAGAATGCTTCTGTCTAAATTTTCTATGAAGACATTCCCGTTTCCAAGGAAATCCTCACAGCTATCCAAATATCCACTTGCAGATTCTACAAAAAGTGTGGTTCAAAACTGCTGTATCAAAAGAATGGATCAACACTGTTAGTTGAGTACCCACATCACAAACGTGATTCTCAGAATGCTTCTGTCTAGTTTCTATAGGTAGATATTTCCTTTTTCAGCATAGGCCTGAAAGCGCTCCAAATGCCCGCTTCCAGACACTATAAAAAGAGGGTTTCAAACCTACTCTATGAAAGGGAATGTTCAACTCTGAGAGCTGGATGCAAACATCACAAAGAAGTTTCTGAGAATGCTGCTGTCTACTTTTTATATATAATCCCGTTTCCAACGAAATCCTCAAATCTATCCAAATATCCACTTGCAGATTCCAAAAGAAGAGTGTCTCAAAACTGCTCTATCAATAGAAATGTTCAGCACAGTTAGTTGAGTAGATACAGCATAAACATGTTTCTGAGATTACTTCTATCTCGCATTCATGGGAAGATATTTCCTTTTTCCAGATAGGCTACAAAGCCCTCCAAATGTCCACTTCCAGATACTACAAAAAGAGTGTTTCCAACCTGCTCTATGAAACGGAAGGTTCAACTCTGTGACTTGATTGCAAACATCACGAAGGTGTTTCTGAGAATGCTTCTGTCTAGATTTTCTTTGAAGACATTACCGTTTCCAACGAAATCCTCAAAGCTAGCTAAATATCCACCTGCAGATTCTACAAAAAGAGTGTTTCAAAAGTGCTCTGTCCAAACCAAGGTTCAATTCTGACAGTTGAGTGCACACATCACAAACGTGATTCTGCGAATGCTTCTGTCTAGTTTTTGTCGGAAGATATTTCCTTTTTCAGCATAGGCCCCAAGGAGCTCAAAATGTCCACTGCCAGATAGTACGAGAAGATTGTTTCAAACCTGCTCTGTGAAAGGGAATGTTCAACTCTGTGACTTGAATGTAAACATCCCTAAGATGTTTCTTGGAATGCTTCTGGCTAGATTTTATTTGAAGATATTCCCGTTTCCAACGAAATCCTCAAAGCTTTCCAAATATCCACTTCCAGATTCTATAAAAAGAATGTTTCAGAACAGTTCTGTCAAAAGAAAGGTTCAACTCTGTTAGTGGAGAACACACATCACAATCAAGGTTCTGAGAATGCTTCTGTCTAAATTTTCTATGAAGACATTCCCGTTTCCAACGAAATCCTCACAGCTATCCAAATATCCACTTGCAGATTCTACAAAAAGTGTGGTTCAAAACTGCTGTATCAAAAGAATGGATCAACACTGTTAGTTGAGTACCCACATCACAAACGTGATTCTCAGAATGCTTCTGTCTAGTTTCTATAGGTAGATATTTCCTTTTTCAGCATAGGCCTGAAAGCGCTCCAAATGCCCGCTTCCAGACACTATAAAAAGAGGGTTTCAAACCTACTCTATGAAAGGGAATGTTCAACTCTGAGAGCTGGATGCAAACATCACAAAGAAGTTTCTGAGAATGCTGCTGTCTACTTTTTATATATAATCCCGTTTCCAACGAAATCCTCAAATCTATCCAAATATCCACTTGCAGATTCCAAAAGAAGAGTGTCTCAAAACTGCTCTATCAATAGAAATGTTCAGCACAGTTAGTTGAGTAGATACAGCATAAACATGTTTCTGAGATTACTTCTATCTCGCATTCATGGGAAGATATTTCCTTTTTCCAGATAGGCTACAAAGCCCTCCAAATGTCCACTTCCAGATACTACAAATAGAGTGCTGCACAACTGCTCTATGTGAGGGGAAGTTCAATTCTGTGACTTGAATGCAGACACCACAAAGAAGTTTCTGAGAATGCTGCTGTCTAATTTTTACATGTAAGCCCGTTTCCAACGAAATCCTCAAAGCTATCCAAATATCCGCATGCAGAATCTTCAAAAAGAGTGTTCCAGAAGTACTGCATGAAACGAAAGGTTCAAGTCCGTTTGTTGAGGACACACATCACAAATAAGTTTCTCAGAATGCTTCTGTCTTGTTTTCATTGGAAGATATTTCCTTTTTCACCATAGTTCAGAAAGCGCTCCAAATGTCCACTTCCAGATACTCCAAAAAGAGTGTTTCCAACCTGCTCTATGAATGGGAATGTTCCACTCTGTGACTTGAATGGAAATATGGCAAAGTATTTTCTGAGTATGCTGCTGTGTACGTTTTATATTGCATCCCGTTTCCAACGAAATCCTCAAAGCGATCCAAATATCCACTTGCAGATTCCAAAAAAAGAGTGTTTCAAACTGCTCTGTCAGTACAAAGGTTCAACACTGTTAGTTGATTAGATGCCTCATAAACAAGTTCCTGAGATAGCTTCTATGTCGTTTTTATGGGAAGATATTTCCTTTTTCACCATAGGCCTGAAAGCGCTCCAAATGTCCACTTCCAGATACTACAATAAGAGTGTTTCCAACCTGCTCTATGAAACGGAAGGTTCAACTCTGTGACTTGATTGCAAACATCACGAAGGTGTTTCTGAGAATGTTTCTGTCTAGATTTTCTTTGAAGACATTCCCGTTTCCAACGAAATCCTCACAGCTATCCAAATATCCTCTTGCAGATTCTACAAAAAGTGTGGTTCAAAACTGCTGTATCAAAAGAATGGATCAACACTGTTAGTTGAGTACCCACATCACAAACGAGATTCTCAGAATGCTTCTGTCTAGTTTCTGTAGGTAGATATTTCCTATTTTAAGCATAGGCCTGAAAGCGCTCCAAATGCCCGCTTCCAGACACTATAAAAAGAGGGTTTCAAACCTACTCTATGAAAGGGAATGTTCAACTCTGAGAGCTGGATGCAAACATCACAAAGAAGTTTCTGAGAATGCTGCTGTCTACTTTTTATATATAATCCCGTTTCCAACGAAATCCTCAAATCTCTCCAAATATCCACTTGCAGATTCCAAAAGAAGAGTGTCTCAAAACTGCTCTATCAATAGAAATGTTCAGCACAGTTAGTTGAGTAGATACAGCATAAACATGTTTCTGAGATTACTTCTATCTCGCATTCATGGGAAGATATTTCCTTTTTCCAGATAGGCTACAAAGCCCTCCAAATGTCCCCTTCCAGATACTACAAATAGAGTGCTGCACAACTGCTCTATGTGAGGGGAAGTTCAACTCTGTGACTTGAATGCAGACACCACAAAGAAGTTTCCTGAGAATGCTGCTGTCTAATTTTTACATGTAAGCCCGTTTCCAACGAAATCCTCAAGCAATCCAAATATCCGCATGCAGAATCTTCAAAAAGAGTGTTCCAGAAGTACTGCATGAAACGAAAGGTTCAAGTCCGTTTGTTGAGGACACACATCACAAATAAGTTTCTCAGAATGCTTCTGTCTTGTTTTCATTGGAAGATATTTCCTTTTTCACCATAGTTCAGAAAGCGCTCCAAATGTCCACTTCCAGATACTCCAAAAAGAGTGTTTCCAACCTGCTCTATGAATGGGAATGTTCCACTCTGTGACTTGAATGGAAATATGGCAAAGTATTTTCTGAGTATGCTGCTGTGTACGTTTTATATTGCATCCCGTTTCCAACGAAATCCTCAAAGCGATCCAAATATCCACTTGCAGATTCCAAAAAAGGAGTGTTTCAAACTGCTCTGTCAGTACAAAGGTTCAACACTGTTAGTTGATTAGATGCATCATAAACAAGTTCCTGAGATAGCTTCTATGTCGTTTTTATGGGAAGATATTTCCTTTTTCACCATAGGCCTGAAAGCGCTCCAAATGTCCACTTCCAGATACTACAATAAGAGTGTTTCCAACCTGCTCTATGAAACGGAAGGTTCAACTCTGTGACTTGATTGCAAACATCACGAAGGTGTTTCTGAGAATGCTTCTGTCTAGATTTTCTTTGAAGACATTCCCGTTTCCAACGAAATCCTCACAGCTATCCAAATATCCTCTTGCAGATTCTACAAAAAGTGTGGTTCAAAACTGCTGTATCAAAAGAATGGATCAACACTGTTAGTTGAGTACCCACATCACAAACGTGATTCTCAGAATGCTTCTGTCTAGTTTCTGTAGGTAGATATTTCCTATTTTAAGCATAGGCCTGAAAGCGCTCCAAATGCCCGCTTCCAGACACTATAAAAAGAGGGTTTCAAACCTACTCTATGAAAGGGAATGTTCAACTCTGAGAGCTGGATGCAAACATCACAAAGAAGTTTCTGAGAATGCTGCTGTCTACTTTTTATATATAATCCCGTTTCCAACGAAATCCTCAAATCTATCCAAATATCCACTTGCAGATTCCAAAAGAAGAGTGTCTCAAAACTGCTCTATCAATAGAAATGTTCAGCACAGTTAGTTGAGTAGATACAGCATAAACATGTTTCTGAGATTACTTCTATCTCGCATTCATGGGAAGATATTTCCTTTTTCCAGATAGGCTACAAAGCCCTCCAAATGTCCACTTCCAGATACTACAAATAGAGTGCTGCACAACTGCTCTATGTGAGGGGAAGTTCAATTCTGTGACTTGAATGCAGACACCACAAAGAAGTTTCTGAGAATGCTGCTGTCTAATTTTTACATGTAAGCCCGTTTCCAACGAAATCCTCAAAGCTATCCAAATATCCGCATGCAGAATCTTCAAAAAGAGTGTTCCAGAAGTACTGCATGAAACGAAAGGTTCAAGTCCGTTTGTTGAGGACACACATCACAAATAAGTTTCTCAGAATGCTTCTGTCTTGTTTTCATTGGAAGATATTTCCTTTTTCACCATAGTTCAGAAAGCGCTCCAAATGTCCACTTCCAGATACTCCAAAAAGAGTGTTTCCAACCTGCTCTATGAATGGGAATGTTCCACTCTGTGACTTGAATGGAAATATGGCAAAGTATTTTCTGAGTATGCTGCTGTGTACGTTTTATATTGCATCCCGTTTCCAACGAAATCCTCAAAGCGATCCAAATATCCACTTGCAGATTCCAAAAAAAGAGTGTTTCAAACTGCTCTGTCAGTACAAAGGTTCAACACTGTTAGTTGATTAGATGCATCATAAACAAGTTCCTGAGATAGCTTCTATGTCGTTTTTATGGGAAGATATTTCCTTTTTCACCATAGGCCTGAAAGCGCTCCAAATGTCCACTTCCAGATACTACAATAAGAGTGTTTCCAACCTGCTCTATGAAACGGAAGGTTCAACTCTGTGACTTGATTGCAAACATCACGAAGGTGTTTCTGAGAATGCTTCTGTCTAGATTTTCTTTGAAGACATTCCCGTTTCCAACGAAATCCTCACAGCTATCCAAATATCCTCTTGCAGATTCTACAAAAAGTGTGGTTCAAAACTGCTGTATCAAAAGAATGGATCAACACTGTTAGTTGAGTACCCACATCACAAACGTGATTCTCAGAATGCTTCTGTCTAGTTTCTGTAGGTAGATATTTCCTATTTTAAGCATAGGCCTGAAAGCGCTCCAAATGCCCGCTTCCAGACACTATAAAAAGAGGGTTTCAAACCTACTCTATGAAAGGGAATGTTCAACTCTGAGAGCTGGATGCAAACATCACAAAGAAGTTTCTGAGAATGCTGCTGTCTACTTTTTATATATAATCCCGTTTCCAACGAAATCCTCAAATCTATCCAAATATCCACTTGCAGATTCCAAAAGAAGAGTGTCTCAAAACTGCTCTATCAATAGAAATGTTCAGCACAGTTAGTTGAGTAGATACAGCATAAACATGTTTCTGAGATTACTTCTATCTCGCATTCATGGGAAGATATTTCCTTTTTCCAGATAGGCTACAAAGCCCTCCAAATGTCCACTTCGAGATACTACAAATAGAGTGCTGCACAACTGCTCTATGTGAGGGGAAGTTCAATTCTGTGACTTGAATGCAGACACCACAAAGAAGTTTCTGAGAATGCTGCTGTCTAATTTTTACATGTAAGCCCGTTTCCAACGAAATCCTCAAAGCTATCCAAATATCCGCATGCAGAATCTTCAAAAAGAGTGTTCCAGAAGTACTGCATGAAACGAAAGGTTCAAGTCCGTTTGTTGAGGACACACATCACAAATAAGTTTCTCAGAATGCTTCTGTCTTGTTTTCATTGGAAGATATTTCCTTTTTCACCATAGTTCAGAAAGCGCTCCAAATGTCCACTTCCAGATACTCCAAAAAGAGTGTTTCAAACCTGCTCTATGAATGGGAATGTTCCACTCTGTGACTTGAATGGAAATATGGCAAAGTATTTTCTGAGTATGCTGCTGTGTACGTTTTATATTGCATCCCGTTTCCAACGAAATCCTCAAAGCGATCCAAATATCCACTTGCAGATTCCAAAAAAAGAGTGTTTCAAACTGCTCTGTCAGTACAAAGGTTCAACACTGTTAGTTGATTAGATGCATCATAAACAAGTTCCTGAGATAGCTTCTATGTCGTTTTTATGGGAAGATATTTCCTTTTTCACCATAGGCCTTAAAGCGCTCCAAATGTCCACTTCCAGATACTACAAAAAGAGTGTTTCCAACCTGCTGTATGAAACGGAAGGTTCAAATCTGTGACTTGATTGCAAACATCACGAAGGTGTTTCTGAGAATGCTTCTGTCTAGATTTTCTTTGAAGACATTACCGTTTCCAACGAAATCCTCAAAGCTAGCCAAATATCCACCTGCAGATTCTACAAAAAGAGTGTTTCAAAAGTGCTCTGTCCAAACCAAGGTTCAATTCTGACAGTTGAGTGCACACATCACAAACGTGATTCTGCGAATGCTTCTGTCTAGTTTTTGTCGGAAGATATTTCCTTTTTCAGCATAGGCCCCAAGGAGCTCACAATGTCCACTGCCAGATAGTACGAGAAGATTGTTTCAAATCTGCTCTGTGAAAGGGAATGTTCAACTCTGTGACTTGAATGTAAACATCCCTAAGATGTTTCTTAGAATGCTTCTGGCTAGATTTGATTTGAAGATATTCCCGTTTCCAACGAAATCCTCAAAGCTTTCCAAATATCCACTTCCAGATTCTATAAAAAGAATGTTTCAGAACAGTTCTGTCAAAAGAAAGGTTCAACTCTGTTAGTGGAGAACACACATCACAATCAAGGTTCTGAGAATGCTTCTGTCTAAGTTTTCTAAGAAGACATTCCCGTTTCCAACGAAATCCTCACAGCTATCCAAATATCCACTTGCAGATTCTACAAAAAGTGTGGTTCAAAACTGCTGTATCAAAAGAATGGATCAACACTGTTAGTTGAGTACCCACATCACAAACGTGATTCTCAGAATGCTTCTGTCTAGTTTCTGTAGGTAGATATTTCCTATTTTAAGCATAGGCCTGAAAGCGCTCCAAATGCCCGCTTCCAGACACTATAAAAAGAGGGTTTCAAACCTACTCTATGAAAGGGAATGTTCAACTCTGAGAGCTGGATGCAAACATCACAAAGAAGTTTCTGAGAATGCTGCTGTCTACTTTTTATATATAATCCCGTTTCCAACGAAATCCTCAAATCTATCCAAATATCCACTTGCAGATTCCAAAAGAAGAGTGTCTGAAAACTGCTCTATCAATAGAAATGTTCAGCACAGTTAGTTGAGTAGATACAGCATAAACATGTTTCTGAGATTACTTCTATCTCGCATTCATGGGAAGATATTTCCTTTTTCCAGATAGGCTACAAAGCCCTCCAAATGTCCACTTCCAGATACTACAAATAGAGTGCTGCACAACTGCTCTATGTGAGGGGAAGTTCAATTCTGTGACTTGAATGCAGACACCACAAAGAAGTTTCTGAGAATGCTGCTGTCTAGTTTTTATATGTAAGCCCGTTTCCAACGAAATCCTCAAAGCTATCCAAATATCCGCATGCAGAATCTTCAAAAAGAGTGTTCCAGAAGTACTGCATGAAACGAAAGGTTCAAGTCCGTTAGTTGAGGACACACATCACAAATAAGTTTCTCAGAATGCTTCTGTCTTGTTTTCATTGGAAGATATTTCCTTTTTCACCATAGTTCAGAAAGCCCTCCAAATGTCCACTTCCACATACTACAAAAAGAGTGTTTCCAACCTGCTCTATGAATGGGAATGTTCCACTCTGTGACTTGAATGGAAATATGGCAACGTATTTTCTGAGTATGCTGCTGTGTACGTTTTATATTGCATCCCGTTTCCAACGAAATCCTCAAAGCGCTCCAAATATCCACTTGCAGATTCCAAAAAAAAGAGTGTTTCACACTGCTCTGTCAGTACAAAGGTTCAACACTGTTAGTTGATTGGATGCATCATAAACAAGTTCCTGAGATAGCTTCTATGTCGTTTTTATGGGAAGATATTTCCTTTTTCACCATAGGCCTGAAAGGGCTCCAAATGTCCACTTCCAGATACTACAAAAAGAGTGTTTCCAACCTGCTCTATGAAACGGAAGGTTCAACTCTGTGACTTGATTGCAAACATCACGAAGGTGTTTCTGAGAATGTTTCTGTCTAGATTTTCTTTGAAGACATTACCGTTTCCAACGAAATCCTCAAAGCTAGCCAAATATCCACCTGCAGATTCTACAAAGAGTGTTTCAAAAGTGCTCTGTCCAAACCAAGGTTCAATTCTGACAGTTGAGTGCACACATCACAAACGTGATTCTGCGAATGCTTCTGTCTAGTTTTTGTCGGAAGATATTTCCTTTTTCAGCATAGGCCCCAAGGAGCTCAAAATGTCCACTTCCAGATAGTACGAGAAGATTGTTTCAAACCTGCTCTGTGAAAGGGAATGTTCAACTCTGTGACTTGAATGTAAACATCCCTAAGATGTTTCTTAGAATGCTTCTGGCTAGATTTGATTTGAAGATATTCCCGTTTCCAACGAAATCCTCAAAGCTTTCCAAATATCCACTTCCAGATTCTATAAAAAGAATGTTTCAGAACAGTTCTGTCAAAAGAAAGGTTCAACTCTGTTAGTGGAGAACACACATCACAATCAAGGTTCTGAGAATGCTTCTGTCTAAATTTTCTATGAAGACATTCCCGTTTCCAACGAAATCCTCACAGCTATCCAAATATCCACTTGCAGATTCTACAAAAAGTGTGGTTCAAAACTGCTGTATCAAAAGAATGGATCAACACTGTTAGTTGAGTACCCACATCACAAACGGTGATTCTCAGAATGCTTCTGTCTAGTTTCTATACGTAGATATTTCCTTTTTCAGCATAGGCCTGAAAGCGCTCCAAATGCCCGCTTCCAGACACTATAAAAAGAGGGTTTCAAACCTACTCTATGAAAGGGAATGTTCAACTCTGAGAGCTGGATGCAAACATCACAAAGAAGTTTCTGAGAATGCTGCTGTCTACTTTTTATATATAATCCCGTTTCCAACGAAATCCTCAAATCTATCCAAATATCCACTTGCAGATTCCAAAAGAAGAGTGTCTCAAAACTGCTCTATCAATAGAAATGTTCAGCACAGTTAGTTGAGTAGATACAGCATAAACATGTTTCTGAGATTACTTCTATCTCGCATTCATGGGAAGATATTTCCTTTTTCCAGATAGGCTACAAAGCCCTCCAAATGTCCACTTCGAGATACTACAAATAGAGTGCTGCACAACTGCTCTATGGGAGGAGATGTTCAATTCTGTGACTTGAATGCAGACACCACAAAGAAGTTTCTGAGAATGCTTGCTGTCTAATTTTTACATGTAAGCCCGTTTCCAACGAAATCCTCAAAGCTATCCAAATATCCGCATGCAGAATCTTCAAAAAGAGTGTTCCAGAAGTACTGCATGAAACGAAAGGTTCAAGTCCGTTTGTTGAGGACACACATCACAAATAAGTTTCTCAGAATGCTTCTGTCTTGTTTTCATTGGAAGATATTTCCTTTTTCACCATAGTTCAGAAAGCGCTCCAAATGTCCACTTCCAGATACTCCAAAAAGAGTGTTTCCAACCTGCTCTATGAATGGGAATGTTCCACTCTGTGACTTGAATGGAAATATGGCAAAGTATTTTCTGAGTATGCTGCTGTGTACGTTTTATATTGCATCCCGTTTCCAACGAAATCCTCAAAGCGATCCAAATATCCACTTGCAGATTCCAAAAAAAGAGTGTTTCAAACTGCTCTGTCAGTACAAAGGTTCAACACTGTTAGTTGATTAGATGCATCATAAACAAGTTCCTGAGATAGCTTCTATGTCGTTTTTATGGGAAGATATTTCCTTTTTCACCATAGGCCTGAAAGCGCTCCAAATGTCCACTTCCAGATACTACAATAAGAGTGTTTCCAACCTGCTCTATGAAACGGAAGGTTCAACTCTGTGACTTGATTGCAAACATCACGAAGGTGTTTCTGAGAATGCTTCTGTCTAGATTTTCTTTGAAGACATCCCCGTTTCCAACGAAATCCTCACAGCTATCCAAATATCCTCTTGCAGATTCTACAAAAAGTGTGGTTCAAAACTGCTGTATCAAAAGAATGGATCAACACTGTTAGTTGAGTACCCACATCACAAACGTGATTCTCAGAATGCTTCTGTCTAGTTTCTGTAGGTAGATATTTCCTATTTTAAGCATAGGCCTGAAAGCGCTCCAAATGCCCGCTTCCAGACACTATAAAAAGAGGGTTTCAAACCTACTCTATGAAAGGGAATGTTCAACTCTGAGAGCTGGATGCAAACATCACAAAGAAGTTTCTGAGAATGCTGCTGTCTACTTTTTATATATAATCCCGTTTCCAACGAAATCCTCAAATCTATCCAAATATCCACTTGCAGATTCCAAAAGAAGAGTGTCTGAAAACTGCTCTATCAATAGAAATGTTCAGCACAGTTAGTTGAGTAGATACAGCATAAACATGTTTCTGAGATTACTTCTATCTCGCATTCATGGGAAGATATTTCCTTTTTCCAGATAGGCTACAAAGCCCTCCAAATGTCCACTTCCAGATACTACAAATAGAGTGCTGCACAACTGCTCTATGTGAGGGGAAGTTCAATTCTGTGACTTGAATGCAGACACCACAAAGAAGTTTCTGAGAATGCTGCTGTCTAATTTTTACATGTAAGCCCGTTTCCAACGAAATCCTCAAAGCTATCCAAATATCCGCATGCAGAATCTTCAAAAAGAGTGTTCCAGAAGTACTGCATGAAACGAAAGGTTCAAGTCCGTTTGTTGAGGACACACATCACAAATAAGTTTCTCAGAATGCTTCTGTCTTGTTTTCATTGGAAGATATTTCCTTTTTCACCATAGTTCAGAAAGCGCTCCAAATGTCCACTTCCAGATACTCCAAAAAGAGTGTTTCCAACCTGCTCTATGAATGGGAATGTTCCACTCTGTGACTTGAATGGAAATATGGCAAAGTATTTTCTGAGTATGCTGCTGTGTACGTTTTATATTGCATCCCGTTTCCAACGAAATCCTCAAAGCGATCCAAATATCCACTTGCAGATTCCAAAAAAAGAGTGTTTCAAACTGCTCTGTCAGTACAAAGGTTCAACACTGTTAGTTGATTAGATGCATCATAAACAAGTTCCTGAGATAGCTTCTATGTCGTTTTTATGGGAAGATATTTCCTTTTTCACCATAGGCCTGAAAGCGCTCCAAATGTCCACTTCCAGATACTACAATAAGAGTGTTTCCAACCTGCTCTATGAAACGGAAGGTTCAACTCTGTGACTTGATTGCAAACATCACGAAGGTGTTTCTGAGAATGCTTCTGTCTAGATTTTCTTTGAAGACATTACCGTTTCCAACGAAATCCTCAAAGCTAGCCAAATATCCACCTGCAGATTCTACAAAAAGAGTGTTTCAAAAGTGCTCTGTCCAAACCAAGGTTCAATTCTGACAGTTGAGTGCACACATCACAAACGTGATTCTGCGAATGCTTCTGTCTAGTTTTTGTCGGAAGATATTTCCTTTTTCAGCATAGGCCCCAAGGAGCTCAAAATGTCCACTGCCAGATAGTACGAGAAGATTGTTTCAAACCTGCTCTGTGAAAGGGAATGTTCAACTCTGTGACTTGAATGTAAACATCCCTAAGATGTTTCTTAGAATGCTTCTGGCTAGATTTTATTTGAAGATATTCCCGTTTCCAACGAAATCCTCAAAGCTTTCCAAATATCCACTTCCAGATTCTATAAAAAGAATGTTTCAGAACAGTTCTGTCAAAAGAAAGGTTCAACTCTGTTAGTGGAGAACACACATCACAATCAAGGTTCTGAGAATGCTTCTGTCTAAATTTTCTATGAAGACATTCCCGTTTCCAACGAAATCCTCACAGCTATCCAAATATCCACTTGCAGATTCTACAAAAAGTGTGGTTCAAAACTGCTGTATCAAAAGAATGGATCAACACTGTTAGTTGAGTACCCACATCACAAACGTGATTCTCAGAATGCTTCTGTCTAGTTTCTATAGGTAGATATTTCCTTTTTCAGCATAGGCCTGAAAGCGCTCCAAATGCCCGCTTCCAGACACTATAAAAAGAGGGTTTCAAACCTACTCTATGAAAGGGAATGTTCAACTCTGAGAGCTGGATGCAAACATCACAAAGAAGTTTCTGAGAATGCTGCTGTCTACTTTTTATATATAATCCCGTTTCCAACGAAATCCTCAAATCTATCCAAATATCCACTTGCAGATTCCAAAAGAAGAGTGTCTCAAAACTGCTCTATCAATAGAAATGTTCAGCACAGTTAGTTGAGTAGATACAGCATAAACATGTTTCTGAGATTACTTCTATCTCGCATTCATGGGAAGATATTTCCTTTTTCCAGATAGGCTACAAAGCCCTCCAAATGTCCACTTCCAGATACTACAAATAGAGTGCTGCACAACTGCTCTATGTGAGGGGAAGTTCAATTCTGTGACTTGAATGCAGACACCACAAAGAAGTTTCTGAGAATGCTGCTGTCTAATTTTTACATGTAAGCCCGTTTCCAACGAAATCCTCAAAGCTATCCAAATATCCGCATGCAGAATCTTCAAAAAGAGTGTTCCAGAAGTACTGCATGAAACGAAAGGTTCAAGTCCGTTTGTTGAGGACACACATCACAAATAAGTTTCTCAGAATGCTTCTGTCTTGTTTTCATTGGAAGATATTTCCTTTTTCACCATAGTTCAGAAAGCGCTCCAAATGTCCACTTCCAGATACTCCAAAAAGAGTGTTTCCAACCTGCTCTATGAATGGGAATGTTCCACTCTGTGACTTGAATGGAAATATGGCAAAGTATTTTCTGAGTATGCTGCTGTGTACGTTTTATATTGCATCCCGTTTCCAACGAAATCCTCAAAGCGATCCAAATATCCACTTGCAGATTCCAAAAAAAGAGTGTTTCAAAGTGCTCTGTCAGTACAAAGGTTCAACACTGTTAGTTGATTAGATGCATCATAAACAAGTTCCTGAGATAGCTTCTATGTCGTTTTTATGGGAAGATATTTCCTTTTTCACCATAGGCCTGAAAGCGCTCCAAATGTCCACTTCCAGATACTACAATAAGAGTGTTTCCAACCTGCTCTATGAAACGGAAGGTTCAACTCTGTGACTTGATTGCAAACATCACGAAGGTGTTTCTGAGAATGCTTCTGTCTAGATTTTCTTTGAAGACATTCCCGTTTCCAACGAAATCCTCACAGCTATCCAAATATCCTCTTGCAGATTCTACAAAAAGTGTGGTTCAAAACTGCTGTATCAAAAGAATGGATCAACACTGTTAGTTGAGTACCCACATCACAAACGTGATTCTCAGAATGCTTCTGTCTAGTTTCTGTAGGTAGATATTTCCTATTTTAAGCATAGGCCTGAAAGCGCTCCAAATGCCCGCTTCCAGACACTATAAAAAGAGGGTTTCAAACCTACTCTATGAAAGGGAATGTTCAACTCTGAGAGCTGGATGCAAACATCACAAAGAAGTTTCTGAGAATGCTGCTGTCTACTTTTTATATATAATCCCGTTTCCAACGAAATCCTCAAATCTATCCAAATATCCACTTGCAGATTCCAAAAGAAGAGTGTCTCAAAACTGCTCTATCAATAGAAATGTTCAGCACAGTTAGTTGAGTAGATACAGCAGGAACATGTTTCTGAGATTACTTCTATCTCGCATTCATGGGAAGATATTTCCTTTTCCAGATAGGCTACAAAGCCCTCCAAATGTCCACTTCCAGATACTACAAATAGAGTGCTGCACAACTGCTCTATGTGAGGGGAAGTTCAATTCTGTGACTTGAATGCAGACACCACAAAAAAGTTTCTGAGAATGCTGCTGTCTAATTTTTACATGTAAGCCCGTTTCCAACGAAATCCTCAAAGCTCTCCAAATATCCGCATGCAGAATCTTCAAAAAGAGTGTTCCAGAAGTACTGCATGAAACGAAAGGTTCAAGTCCGTTTGTTGAGGACACACATCACAAAGAAGTTTCTCAGAATGCTTCTGTCTTGTTTTCATTGGAAGATATTTCCTTTTTCACCATAGTTCAGAAAGCGCTCCAAATGTCCACTTCCAGATACTCCAAAAAGAGTGTTTCAAACCTGCTCTATGAATGGGAATGTTCCACTCTGTGACTTGAATGGAAATATGGCAAAGTATTTTCTGAGTATGCTGCTGTGTACGTTTTATATTGCATCCCGTTTCCAACGAAATCCTCAAAGCGATCCAAATATCCACTTGCAGATTCCAAAAAAAGAGTGTTTCAAACTGCTCTGTCAGTACAAAGGTTCAACACTGTTAGTTGATTAGATGCATCATAAACAAGTTCCTGAGATAGCTTCTATCTCGCATTCATGGGAAGATATTTCCTTTTTCCAGATAGGCTACAAAGCCCTCCAAATGTCCACTTCCAGATACTACAAAAAGTGTGTTTCCAACCTGCTCTATGAAACGGAAGGTTCAACTCTGTGACTTGATTGCAAACATCACGAAGGTGTTTCTGAGAATGCTTCTGTCTAGATTTTCTTTGAAGACATTACCGTTTCCAACGAAATCCTCAAAGCTAGCCAAATATCCACCTGCAGATTCTACAAAAAGAGTGTTTCAAAAGTGCTCTCTCCAAACCAAGGTTCAATTCTGACAGTTGAGTGCACACATCACAAACGTGATTCTGCGAATGCTTCTGTCTAGTTTTTGTCGGAAGATATTTCCTTTTTCAGCATAGGCCCCAAAGAGCTCAAAATGTCCACTGCCAGATAGTACGAGAAGATTGTTTCAAACCTGCTCTGTGAAAGGGAATGTTCAACTCTGTGACTTGAATGTAAACATCCCTAAGATGTTTCTTAGAATGCTTCTGGCTAGATTTTATTTGAAGATATTCCCGTTTCCAACGAAATCCTCAAAGCTTTCCAAATATCCACTTCCAGATTCTATAAAAAGAATGTTTCAGAACAGTTCTGTCAAAAGAAAGGTTCAACTCTGTTAGTGGAGAACACACATCACAATCAAGGTTCTGAGAATGCTTCTCTCTAAATTTTCTATGAAGACATTCCCGTTTCCAACGAAATCCTCACAGCTATCCAAATATCCACTTGCAGATTCTACAAAAAGTGTGGTTCAAAACTGCTGTATCAAAAGAATGGATCAACACTGTTAGTTGAGTACCCACATCACAAACGTGATTCTCAGAATGCTTCTGTCTAGTTTCTATAGGTAGATATCTCCTTTTTCAGCATAGGCCTGAAAGCGCTCCAAATGCCCGCTTCCAGACACTATAAAAAGAGGGTTTCAAACCTACTCTATGAAAGGGAATGTTCAACTCTGAGAGCTGGATGCAAACATCACAAAGAAGTTTCTGAGAATGCTGCTGTCTACTTTTGATATATAATCCCGTTTCCAACGAAATCCTCAAATCTATCCAAATATCCACTTGCAGATTCCAAAAGAAGAGGGTCTCAAAACTGCTCTATCAATAGAAATGTTCAGCACAGTTAGTTGAGTAGATACAGCATAAACATGTTTCTGAGATTACTTCTATCTCGCATTCATGGGAAGATATTTCCTTTTTCCAGATAGGCTACAAAGCCCTCCAAATGTCCACTTCCAGATACTACAAATAGAGTGCTGCACAACTGCTCTATGTGAGGGGAAGTTCAATTCTGTGACTTGAATGCAGACACCACAAAGAAGTTTCTGAGAATGCTGCTGTCTAATTTTTACATGTAAGCCCGTTTCCAACGAAATCCTCAAAGCTATCCAAATATCCGCATGCAGAATCTTCAAAAAGAGTGTTCCAGAAGTACTGCATGAAACGAAAGGTTCAAGTCCGTTTGTTGAGGACACACATCACAAATAAGTTTCTCAGAATGCTTCTGTCTTGTTTTCATTGGAAGTTATTTCCTTTTTCACCACAGTTCAGAAAGCGCTCCAAATGTCCACTTCCAGATACTCCAAAAAGAGTGTTTCAAACCTGCTCTATGAATGGGAATGTTCCACTCTGTGACTTGAATGGAAATATGGCAAAGTATTTTCTGAGTATGCTGCTGTGTACGTTTTATATTGCATCCCGTTTCCAACGAAATCCTCAAAGCGATCCAAATATCCACTTGCAGATTCCAAAAAAAGAGTGTTTCAAACTGCTCTGTCAGTACAAATGTTCAACACTGTTAGTTGATTAGATGCATCATAAACAAGTTCCTGAGATAGCTTCTATGTCGTTTTTATGGGAAGATATTTCCTTTTTCACCATAGGCCTGAAAGTGCTCCAAATGTCCACTTCCACATACTACAAAAAGAGTGTTTCCAACCTGCTCTATGAAACGGAAGGTTCAACTCTGTGACTTGATTGCAAACATCACGAAGGTGTTTCTGAGAATGCTTCTGTCTAGATTTTCTTTGAAGACATTACCGTTTCCAACGAAATCCTCAAAGCTAGCCAAATATCCACCTGCAGATTCTACAAAAAGAGTGTTTCAAAAGTGCTCTGTCCAAACCAAGGTTCAATTCTGACAGTTGAGTGCACACATCACAAACGTGATTCTGCGAATGCTTCTATCTAGTTTTTGTCGGAAGATATTTCCTTTTTCAGCATAGGCCCCAAGGAGCTCAAAATGTCCACTTCCAGATAGTACGAGAAGATTGTTTCAAACCTGTTCTGCGAAAGGGAATGTTCCACTCTGTGACTTGAATGTAAACATCCCTAATATGTTTCTTAGAATGCTTCTGGCTAGATTTTATTTGAAGATATTCCCGTTTCCAACGAAATCCTCAAAGCTTTCCAAATATCCACTTCCAGATTCTATAAAAAGAATGTTTCAGAACATTTCTGTCAAAAGAAAGGTTCAACTCTGTTAGTGGAGAACACACATCACAATCAAGGTTCTGAGAATGCTTCTGTCTAAATTTTCTATGAAGACATTCCCGTTTCCAACGAAATCCTCACAGCTATCCAAATATCCACTTGCAGATTCTACAAAAAGTGTGGTTCAAAACTGCTGTATCAAAAGAATGGATCAACACTGTTAGTTGAGTACCCACATCACAAACGTGATTCTCAGAATGCTTCTGTCTAGTTTCTATAGGTAGATATTTCCTTTTTCAGCATAGGCCTGAAAGCGCTCCAAATGCCCGCTTCCAGACACTATAAAAAGAGGGTTTCAAACCTACTCTATGAAAGGGAATGTTCAACTCTGAGAGCTGGATGCAAACATCACAAAGAAGTTTCTGAGAATGCTGCTGTCTACTTTTTATATATAATCCCGTTTCCAACGAAATCCTCAAATCTATCCAAATATCCACTTGCAGATTCCAAAAGAAGAGTGTCTCAAAACTGCTCTATCAATAGAAATGTTCAGCACAGTTAGTTGAGTAGATACAGCATAAACATGTTTCTGAGATTACTTCTATCTCGCATTCATGGGAAGATATTTCCTTTTTCCAGATAGGCTACAAAGCCCTCCAAATGTCCACTTCCAGATACTACAAATAGAGTGCTGCACAACTGCTCTATGTGAGGGGAAGTTCAATTCTGTGACTTGAATGCAGACACCACAAAGAAGTTTCTGAGAATGCTGCTGTCTAATTTTTACATGTAAGCCCGTTTCCAACGAAATCCTCAAAGCTATCCAAATATCCGCATGCAGAATCTTCAAAAAGAGTGTTCCAGAAATACTGCATGAAACAAAAGGTTCAAGTCCGTTTGTTGAGGACACACATCACAAATAAGTTTCTCAGAATGCTTCTGTCTTGTTTTCATTGGAAGATATTTCCTTTTTCACCATAGTTCAGAAAGCGCTCCAAATGTCCACTTCCAGATACTCCAAAAAGAGTGTTTCCAACCTGCTCTATGAATGGGAATGTTCCACTCTGTGACTTGAATGGAAATATGGCAAAGTATTTTCTGAGTATGCTGCTGTGTACGTTTTATATTGCATCCCGTTTCCAACGAAATCCTCAAAGCGATCCAAATATCCACTTGCAGATTCCAAAAAAAGAGTGTTTCAAACTGCTCTGTCAGTACAAAGGTTCAACACTGTTAGTTGATTAGATGCATCATAAACAAGTTCCTGAGATAGCTTCTATGTCGTTTTTATGGGAAGATATTTCCTTTTTCACCATAGGCCTGAAAGCGCTCCAAATGTCCACTTCCAGATACTACAAAAAGAGTGTTTCCAACCTGCTCTATGAAACGGAAGGTTCAACTCTGTGACTTGATTGCAAACATCACGAAGGTGTTTCTGAGAATGCTTCTGTCTAGATTTTCTTTGAAGACATTCCCGTTTCCAACGAAATCCTCACAGCTATCCAAATATCCTCTTGCAGATTCTACAAAAAGTGTGGTTCAAAACTGCTGTATCAAAAGAATGGATCAACACTGTTAGTTGAGTACCCACATCACAAACGTGATTCTCAGAATGCTTCTGTCTAGTTTCTGTAGGTAGATATTTCCTATTTTAAGCATAGGCCTGAAAGCGCTCCAAATGCCCGCTTCCAGACACTATAAAAAGAGGGTTTCAAACCTACTCTATGAAAGGGAATGTTCAACTGCTGAGAGCTGGATGCAAACATCACAAAGAAGTTTCTGAGAATGCTGCTGTCTACTTTTTATATATAATCCCGTTTCCAACGAAATCCTCAAATCTCTCCAAATATCCACTTGCAGATTCCAAAAGAAGAGTGTCTCAAAACTGCTCTATCAATAGAAATGTTCAGCACAGTTAGTTGAGTAGATACAGCATAAACATGTTTCTGAGATTACTTCTATCTCGCATTCATGGGAAGATATTTCCTTTTTCCACATAGGCTACAAAGCCCTCCAAATGTCCACTTCCAGATACTACAAAAAGAGTGTTTCCAACCTGCTCTATGAAACGGAAGGTTCAACTCTGTGACTTGATTGCAAACATCACGAAGGTGTTTCTGAGAATGCTTCTGTCTAGATTTTCTTTGAAGACATTACCGTTTCCAACGAAATCCTCAAAGCTAGCCAAATATCCACCT
The DNA here is from genome assembly GCF_000001405.40 of Homo sapiens. Taxonomy (NCBI): domain Eukaryota; kingdom Metazoa; phylum Chordata; class Mammalia; order Primates; family Hominidae; genus Homo; species Homo sapiens. The sequence goes on along the minus strand of NC_000008.11, from coordinate 45,127,969 downwards.
GCAGATTCTACAAAAAGAGTGTTTCAAAAGTGCTCTGTCCAAACCAAGGTTCAATTCTGACAGTTGAGTGCACACATCACAAACGTGATTCTGCGAATGCTTCTGTCTAGTTTTTGTCGGAAGATATTTCCTTTTTCAGCATAGGCCCCAAGGAGCTCAAAATGTCCACTGCCAGATAGTACGAGAAGATTGTTTCAAACCTGCTCTGTGAAAGGGAATGTTCAACTCTGTGACTTGAATGTAAACATCCCTAAGATGTTTCTTAGAATGCTTCTGGCTAGATTTGATTTGAAGATATTCCCGTTTCCAACGAAATCCTCAAAGCTTTCCAAATATCCACTTCCAGATTCTATAAAAAGAATGTTTCAGAACAGTTCTGTCAAAAGAAAGGTTCAACTCTGTTAGTGGAGAACACACATCACAATCAAGGTTCTGAGAATGCTTCTGTCTAATTTTCTATGAAGACATTCCCGTTTCCAACGAAATCCTCACAGCTATCCAAATATCCACTTGCAGATTCTACAAAAAGTGTGGTTCAAAACTGCTGTATCAAAAGAATGGATCAACACTGTTAGTTGAGTACCCACATCACAAACGTGATTCTCAGAATGCTTCTGTCTAGTTTCTATAGGTAGATATTTCCTTTTTCAGCATAGGCCTGAAAGCGCTCCAAATGCCCGCTTCCAGACACTATAAAAAGAGGGTTTCAAACCTACTCTATGAAAGGGAATGTTCAACTCTGAGAGCTGGATGCAAACATCACAAAGAAGTTTCTGAGAATGCTGCTGTCTACTTTTTATATATAATCCCGTTTCCAACGAAATCCTCAAATCTATCCAAATATCCACTTGCAGATTCCAAAAGAAGAGTGTCTCAAAACTGCTCTATCAATAGAAATGTTCAGCACAGTTAGTTGAGTAGATACAGCATAAACATGTTTCTGAGATTACTTCTATCTCGCATTCATGGGAAGATATTTCCTTTTTCCAGATAGGCTACAAAGCCCTCCAAATGTCCACTTCCAGATACTACAAATAGAGTGCTGCACAACTGCTCTATGTGAGGGGATGTTCAATTCTGTGACTTGAATGCAGACACCACAAAGAAGTTTCTGAGAATGCTGCTGTCTAATTTTTACATGTAAGCCCGTTTCCAACGAAATCCTCAAAGCTATCCAAATATCCGCATGCAGAATCTTCAAAAAGAGTGTTCCAGAAGTACTGCATGAAACGAAAGGTTCAAGTCCGTTTGTTGAGGACACACATCACAAATAAGTTTCTCAGAATGCTTCTGTCTTGTTTTCATTGGAAGATATTTCCTTTTTCACCATAGTTCAGAAAGCGCTCCAAATGTCCACTTCCAGATACTCCAAAAAGAGTGTTTCAAACCTGCTCTATGAATGGGAATGTTCCACTCTGTGACTTGAATGGAAATATGGCAAAGTATTTTCTGAGTATGCTGCTGTGTACGTTTTATATTGCATCCCGTTTCCAACGAAATCCTCAAAGCGATCCAAATATCCACTTGCAGATTCCAAAAAAAGAGTGTTTCAAACTGCTCTGTCAGTACAAAGGTTCAACACTGTTAGTTGATTAGATGCATCATAAACAAGTTCCTGAGATAGCTTCTATGTCGTTTTTATGGGAAGATATTTCCTTTTTCACCATAGGCCTGAAAGCGCTCCAAATGTCCACTTCCAGATACTACAAAAAGAGTGTTTCCAACCTGCTCTATGAAACGGAAGGTTCAACTCTGTGACTTGATTGCAAACATCACGAAGGTGTTTCTGAGAATGCTTCTGTCTAGATTTTCTTTGAAGACATTACCGTTTCCAACGAAATCCTCAAAGCTAGCCAAATATCCACCTGCAGATTCTACAAAAAGAGTGTTTCAAAAGTGCTCTCTCCAAACCAAGGTTCAATTCTGACAGTTGAGTGCACACATCACAAACGTGATTCTGCGAATGCTTCTGTCTAGTTTTTGTCGGAAGATATTTCCTTTCTCAGCATAGGCCCCAAGGAGCTCAAAATGTCCACTTCCAGATAGTACGAGAAGATTGTTTCAAACCTGCTCTGTGAAAGGGAATGTTCAACTCTGTGACTTGAATGTAAACATCCCTAAGATGTTTCTTAGAATGCTTCTGGCTAGATTTGATTTGAAGATATTCCCGTTTCCAACGAAATCCTCAAAGCTTTCCAAATATCCACTTCCAGATTCTATAAAAAGAATGTTTCAGAACAGTTCTGTCAAAAGAAAGGTTCAACTCTGTTAGTGGAGAACACACTTCACAATCAAGGTTCTGAGAATGCTTCTGTCTAAATTTTCTATGAAGACATTCCCGTTTCCAACGAAATCCTCACAGCTATCCAAATATCCACTTGCAGATTCTACAAAAAGTGTGGTTCAAAACTGCTGTATCAAAAGAATGGATCAACACTGTTAGTTGAGTACCCACATCACAAACGTGATTCTCAGAATGCTTCTGTCTAGTTTCTATAGGTAGATATTTCCTTTTTCAGCATAGGCCTGAAAGCGCTCCAAATGCCCGCTTCCAGACACTATAAAAAGAGGGTTTCAAACCTACTCTATGAAAGGGAATGTTCAACTCTGAGAGCTGGATGCAAACATCACAAAGAAGTTTCTGAGAATGCTGCTGTCTACTTTTGATATATAATCCCGTTTCCAACGAAATCCTCAAATCTATCCAAATATCCACTTGCAGATTCCAAAAGAAGAGTGTCTCAAAACTGCTCTATCAATAGAAATGTTCAGCACAGTTAGTTGAGTAGATACAGCATAAACATGTTTCTGAGATTACTTCTATCTCGCATTCATGGGAAGATATTTCCTTTTTCCAGATAGGCTACAAAGCCCTCCAAATGTCCACTTCCAGATACTACAAAGAGTGTTTCCAACCTGCTCTATGAAACGGAAGGTTCAACTCTGTGACTTGATTGCAAACATCACGAAGGTGTTTCTGAGAATGCTTCTGTCTAGATTTTCTTTGAAGACATCACCGTTTCCAACGAAATCCTCAAAGCTAGCCAAATATCCACCTGCAGATTCTACAAAAAGAGTGTTTCAAAAGTGCTCTGTCCAAACCAAGGTTCAATTCTGACAGTTGAGTGCACACATCACAAACGTGATTCTGCGAATGCTTCTGTCTAGTTTTTGTCGGAAGATATTTCCTTTTTCAGCATAGGCCCCAAGGAGCTCAAAATGTCCACTGCCAGATAGTACGAGAAGATTGTTTCAAACCTGCTCTGTGAAAGGGAATGTTCAACTCTGTGACTTGAATGTAAACATCCCTAAGATGTTTCTTAGAATGCTTCTGGCTAGATTTTATTTGAAGATATTCCCGTTTCCAACGAAATCCTCAAAGCTTTCCAAATATCCACTTCCAGATTCTATAAAAAGAATGTTTCAGAACAGTTCTGTCAAAAGAAAGGTTCAACTCTGTTAGTGGAGAACACACATCACAATCAAGGTTCTGAGAATGCTTCTGTCTAAATTTTCTATGAAGACATTCCCGTTTCCAACGAAATCCTCACAGCTATCCAAATATCCACTTGCAGATTCTACAAAAAGTGTGGTTCAAAACTGCTGTATCAAAAGAATGGATCAACACTGTTAGTTGAGTACCCACATCACAAACGTGATTCTCAGAATGCTTCTGTCTAGTTTCTATAGGTAGATATTTCCTTTTTCAGCATAGGCCTGAAAGCGCTCCAAATGCCCGCTTCCAGACACTATAAAAAGAGGGTTTCAAACCTACTCTATGAAAGGGAATGTTCAACTCTGAGAGCTGGATGCAAACATCACAAAGAAGTTTCTGAGAATGCTGCTGTCTACTTTTTATATATAATCCCGTTTCCAACGAAATCCTCAAATCTATCCAAATATCCACTTGCAGATTCCAAAAGAAGAGGGTCTCAAAACTGCTCTATCAATAGAAATGTTCAGCACAGTTAGTTGAGTAGATACAGCATAAACATGTTTCTGAGATTACATCTATCTCGCATTCATGGGAAGATATTTCCTTTTTCCAGATAGGCTACAAAGCCCTCCAAATGTCCACTTCCAGATACTACAAAAAGTGTGTTTCCAACCTGCTCTATGAAACGGAAGGTTCAACTCTGTGACTTGATTTCAAACATCACGAAGGTGTTTCTGAGAATGCTTCTGTCTAGATTTTCTTTGAAGACATTACCGTTTCCAACGAAATCCTCAAAGCTAGCCAAATATCCACCTGCAGATTCTACAAAAAGTGTGTTTCAAAAGTGCTCTCTCCAAACCAAGGTTCAATTCTGACAGTTGAGTGCACACATCACAAACGTGATTCTGCGAATGCTTCTGACTAGTTTTTGTCGGAAGATATTTCCTTTTTCAGCATAGGCCCCAAAGAGCTCAAAATGTCCACTGCCAGATAGTACGAGAAGATTGTTTCAAACCTGCTCTGTGAAAGGGAATGTTCAACTCTGTGACTTGAATGTAAACATCCCTAAGATGTTTCTTAGAATGCTGCTGTGTACGTTTTATATTGCATCCCGTTTCCAACGAAATACTCAAAGCGATCCAAATATCCACTTGCAGATTCTATAAAAAGAATGTTTCAGAACAGTTCTGTCAAAAGAAAGGTTCAACACTGTTAGTGGAGAACACACATCACAATCAAGGTTCTGAGAATGCTTCTGTCTAGATTTTCTTTGAAGACATTCCCGTTTCCAACGAAATCCTCACAGCTATCCAAATATCCTCTTGCAGATTCTACAGAAAGTGTGGTTCAAAACTGCTGTATCAAAAGAATGGATCAACACTGTTAGTTGAGTACCCACATCACAAACGTGATTCTCAGAATGCTTCTGTCTAGTTTCTGTAGGTAGATATTTCCTATTTTAAGCATAGGCCTGAAAGCGCTCCAAATGCCCGCTTCCAGACACTATAAAAAGAGGGTTTCAAACCTACTCTATGAAAGGGAATGTTCAACTCTGAGAGCTGGATGCAAACATCACAAAGAAGTTTCTGAGAATGCTGCTGTCTACTTTTTATATATAATCCCGTTTCCAACGAAATCCTCAAATCTATCCAAATATCCACTTGCAGATTCCAAAAGAAGAGTGTCTCAAAACTGCTCTATCAATAGAAATGTTCAGCACAGTTAGTTGAGTAGATACAGCATAAACATGTTTCTGAGATTACTTCTATCTCGCATTCATGGGAAGATATTTCCTTTTTCCAGATAGGCTACAAAGCCCTCCAAATGTCCACTTCCAGATACTACAAATAGAGTGCTGCACAACTGCTCTATGTGAGGGGATGTTCAATTCTGTGACTTGAATGCAGACACCACAAAGAAGTTTCTGAGAATGCTGCTGTCTAATTTTTACATGTAAGCCCGTTTCCAACGAAATCCTCAAAGCTATCCAAATATCCGCATGCAGAATCTTCAAAAAGAGTGTTCCAGAAGTACTGCATGAAACGAAAGGTTCAAGTCCGTTTGTTGAGGACACACATCACAAATAAGTTTCTCAGAATGCTTCTGTCTTGTTTTCATTGGAAGATATTTCCTTTTTCACCATAGTTCAGAAAGCGCTCCAAATGTCCACTTCCAGATACTCCAAAAAGAGTGTTTCCAACCTGCTCTATGAATGGGAATGTTCCACTCTGTGACTTGAATGGAAATATGGCAAAGTATTTTCTGAGTATGCTGCTGTGTACGTTTTATATTGCATCCCGTTTCCAACGAAATCCTCAAAGCGATCCAAATATCCACTTGCAGATTCCAAAAAAAGAGTGTTTCAAACTGCTCTGTCAGTACAAAGGTTCAACACTGTTAGTTGATTAGATGCCTCATAAACAAGTTCCTGAGATAGCTTCTATGTCGTTTTTATGGGAAGATATTTCCTTTTTCACCATAGGCCTGAAAGCGCTCCAAATGTCCACTTCCAGATACTACAAAAAGAGTGTTTCCAACCTGCTCTATGAAACGGAAGGTTCAACTCTGTGACTTGATTGCAAACATCACGAAGGTGTTTCTGAGAATGTTTCTGTCTAGATTTTCTTTGAAGACATTCCCGTTTCCAACGAAATCCTCACAGCTATCCAAATATCCTCTTGCAGATTCTACAAAAAGTGTGGTTCAAAACTGCTGTATCAAAAGAATGGATCAACACTGTTAGTTGAGTACCCACATCACAAACGTGATTCTCAGAATGCTTCTGTCTAGTTTCTGTAGGTAGATATTTCCTATTTTAAGCATAGGCCTGAAAGCGCTCCAAATGCCCGCTTCCAGACACTATAAAAAGAGGGTTTCAAACCTACTCTATGAAAGGGAATGTTCAACTCTGAGAGCTGGATGCAAACATCACAAAGAAGTTTCTGAGAATGCTGCTGTCTACTTTTTATATATAATCGCGTTTCCAACGAAATCCTCAAATCTATCCAAATATCCACTTGCAGATTCCAAAAGAAGAGTGTCTCAAAACTGCTCTATCAATAGAAATGTTCAGCACAGTTAGTTGAGTAGATACAGCATAAACATGTTTCTGAGATTACTTCTATCTCGCATTCATGGGAAGATATTTCCTTTTTCCAGATAGGCTACAAAGCCCTCCAAATGTCCACTTCCAGATACTACAAAAAGAGTGTTTCCAACCTGCTCTATGAAACGGAAGGTTCAACTCTGTGACTTGATTGCAAACATCACGAAGGTGTTTCTGAGAATGCTTCTGTCTAGATTTTCTTTGAAGACATTACCGTTTCCAACGAAATCCTCAAAGCTAGCCAAATATCCACCTGCAGATTCTGCAAAAAGAGTGTTTCAAAAGTGCTCTGTCCAAACCAAGGTTCAATTCTGACAGTTGAGTGCACACATCACAAACGTGATTCTGCGAATGCTTCTGTCTAGTTTTTGTCGGAAGATATTTCCTTTTTCAGCATAGGCCCCAAGGAGCTCAAAATGTCCACTGCCAGATAGTACGAGAAGATTGTTTCAAACCTGCTCTGTGAAAGGGAATGTTCAACTCTGTGACTTGAATGTAAACATCCCTAAGATGTTTCTTAGAATGCTTCTGGCTAGATTTTATTTGAAGATATTCCCGTTTCCAACGAAATCCTCAAAGCTTTCCAAATATCCACTTCCAGATTCTATAAAAAGAATGTTTCAAAACAGTTCTGTCAAAAGAAAGGTTCAACTCTATTAGTGGAGAACACACATCACAATCCAGGTTCTGAGAATTCTTCTGTCTAAATTTTCTTTGAAGACATTCCCGTTTCCAACGAAATCCTCACAGCTATCCAAATATCCACTTGCAGATTCTACAAAAAGTGTGGTTCAAAACTGCTGTATCAAAAGAATGGATCAACACTGTTAGTTGAGTACCCACATCACAAACGTGATTCTCAGAATGCTTCTGTCTAGTTTCTATAGGTAGATATTTCCTTTTTCAGCATAGGCCTGAAAGCGCTCCAAATGCCCGCTTCCAGACACTATAAAAAGAGGGTTTCAAACCTACTCTATGAAAGGGAATGTTCAACTCTGAGAGCTGGATGCAAACATCACAAAGAAGTTTCTGAGAATGCTGCTGTCTACTTTTTATATATCATCCCGTTTCCAACGAAATCCTCAAATCTATCCAAATATCCACTTGCAGATTCCAAAAGAAGAGTGTCTCAAAACTGCTCTATCAATAGAAATGTTCAGCACAGTTAGTTGAGTAGATACAGCATAAACATGTTTCTGAGATTACTTCTATCTCGCATTCATGGGAAGATATTTCCTTTTTCCAGATAGGCTACAAAGCCCTCCAAATGTCCACTTCCAGATACTACAAATAGAGTGCTGCACAACTGCTCTATGTGAGGGGAAGTTCAATTCTGTGACTTGAATGCAGACACCACAAAGAAGTTTCTGAGAATGCTGCTGTCTAATTTTTACATGTAAGGCCGTTTCCAACGAAATCCTCAAAGCTATCCAAATATCCGCATGCAGAATCTTCAAAAAGAGTGTTCCAGAAGTACTGCATGAAACGAAAGGTTCAAGTCCGTTTGTTGAGGACACACATCACAAATAAGTTTCTCAGAATGCTTCTGTCTTGTTTTCATTGGAAGATATTTCCTTTTTCACCATAGTTCAGAAAGCGCTCCAAATGTCCACTTCCAGATACTCCAAAAAGAGTGTTTCCAACCTGCTCTATGAATGGGAATGTTCCACTCTGTGACTTGAATGGAAACATGGCAAAGTATTTTCTGAGTATGCTGCTGTGTACGTTTTATATTGCATCCCGTTTCCAACGAAATCCTCAAAGTGATCCAAATATCCACTTGCAGATTCCAAAAAAAGAGTGTTTCAAAGTGCTCTGTCAGTACAAAGGTTCAACACTGTTAGTTGATTAGATGCATCATAAACAAGTTCCTGAGATAGCTTCTATGTCGTTTTTATGGGAAGATATTTCCTTTTTCACCATAGGCCTGAAAGCGCTCCAAATGTCCACTTCCAGATACTACAATAAGAGTGTTTCCAACCTGCTCTATGAAACGGAAGGTTCAACTCTGTGACTTGATTGCAAACATCACGAAGGTGTTTCTGAGAATGCTTCTGTCTAGATTTTCTTTGAAGACATTACCGTTTCCAACGAAATCCTCACAGCTATCCAAATATCCACTTGCAGATTCTACAAAAAGTGTGGTTCAAAACTGCTGTATCAAAAGAATGGATCAACACTGTTAGTTGAGTACCCACATCACAAACGTGATTCTCAGAATGCTTCTGTCTAGTTTCTGTAGGTAGATATTTCCTATTTTAAGCATAGGCCTGAAAGCGCTCCAAATGCCCGCTTCCAGACACTATAAAAAGAGGGTTTCAAACCTACTCTATGAAAGGGAATGCTCAACTCTGAGAGCTGGATGCAAACATCACAAAGAAGTTTCTGAGAATGCTGCTGTCTACTTTTTATACATAATCCCGTTTCCAACGAAATCCTCAAATCTATCCAAATATCCACTTGCAGATTCCAAAAGAAGAGTGTCTCAAAACTGCTCTATCAATAGAAATGTTCAGCACAGTTAGTTGAGTAGATACAGCATAAACATGTTTCTGAGATTACTTCTATCTCGCATTCATGGGAAGATATTTCCTTTTTCCAGATAGGCTACAAAGCCCTCCAAATGTCCACTTCCAGATACTACAAAAAGAGTGTTTCCAACCTGCTCTATGAAACGGAAGGTTCAACTCTGTGACTTGATTGCAAACATCACGACGCTGTTTCTGAGAATGCTTCTGTCTAGATTTTCTTTGAAGACATTACCGTTTCCAACGAAATCCTCAAAGCTAGCCAAATATCCACCTGCAGATTCTACAAAAAGAGTGTTTCAAAAGTGCTCTGTCCAAACAAAGGTTCAATTCTGACAGTTGAGTGCACACATCACAAACGTGATTCTGCGAATGCTTCTGTCTAGTTTTTGTCGGAAGATATTTCCTTTTTCAGCATAGGCCCCAAGGAGCTCAAAATGTCCACTTCCAGATACTACGAGAAGATTGTTTCAAACCTGCTCTGTGAAAGGGAATGTTCAACTCTGTGACTTGAATGTAAACATCCCTAAGATGTTTCTTAGAATGCTTCTGGCTAGATTTGATTTGAAGATATTCCCGTTTCCAACGAAATCCTCAAAGCTTTCCAAATATCCACTTCCAGATTCTATAAAAAGAATGTTTCAGAACAGTTCTGTCAAAAGAAAGGTTCAACTCTGTTAGTGGAGAACACACATCACAATCAAGGTTCTGAGAATGCTTCTGTCTAAATTTTCTATGAAGACATTCCCGTTTCCAAGGAAATCCTCACAGCTATCCAAATATCCACTTGCAGATTCTACAAAAAGTGTGGTTCAAAACTGCTGTATCAAAAGAATGGATCAACACTGTTAGTTGAGTACCCACATCACAAACGTGATTCTCAGAATGCTTCTGTCTAGTTTCTATAGGTAGATATTTCCTTTTTCAGCATAGGCCTGAAAGCGCTCCAAATGCCCGCTTCCAGACACTATAAAAAGAGGGTTTCAAACCTACTCTACGAAAGGGAATGTTCAACTCTGAGAGCTGGATGCAAACATCACAAAGAAGTTTCTGAGAATGCGGCTGTCTACTTTGTATATATAATCCCGTTGCCAACGAAATCCTCAAATCTATCCAAATATCCACTTGCAGATTCCAAAAGAAGAGTGTCTCAAAACTGCTCTATCAATAGAAATGTTCAGCACAGTTAGTTGAGTAGATACAGCATAAACATGTTTCTGAGATTACTTCTATCTCGCATTCATGGGAAGATATTTCCTTTTTCCAGATAGGCTACAAAGCCCTCCAAATGTCCACTTCGAGATACTACAAATAGAGTGCTGCACAACTGCTGTATGTGAGGGGATGTTCAATTCTGTGACTTGGATGCAGACACCACAGAGAAGTTTCTGAGAATGCTGCTGTCTAATTTTTATATGTAAGCCCGTTTCCAACGAAATCCTCAAAGCTATCCAAATATCCGCATGCAGAATCTTCAAAAAGAGTGTTCCAGAAGTACTGCATGAAACGAAAGGTTCAAGTCCGTTAGTTGAGGACACACATCACAAATAAGTTTCTCAGAATGCTTCTGTCTTGTTTTCATTGGAAGATATTTCCTTTTTCACCATAGTTCAGAAAGCGCTCCAAATGTCCACTTCCAGATATTCCAAAAAGAGTGTTTCCAACCTGCTCTATGAATGGGAATGTTCCACTCTGTGACTTGAATGGAAATATGGCAAAGTATTTTGCTGAGTATGCTGCTGTGTACGTTTTATATTGCATCCCGTTTCCAACGAAATCCTCAAAGCGATCCAAATATCCACTTGCAGATTCCAAAAAAAGAGTGTTTCAAACTGCTCTGTCAGTACAAAGGTTCAACACTGTTAGTTGATTAGATGCATCATAAACAAGTTCCTGAGATAGCTTCTATGTCGTTTTTATGGGAAGATATTTCCTTTTTCACCATAGGCCTGAAAGCGCTCCAAATGTCCACTTCCAGATACTACAATAAGAGTGTTTCCAACCTGCTCTATGAAACGGAAGGTTCAACTCTGTGACTTGATTGCAAACATCACGAAGGTGTTTCTGAGAATGCTTCTGTCTAGATTTTCTTTGAAGACATTCCCGTTTCCAACGAAATCCTCACAGCTATCCAAATATCCTCTTGCAGATTCTACAAAAAGTGTGGTTCAAAACTGCTGTATCAAAAGAATGGATCAACACTGTTAGTTGAGTACCCACATCACAAACGTGATTCTCAGAATGCTTCTGTCTAGTTTCTGTAGGTAGATATTTCCTATTTTAAGCATAGGCCTGAAGCGCTCCAAATGCCCGCTTCCAGACACTATAAAAAGAGGGTTTCAAACCTACTCTATGAAAGGGAATGTTCAACTCTGAGAGCTGGATGCAAACATCACAAAGAAGTTTCTGAGAATGCTGCTGTCTACTTTTGATATATAATCCCGTTTCCAACGAAATCCTCAAATCTATCCAAATATCCACTTGCAGATTCCAAAAGAAGAGTGTCTCAAAACTGCTCTATCAATAGAAATGTTCAGCACAGTTAGTTGAGTAGATACAGCATAAACATGTTTCTGAGATTACTTCTATCTCGCATTCATGGGAAGATATTTCCTTTTTCCAGATAGGCTACATAGCCCTCCAAATGTCCACTTCCAGATACTACAAATAGAGTGCTGCACAACTGCTCTATGTGAGGGGAAGTTCAATTCTGTGACTTGAATGCAGACACCACAAAGAAGTTTCTGAGAATGCTGCTGTCTAATTTTTACATGTAAGCCCGTTTCCAACGAAATCCTCAAAGCTATCCAAATATCCGCATGCAGAATCTTCAAAAAGAGTGTTCCAGAAGTACTGCATGAAACGAAAGGTTCAAGTCCGTTTGTTGAGGACACACATCACAAATAAGTTTCTCAGAATGCTTCTGTCTTGTTTTCATTGGAAGATATTTCCTTTTTCACCATAGTTCAGAAAGCGCTCCAAATGTCCACTTCCAGATACTCCAAAAAGAGTGTTTCCAACCTGCTCTATGAATGGGAATGTTCCACTCTCTGACTTGAATGGAAATATGGCAAAGTATTTTCTGAGTATGCTGCTGTGTACGTTTTATATTGCATCCGGTTTCCAACGAAATCCTCAAAGCGATCCAAATATCCACTTGCAGATTCCAAAAAAAGAGTGTTTCAAACTGCTCTGTCAGTACAAAGGTTCAACACTTTTAGTTGATTAGATGCATCATAAACAAGTTCCTGAGATAGCTTCTATGTCGTTTTTATGGGAAGATATTTCCTTTTTCACCATAGGCCTGAAAGCACTCCAAATGTCCACTTCCAGATACTACAAAAAGAGTGTTTCCAACCTGCTCTATGAAACGGAAGGTTCAACTCTGTGACTTGATTGCAAACATCACGAAGGTGTTTCTGAGAATGCTTCTGTCTAGATTTTCTTTGAAGACATTACCGTTTCCAACGAAATCCTCAAAGCTAGCCAAATATCCACCTGCAGATTCTACAAAAAGAGTGTTTCAAGAGTGCTCTCTCCAAACCAAGGTTCAATTCTGACAGTTGAGTGCACACATCACAAACGTGATTCTGCGAATGCTTCTGTCTAGTTTTTGTCGGAAGATATTTCCTTTTTCAGCATAGGCCCCAAGGAGCTCAAAATGTCCACTGCCAGATAGTACGAGAAGATTGTTTCAAACCTGCTCTGTGAAAGGGAATGTTCAACTCTGTGACTTGAATGTAAACATCCCTAAGCTGTTTCTTAGAATGCTTCTGGCTAGATTTGATTTGAAGATATTCCCGTTTCCAACGAAATCCTCAAAGCTTTCCAAATATCCACTTCCAGATTCTATAAAAAGAATGTTTCAGAACAGTTCTGTCAAAAGAAAGGTTCAACTCTGTTAGTGGAGAACACACATCACAATCAAGGTTCTGAGAATGCTTCTGTCTAGATTTTCTTTGAAGACATTCCCGTTTCCAACGAAATCCTCACAGCTATCCAAATATCCTCTGGCAGATTCTACAAAAAGTGTGGTTCAAAACTGCTGTATCAAAAGAATGGATCAACACTGTTAGTTGAGTACCCACATCACAAACGTGATTCTCAGAATGCTTCTGTCTAGTTTCTGTAGGTAGATATTTCCTATTTTAAGCATAGGCCTGAAAGCGCTCCAAATGCCCGCTTCCAGACACTATAAAAAGAGGGTTTCAAACCTACTCTATGAAAGGGAATGTTCAACTCTGAGAGCTGGATGCAAACATCACAAAGAAGTTTCTGAGAATGCTGCTGTCTACTTTTTATATATAATCCCGTTTCCAACGAAATCCTCAAATCTATCCAAATATCCACTTGCAGATTCCAAAAGAAGAGTGTCTCAAAACTGCTCTATCAATAGAAATGTTCAGCACAGTTAGTTGAGTAGATACAGCATAAACATGTTTCTGAGATTACTTCTATCTCGCATTCATGGGAAGATATTTCCTTTTTCCAGATAGGCTACAAAGCCCTCCAAATGTCCACTTCCAGATACTACAAATAGAGTGCTGCACAACTGCTCTATGTGAGGGGATGTTCAATTCTGTGACTTGAATGCAGACACCACAAAGAAGTTTCTGAGAATGCTGCTGTCTAATTTTTACATGTAAGCCCGTTTCCAACGAAATCCTCAAAGCTATCCAAATATCCGCATGCAGAATCTTCAAAAAGAGTGTTCCAGAAGTACTGCATGAAACGAAAGGTTCAAGTCCGTTTGTTGAGGACACACATCACAAATAAGTTTCTCAGAATGCTTCTGTCTTGTTTTCATTGGAAGATATTTCCTTTTTCACCATAGTTCAGAAAGCGCTCCAAATGTCCACTTCCAGATACTCCAAAAAGAGTGTTTCCAACCTGCTCTATGAATGGGAATGTTCCACTCTGTGACTTGAATGGAAATATGGCAAAGTATTTTCTGAGTATGCTGCTGTGTACGTTTTATATTGCATCCCGTTTCCAACGAAATCCTCAAAGCGATCCAAATATCCACTTGCAGATTCCAAAAAAAGAGTGTTTCAAAGTGCTCTGTCAGTAAAAAGGTTCAACACTGTTAGTTGATTAGATGCATCATAAACAAGTTCCTGAGATAGCTTCTATGTCGTTTTTATGGGAAGATATTTCCTTTTTCACCATAGGCCTGAAAGCGCTCCAAATGTCCACTTCCAGATACTACAATAAGAGTGTTTCCAACCTGCTCTATGAAACGGAAGGTTCAACTCTGTGACTTGATTGCAAACATCACGAAGGTGTTTCTGAGAATGCTTCTGTCTAGATTTTCTTTGAAGACATTCCCGTTTCCAACGAAATCCTCACAGCTATCCAAATATCCTCTTGCAGATTCTACAAAAAGTGTGGTTCAAAACTGCTGTATCAAAAGAATGGATCAACACTGTTAGTTGAGTACCCACATCACAAACGTGATTCTCAGAATGCTTCTGTCTAGTTTCTGTAGGTAGATATTTCCTATTTTAAGCATAGGCCTGAAAGCGCTCCAAATGCCCGCTTCCAGACACTATAAAAAGAGGGTTTCAAACCTACTATATGAAAGGGAATGTTCAACTCTGAGAGCTGGATGCAAACATCACAAAGAAGTTTCTGAGAATGCTGCTGTCTACTTTTTATATATAATCCCGTTTCCAACGAAATCCTCAAATCTATCCAAATATCCATTTGCAGATTCCAAAAGAAGAGTGTCTCAAAACTGCTCTATCAATAGAAATGTTCAGCACAGTTAGTTGAGTAGATACAGCATAAACATGTTTCTGAGATTACTTCTATCTCGCATTCATGGGAAGATATTTCCTTTTTCCAGATAGGCTACAAAGCCCTCCAAATGTCCACTTCCAGATACTACAAAAAGAGTGTTTCCAACCTGCTCTATGAAACGGAAGGTTCAACTCTGTGACTTGATTGCAAACATCACGAAGGTGTTTCTGAGAATGCTTCTGTCTAGATTTTCTTTGAAGACATTACCGTTTCCAACGAAATCCTCAAAGCTAGCCAAATATCCACCTGCAGATTCTACAAAAAGAGTGTTTCAAAAGTGCTCTGTCCAAACCAAGGTTCAATTCTGACAGTTGAGTGCACACATCACAAACGTGATTCTGCGAATGCTTCTGTCTAGTTTTTGTCGGAAGATATTTCCTTTTTCAGCATAGGCCCCAAGGAGCTCAAAATGTCCACTGCCAGATAGTACGAGAAGATTGTTTCAAACCTGCTCTGTGAAAGGGAATGTTCAACTCTGTGACTTGAATGTAAACATCCCTAAGATGTTTCTTAGAATGCTTCTGGCTAGATTTTATTTGAAGATATTCCCGTTTCCAACGAAATCCGCAAAGCTTTCCAAATATCCACTTCCAGATTCTATAAAAAGAATGTTTCAGAACAGTTCTGTCAAAAGAAAGGTTCAACTCTGTTAGTGGAGAACACACATCACAATCAAGGTTCTGAGAATGCTTCTGTCTAAATTTTCTATGAAGACATTCCCGTTTCGAAGGAAATCCTCACAGCTATCCAAATATCCACTTGCAGATTCTACAAAAAGTGTGGTTCAAAACTGCTGTATCAAAAGAATGGATCAACACTGTTAGTTGAGTACCCACATCACAAACGTGATTCTCAGAATGCTTCTGTCTAGTTTCTATAGGTAGATATTTCCTTTTTCAGCATAGGCCTGAAAGCGCTCCAAATGCCCGCTTCCAGACACTATAAAAAGAGGGTTTCAAACCTACTCTATGAAAGGGAATGTTCAACTCTGAGAGCTGGATGCAAACATCACAAAGAAGTTTCTGAGAATGCTGCTGTCTACTTTTGATATATAATCCCGTTTCCAACGAAATCCTCAAATCTATCCAAATATCCACTTGCAGATTCCAAAAGAAGAGTGTCTCAAAACTGCTCTATCAATAGAAATGTTCAGCACAGTTAGTTGAGTAGATACAGCATAAACATGTTTCTGAGATTACTTCTATCTCGCATTCATGGGAAGATATTTCCTTTTTCCAGATAGGCTACAAAGCCCTCCAAATGTCCACTTCCAGATACTACAAAAAGTGTGTTTCCAACCTGCTCTATGAAACGGAAGGTTCAACTCTGTGACTTGATTGCAAACATCACGAAGGTGTTTCTGAGAATGCTTCTGTCTAGATTTTCTTTGAAGACATTACCGTTTCCAACGAAATCCTCAAAGCTAGCCAAATATCCACCTGCAGATTCTACAAAAAGAGTGTTTCAAAAGTGCTCTCTCCAAACCAAGGTTCAATTCTGACAGTTGAGTGCACACATCACAAACGTGATTCTGCGAATGCTTCTGTCTAGTTTTTGTCGGAAGATATTTCCTTTTTCAGCATAGGCCCCAAAGAGCTCAAAATGTCCACTGCCAGATAGTACGAGAAGATTGTTTCAAACCTGCTCTGTGAAAGGGAATGTTCAACTCTGTGACTTGAATGTAAACATCCCTAAGATGTTTCTTAGAATGCTTCTGGCTAGATTTGATTTGAAGATATTCCCGTTTCCAACGAAATCCTCAAAGCTTTCCAAATATCCACTTCCAGATTCTATAAAAAGAATGTTTCAGAACAGTTCTGTCAAAAGAAAGGTTCAACTCTGTTAGTGGAGAACACACATCACAATCAAGGTTCTGAGAATGCTTCTGTCTAAATTTTCTATGAAGACATTCCCGTTTCCAACGAAATCCTCACAGCTATCCAAATATCCACTTGCAGATTCTACAAAAAGTGTGGTTCAAAACTGCTGTATCAAAAGAATGGATCAACACTGTTAGTTGAGTACCCACATCACAAACGTGATTCTCAGAATGCTTCTGTCTAGTTTCTATAGGTAGATATTTCCTTTTTCAGCATAGGCCTGAAAGCGCTCCAAATGCCCGCTTCCAGACACTATAAAAAGAGGGTTTCAAACCTACTCTATGAAAGGGAATGTTCAACTCTGAGAGCTGGATGCAAACATCACAAAGAAGTTTCTGAGAATGCTGCTGTCTACTTTTGATATATAATCCCGTTTCCAACGAAATCCTCAAATCTATCCAAATATCCACTTGCAGATTCCAAAAGAAGAGTGTCTCAAAACTGCTCTATCAATAGAAATGTTCAGCACAGTTAGTTGAGTAGATACAGCATAAACATGTTTCTGAGATTACTTCTATCTCGCATTCATGGGAAGATATTTCCTTTTTCCAGATAGGCTACAAAGACCTCCAAATGTCCACTTCCAGATACTACAAAAAGAGTGTTTCCAACCTGCTCTATGAAATGGAAGGTTCAACTCTGTGACTTGATTGCAAACATCACGAAGGTGTTTCTGAGAATGCTTCTGTCTAGATTTTCTTTGAAGACATTACCGTTTCCAACGAAATCCTCAAAGCTAGCTAAATATCCACCTGCAGATTCTACAAAAAGAGTGTTTCAAAAGTGCTCTGTCCAAACCAAGGTTCAATTCTGACAGTTGAGTGCACACATCACAAACGTGATTCTGCGAATGCTTCTGTCTAGTTTTTGTCGGAAGATATTTCCTTTTTCAGCATAGGCCCCAAGGAGCTCAAAATGTCCACTGCCAGATAGTACGAGAAGATTGTTTCAAACCTGCTCTGTGAAAGGGAATGTTCAACTCTGTGACTTGAATGTAAACATCCCTAAGATGTTTCTTAGAATGCTTCTGGCTAGATTTTATTTGAAGATATTCCCGTTTCCAATGAAATCCTCAAAGCTTTCCAAATATCCACTTCCAGATTCTATAAAAAGAATGTTTCAGAACAGTTCTGTCAAAAGAAAGGTTCAACTCTGTTAGTGGAGAACACACACCACAATCAAGGTTCTGAGAATGCTTCTGTCTAAATTTTCTATGAAGACATTCCCGTTTCCAACGAAATCCTCACAGCTATCCAAATATCCACTTGCAGATTCTACAAAAAGTGTGGTTCAAAACTGCTGTATCAAAAGAATGGATCAACACTGTTAGTTGAGTACCCACATCACAAACGTGATTCTCAGAATGCTTCTGTCTAGTTTCTATAGGTAGATATTTCCTTTTTCAGCATAGGCCTGAAAGCGCTCCAAATGCCCGCTTCCAGACACTATAAAAAGAGGGTTTCAAACCTACTCTATGAAAGGGAATGTTCAACTCTGAGAGCTGGATGCAAACATCACAAAGAAGTTTCTGAGAATGCTGCTGTCTACTTTTTATATATAATCCCATTTCCAACAAAATCCTCAAATCTATCCAAATATCCACTTGCAGATTCCAAAAGAAGAGTGTCTCAAAACTGCTCTATCAATAGAAATGTTCAGCACAGTTAGTTGAGTAGATACAGCATAAACATGTTTCTGAGATTACTTCTATCTCGCATTCATGGGAAGATATTTCCTTTTTCCAGATAGGCTACAAAGCCCTCCAAATGTCCACTTCCAGATACTACAAAAAGAGTGTTTCCAACCTGCTCTATGAAACGGAAGGTTCAACTCTGTGACTTGATTGCAAACATCACGAAGGTGTTTCTGAGAATGCTTCTGTCTAGATTTTCTTTGAAGACATTACCGTTTCCAACGAAATCCTCAAAGCTAGCTAAATATCCACCTGCAGATTCTACAAAAAGAGTGTTTCAAAAGTGCTCTGTCCAAACCAAGGTTCCATTCTGACAGTTGAGTGCACACATCACAAACGTGATTCTGCGAATGCTTTCTGTCTAGTTTTTGTCGGAAGATATTTCCTTTTTCAGCATAGGCCCCAAGGAGCTCAAAATGTCCACTGCCAGATAGTACGAGAAGATTGTTTCAAACCTGCTCTGTGAAAGGGAATGTTCAACTCTGTGACTTGAATGTAAACATCCCTAAGATGTTTCTTAGAATGCTTCTGGCTAGATTTTATTTGAAGATATTCCCGTTTCCAACGAAATCCTCAAAGCTTTCCAAATATCCACTTCCAGATTCTATAAAAAGAATGTTTCAGAACAGTTCTGTCAAAAGAAAGGTTCAACTCTGTTAGTGGAGAACACACATCACAATCAAGGTTCTGAGAATGCTTCTGTCTAAATTTTCTATGAAGACATTCCCGTTTCCAACGAAATCCTCACAGCTATCCAAATATCCACTTGCAGATTCTACAAAAAGTGTGGTTCAAAACTGCTGTATCAAAAGAATGGATCAACACTGTTAGTTGAGTACCCACATCACAAACGTGATTCTCAGAATGCTTCTGTCTAGTTTCTGTAGGTAGATATTTCCTATTTTAAGCATAGGCCTGAAAGCGCTCCAAATGCCCGCTTCCAGACACTATAAAAAGAGGGTTTCAAACCTACTCTATGAAAGGGAATGTTCAACTCTGAGAGCTGGATGCAAACATCACAAAGAAGTTTCTGAGAATGCTGCTGTCTACTTTTTATATATAATCCCGTTTCCAACGAAATCCTCAAATCTATCCAAATATCCACTTGCAGATTCCAAAAGAAGAGGGTCTCAAAACTGCTCTATCAATAGAAATGTTCAGCACAGTTAGTTGAGTAGATACAGCATAAACATGTTTCTCAGATTACTTCTATCTCGCATTCATGGGAAGATATTTCCTTTTTCCAGATAGGCTACAAAGCCCTCCAAATGTCCACTTCCAGATACTACAAATAGAGTGCTGCACAACTGCTCTATGTGAGGGGAAGTTCAATTCTGTGACTTGAATGCAGACACCACAAAGAAGTTTCTGAGAATGCTGCTGTCTAATTTTTACATGTAAGCCCGTTTCCAACGAAATCCTCAAAGCTATCCAAATATCCGCATGCAGAATCTTCAAAAAGAGTGTTCCAGAAGTACTGCATGAAACGAAAGGTTCAAGTCCGTTTGTTGAGGACACACATCACAAATAAGTTTCTCAGAATGCTTCTGTCTTGTTTTCATTGGAAGATATTTCCTTTTTCACCATAGTTCAGAAAGCGCTCCAAATGTCCACTTCCAGATACTCCAAAAAGAGTGTTTCCAACCTGCTCTATGAATGGGAATGTTCCACTCTGTGACTTGAATGGAAATATGGCAAAGTATTTTCTGAGTATGCTGCTGTGTACGTTTTATATTGCATCCCGTTTCCAACGAAATCCTCAAAGCGATCCAAATATCCACTTGCAGATTCCAAAAAAAACAGTGTTTCACACTGCTCTGTCAGTACAAAGGTTCAACACTTTTAGTTGATTGGATGCATCATAAACAAGTTCCTGAGATAGCTTCTATGTCGCTTTTATGGGAAGATATTTCCTTTTACACCATAGGCCTGAAAGCGCTCCAAATGTCCACTTCCAGATACTACAAAATGAGTGTTTCCAACCTGCACTATGAAACGGAAGGTTCAACTCTGTGAATTGATTGCAAACATCACGAAGGTGTTTCTGAGGATGTTTCTGTCTAGATTTTCTTTGAAGACATTACCGTTTCCAACGAAATCCTCAAAGCTAGCCAAATATCCACCTGCAGATTCTACAAAAAGAGTGTTTCAAAAGTGCTCTGTCCAAACCAAGGTTCAATTCTGACAGTTGAGTGCACACATCACAAACGTGATTCTGCGAATGCTTCTGTCTAGTTTTTGTCGGAAGATATTTCGTTTTTCAGCATAGGCCCCAAGGAGCTCAAAATGTCCACTGCCAGATAGTACGAGAAGATTGTTTCATACCTGCTCTGTGAAAGGGAATGTTCAACTCTGTGACTTGAATGTAAACATCCCTAAGATGTTTCTTAGAATGCTTCTGGCTAGATTTGATTTGAAGATATTCCCGTTTCCAACGAAATCCTCAAAGCTTTCCAAATATCCACTTCCAGATTCTATAAAAAGAATGTTTCAGAACAGTTCTGTCAAAAGAAAGGTTCAACTCTGTTAGTGGAGAACACACATCACAATCAAGGTTCTGAGAATGCTTCTGTCTAAATTTTCTATGAAGACATTCCCGTTTCCACCGAAATCCTCACAGCTATCCAAATATCCACTTGCAGATTCTACAAAAAGTGTGGTTCAAAACTGCTGTATCAAAAGAATGGATCAACACTGTTAGTTGAGTACCCACATCACAAACGTGATTCTCAGAATGCTTCTGTCTAGTTTCTATAGGTAGATATTTCCTTTTTCAGCATAGGCCTGAAAGCGCTCCAAATGCCCGCTTCCAGACACTATAAAAAGAGGGTTTCAAACCTACTCTATGAAAGGGAATGTTCAACTCTGAGAGCTGGATGCAAACATCACAAAGAAGTTTCTGAGAATGCTGCTGTCTACTTTTTATATATAATCCCGTTTCCAACGAAATCCTCAAATCTATCCAAATATCCACTTGCAGATTCCAAAAGAAGAGTGTCTCAAAACTGCTCTATCAATAGAAATGTTCAGCACAGTTAGTTGAGTAGATACAGCATAAACATGTTTCTGAGATTACTTCTATCTCGCATTCATGGGAAGATATTTCCTTTTTCCAGATAGGCTACAAAGCCCTCCAAATGTCCACTTCCAGATACTACAAAAAGAGTGTTTCCAACCTGCTCTATGAAACGGAAGGTTCAACTCTGTGACTTGATTGCAAACATCACGAAGGTGTTTCTGAGAATGCTTCTGTCTAGATTTTCTTTGAAGACATTACCGTTTCCAACGAAATCCTCAAAGCTAGCCAAATATCCACCTGCAGATTCTACAAAAAGAGTGTTTCAAAAGTGCTCTGTCCAAACCAAGGTTCAATTCTGACAGTTGAGTGCACACATCACAAACGTGATTCTGCGAATGCTTCTGTCTAGTTTTTGTCGGAAGATATTTCCTTTTTCAGCATAGGCCCCAAGGAGCTCAAAATGTCCACTGCCAGATAGTACGAGAAGATTGTTTCAAACCTGCTCTGTGAAAGGGAATGTTCAACTCTGTGACTTGAATGTAAACATCCCTAAGATGTTTCTTAGAATGCTTCTGGCTAGATTTGATTTGAAGATATTCCCGTTTCCAATGAAATCCGCAAAGCTTTCCAAATATCCACTTCCAGATTCTATAAAAAGAATGTTTCAGAACAGTTCTGTCAAAAGAAAGGTTCAACTCTGTTAGTGGAGAACACACATCACAATCAAGGTTCTGAGAATGCTTCTGTCTAAATTTTCTATGAAGACATTCCCGTTTCCAACGAAATCCTCACAGCTATCCAAATATCCACTTGCAGATTCTACAAAAAGTGTGGTTCAAAACTGCTGTATCAAAAGAATGGATCAACACTGTTAGTTGAGTACCCACATCACAAACGTGATTCTCAGAATGCTTCTGTCTAGTTTCTATAGGTAGATATTTCCTTTTTCAGCATAGGCCTGAAAGCGCTCCAAATGCCCGCTTCCAGACACTATAAAAAGAGGGTTTCAAACCTACTCTATGAAAGGGAATGTTCAACTCTGAGAGCTGGATGCAAACATCACAAAGAAGTTTCTGAGAATGCTGCTGTCTACTTTTGATATATAATCCCGTTTCCAACGAAAATCCTCAAATCTATCCAAATATCCACTTGCAGATTCCAAAAGAAGAGTGTCTCAAAACTGCTCTATCAATAGAAATGTTCAGCACAGTTAGTTGAGTAGATACAGCATAAACATGTTTCTGAGATTACTTCTATCTCGCATTCTTGGGAAGATATTTCCTTTTTCCAGATAGGCTACAAAGCCCTCCAAATGTCCACTTCGAGATACTACAAATAGAGTGCTGCACAACTGCTCTATGTGAGGGGATGTTCAATTCTGTGACTTGGATGCAGACACCACAGAGAAGTTTCTGAGAATGCTGCTGTCTAATTTTTATATGTAAGCCCGTTTCCAACGAAATCCTCAAAGCTATCCAAATATCCGCATGCAGAATCTTCAAAAAGAGTGTTCCAGAAGTACTGCATGAAACGAAAGGTTCAAGTCCGTTAGTTCAGGACACACATCACAAATAAGTTTCTCAGAATGCTTCTGTCTTGTTTTCATTGGAAGATATTTCCTTTTTCACCATAGTTCAGAAAGCGCTCCAAATGTCCACTTCCAGATACTACAAAAAGAGTGTGTCAAACCTGCTCTATGAATGGGAATGTTCCACTCTGTGACTTGAATGGAAATATGGCAAAGTATTTTCTGAGTATGCTGCTGTGTACTTCTATATTGCATCCCGTTTCCAACGAAATCCTCAAAGCGATCCAAATATCCACTTGCAGATTCCAAAAAAAAGAGTGTTTCACACTGCTCTGTCAGTACAAAGGTTCAACACTGTTAGTTGATTGGATGCATCATAAACAAGTTCCTGAGATAGCTTCTATTTCGCATTCATGGGAAGATATTTCCTTTTTCCAGATAGGCTACAAAGCCCTCCAAATGTCCACTTCCAGATACTACAAAAAGAGTGTTTCCAACCTGCTCTATGAAACGGAAGGTTCAACTCTGTGACTTGATTGCAAACATCACGAAGGTGTTTCTGAGAATGCTTCTGTCTAGATTTTCTTTGAAGACATTACCGTTTCCAACAAAATCCTCAAAGCTAGCCAAATATCCACCTGCAGATTCTACAAAAAGAGTGTTTCAAAAGTGCTCTGTCCAAACCAAGGTTCAATTCTGACAGTTGAGTGCACACATCACAAACGTGATTCTGCGAATGCTTCTGTCTAGTTTTTGTCGGAAGATATTTCCTTTTTCAGCATAGGCCCCAAGGAGCTCAAAATGTCCACTGCCAGATAGTACGAGAAGATTGTTTCAAACCTGCTCTGTGAAAGGGAATGTTCAACTCTGTGACTTGAATGTAAATATCCCTAAGATGTTTCTTAGAATGCTTCTGGCTAGATTTTATTTGAAGATATTCCCGTTTCCAACGAAATCCTCAAAGCTTTCCAAATATCCACTTCCAGATTCTATAAAAAGAATGTTTCAGAACAGTTCTGTCAAAAGAAAGGTTCAACTCTGTTAGTGGAGAACACACATCACAATCAAGGTTCTGAGAATGCTTCTGTCTAAATTTTCTATGAAGACATTCCCGTTTCCAACGAAATCCTCACAGCTATCCAAATATCCACTTGCAGATTCTACAAAAAGTGTGGTTCAAAACTGCTGTATCAAAAGAATGGATCAACACTGTTAGTTGAGTACCCACATCACAAACTTGATTCTCAGAATGCTTCCTGTCTAGTTTCTGTAGGTAGATATTTCCTATTTTAAGCATAGGCCTGAAAGCGCTACAAATGCCCGCTTCCAGACACTATAAAAAGAGGGTTTCAAACCTACTCTATGAAAGGGAATGTTCAACTCTGAGAGCTGGATGCAAACATCACAAAGAAGTTTCTGAGAATGCTGCTGTCTACTTTTTATATATAATCCCGTTTCCAACGAAATCCTCAAATCTATCCAAATATCCACTTGCAGATTCCAAAAGAAGAGTGTCTCAAAACTGCTCTATCAATAGAAATGTTCAGCACAGTTAGTTGAGTAGATACAGCATAAACATGTTTCTGAGATTACTTCTATCTCGCATTCATGGGAAGATATTTCCTTTTTCCAGATAGGCTACAAAGCCCTCCAAATGTCCCCTTCCAGATACTACAAATAGAGTGCTGCACAACTGCTCTATGTGAGGGGAAGTTCAACTCTGTGACTTGAATGCAGACACCACAAAGAAGTTTCTGAGAATGCTGCTGTCTAATTTTTACATGTAAGCCCGTTTCCAACGAAATCCTCAAAGCTATCCAAATATCCGCATGCAGAATCTTCAAAAAGAGTGTTCCAGAAGTACTGCATGAAACGAAAGGTTCAAGTCCGTTTGTTGAGGACACACATCACAAATAAGTTTCTCAGAATGCTTCTGTCTTGTTTTCATTGGAAGATATTTCCTTTTTCACCATAGTTCAGAAAGCGCTCCAAATGTCCACTTCCAGATACTCCAAAAAGAGTGTTTCAAACCTGCTCTATGAATGGGAATGTTCCACTCTGTGACTTGAATGGAAATATGGCAAAGTATTTTCTGAGTATGCTGCTGTGTACGTTTTATATTGCATCCCGTTTCCAACGAAATCCTCAAAGCGATCCAAATATCCACTTGCAGATTCCAAAAAAAGAGTGTTTCAAACTGCTCTGTCAGTACAAAGGTTCAACACTGTTAGTTGATTAGATGCATCATAAACAAGTTCCTGAGATAGCTTCTATCTCGCATTCATGGGAAGATATTTCCTTTTTCCAGATAGGCTACAAAGCCCTCCAAATGTCCACTTCCAGATACTACAAAAAGTGTGTTTCCAACCTGCTCTATGAAACGGAAGGTTCAACTCTGTGACTTGATTGCAAACATCACGAAGGTGTTTCTGAGAATGCTTCTGTCTAGATTTTCTTTGAAGACATTACCGTTTCCAACGAAATCCTCAAAGCTTGCCAAATATCCACCTGCAGATTCTACAAAAAGTGTGTTTCAAAAGTGCTCTCTCCAAACCAAGGTTCAATTCTGACAGTTGAGTGCACACATCACAAACGTGATTCTGCGAATGCTTCTGACTAGTTTTTGTCGGAAGATATTTCCTTTTTCAGCATAGGCCCCAAAGAGCTCAAAATGTCCACTGCCAGATAGTACGAGAAGATTGTTTCAAACCTGCTCTGTGAAAGGGAATGTTCAACTCTGTGACTTGAATGTAAACATCCCTAAGATGTTTCTTAGAATGCTTCTGGCTAGATTTTATTTGAAGATATTCCCGTTTCCAACGAAATCCTCAAAGCTTTCCAAATATCCACTTCCAGATTCTATAAAAAGAATGTTTCAGAACAGTTCTGTCAAAAGAAAGGTTCAACTCTGTTAGTGGAGAACACACATCACAATCAAGGTTCTGAGAATGCTTCCGTCTAAATTTTCTATGAAGACATTCCCGTTTCCAACGAAATCCTCACAGCTATCCAAATATCCACTTGCAGATTCTACAAAAAGTGTGGTTCAAAACTGCTGTATCAAAAGAATGGATCAACACTGTTAGTTGAGTACCCACATCACAAACGTGATTCTCAGAATGCTTTCTGTCTAGTTTCTATATGTAGATATTTCCTTTTTCAGCATAGGCCTGAAAGCGCTCCAAATGCCCGCTTCCAGACACTATAAAAAGAGGGTTTCAAACCTACTCTATGAAAGGGAATGTTCAACTCTGAGAGCTGGATGCAAACATCACAAAGAAGTTTCTGAGAATGCTGCTGTCTACTTTTTATATATAATCCCGTTTCCAACGAAATCCTCAAATCTATCCAAATATCCACTTGCAGATTCCAAAAGAAGAGTGTCTCAAAACTGCTCTATCAATAGAAATGTTCAGCACAGTTAGTTGAGTAGATACAGCATAAACATGTTTCTGAGATTACTTCTATCTCGCATTCATGGGAAGATATTTCCTTTTTCCAGATAGGCTACAAAGCCCTCCAAATGTCCACTTCCAGATACTACAAATAGAGTGCTGCACAACTGCTCTATGTGAGGGGATGTTCAATTCTGTGACTTGAATGCAGACACCACAAAGAAGTTTCTGAGAATGCTGCTGTCTAATTTTTACATGTAAGCCCGTTTCCAACGAAATCCTCAAAGCTATCCAAATATCCGCATGCAGAATCTTCAAAAAGAGTGTTCCAGAAGTACTGCATGAAACGAAAGGTTCAAGTCCGTTTGTTGAGGACACACATCACAAATAAGTTTCTCAGAATGCTTCTGTCTTGTTTTCATTGGAAGATATTTCCTTTTTCACCATAGTTCAGAAAGCGCTCCAAATGTCCACTTCCAGATACTCCAAAAAGAGTGTTTCCAACCTGCTCTATGAATGGGAATGTTCCACTCTGTGACTTGAATGGAAATATGGCAAAGAATTTTCTGAGTATGCTGCTGTGTACGTTTTATATTGCATCCCGTTTCCAACGAAATCCTCAAAGCGATCCAAATATCCACTTGCAGATTCCAAAAAAAGAGTGTTTCAAACTGCTCTGTCAGTACAAAGGTTCAACACTGTTAGTTGATTAGATGCCTCATAAACAAGTTCCTGAGATAGCTTCTATGTTGTTTTTATGGGAAGATATTTCCTTTTTCACCATAGGCCTGAAAGCGCTCCAAATGTCCACTTCCAGATACTACAATAAGAGTGTTTCCAACCTGCTCTATGAAACGGAAGGTTCAACTCTGTGACTTGATTGCAAACATCACGAAGGTGTTTCTGAGAATGTTTCTGTCTAGATTTTCTTTGAAGACATTCCCGTTTCCAACGAAATCCTCACAGCTATCCAAATATCCTCTTGCAGATTCTACAAAAAGTGTGGTTCAAAACTGCTGTATCAAAAGAATGGATCAACACTGTTAGTTGAGTACCCACATCACAAACGAGATTCTCAGAATGCTTCTGTCTAGTTTCTGTAGGTAGATATTTCCTATTTTAAGCATAGGCCTGAAAGCGCTCCAAATGCCCGCTTCCAGACACTATAAAAAGAGGGTTTCAAACCTACTCTATGAAAGGGAATGTTCAACTCTGAGAGCTGGATGCAAACATCACAAAGAAGTTTCTGAGAATGCTGCTGTCTACTTTTTATATATAATCCCGTTTCCAACGAAATCCTCAAATCTCTCCAAATATCCACTTGCAGATTCCAAAAGAAGAGTGTCTCAAAACTGCTCTATCAATAGAAATGTTCAGCACAGTTAGTTGAGTAGATACAGCATAAACATGTTTCTGAGATTACTTCTATCTCGCATTCATGGGAAGATATTTCCTTTTTCCAGATAGGCTACAAAGCCCTCCAAATGTCCACTTCCAGATACTACAAAAAGAGTGTTTCCAACCTGCTCTATGAAACGGAAGGTTCAACTCTGTGACTTGATTGCAAACATCACGAAGGTGTTTCTGAGAATGCTTCTGTCTAGATTTTCTTTGAAGACATTACCATTTCCAACGAAATCCTCAAAGCTAGCCAAATATCCACCTGCAGATTCTACAAAAAGAGTGTTTCAAAAGTGCTCTGTCCAAACCAAGGTTCAATTCTGACAGTTGAGTGCACACATCACAAACGTGATTCTGCGAATGCTTCTGTCTAGTTTTTGTCGGAAGATATTTCCTTTTTCAGCATAGGCCCCAAGGAGCTCAAAATGTCCACTGCCAGATAGTACGAGAAGATTGTTTCAAACCTGCTCTGTGAAAGGGAATGTTCAACTCTGTGACTTGAATGTAAACATCCCTAAGATGTTTCTTAGAATGCTTCTGGCTAGATTTGATTTGAAGATATTCCCGTTTCCAACGAAATCCTCAAAGCTTTCCAAATATCCACTTCCAGATTCTCTAAAAAGAATGTTTCAAAACAGTTCTGTCAAAAGAAAGGTTCAACTCTGTTAGTGGAGAACACACATCACAATCCAGGTTCTGAGAATGCTTCTGTCTAAATTTTCTATGAAGACATTCCCGTTTCCAACGAAATCCTCACAGCTATCCAAATATCCACTTGCAGATTCTACAAAAAGGGTGGTTCAAAACTGCTGTATCAATAGAATGGATCAACACTGTTAGTTGAGTACCCACATCAAAAACGTGATTCTCAGAATGCTTCTGCTAGTTTCTGTAGGTAGATATTTCCTTTTTCAGCACAGACCTGAAAGCGCTCCAAATGCCCGCTTCCAGACACTATAAAAAGGGGGTTTCAAACCTACTCTATGAAAGGGAATGTTCAACTCTGAGAGCTGGATGCAAACATCACAAAGAAGTTTCTGAGAATGCTGCTGTCTACTTTTTATACATAATCCCGTTTCCAACGAAATCCTCAAATCTATCCAAATATCCACTTGCAGATTCCAAAAGAAGAGTGTCTCAAAACTGCTCTATCAATAGAAATGTTCAGCACAGTTAGTTGATTAGATGCATCATAAACAAGTTCCTGAGATAGCTTCTATGTCGTTTTTATGGGAAGATATTTCCTTTTTCACCATAGGCCTGAAAGCGCTCAAAAGGTCCACTTCCAGATACTACAAAAAGAGTGTTTCCAACCTGCTCTATGAAACGGAAGGTTCAACTCTGTGACTTGATTGCAAACATCACGAAGGTGTTTCTGAGAATGCTTCTGTCTAGATTTTCTTTGAAGACATTACCGTTTCCAACGAAATCCTCAAAGCTAGCCAAATATCCACCTGCAGATTCTACAAAAAGAGTGTTTCAAAAGTGCTCTGTCCAAACCAAGGTTCAATTCTGACAGTTGAGTGCACACATCACAAACGTGATTCTGCGAATGCTTCTGTCTAGTTTTTGTCGGAAGATATTTCCTTTTTCAGCATAGGCCCCAAGGAGCTCAAAATGTCCACTGCCAGATAGTACGAGAAGATTGTTTCAAACCTGCTCTGCGAAAGGGAATGTTCAACTCTGTGACTTGAATGTAAACATCCCTAAGATGTTTCTTAGAATGCTTCTGGCTAGATTTTATTTGAAGATATTCCCGTTTCCAACGAAATCCTCAAAGCTTTCCAAATATCCACTTCCAGATTCTATAAAAAGAATGTTTCAGAACAGTTCTGTCAAAAGAAAGGTTCAACTCTGTTAGTGGAGAACACACATCACAATCAAGGTTCTGAGAATGCTTCTGTCTAAATTTTCTATGAAGACATTCCCGTTTCCAAGGAAAATCCTCACAGCTATCCAAATATCCACTTGCAGATTCTACAAAAAGTGTGGTTCAAAACTGCTGTATCAAAAGAATGGATCAACACTGTTAGTTGAGTACCCACATCACCAACGTGATTCTCAGAATGCTTCTGTCTAGTTTCTGTAGGTAGATATTTCCTATTTTAAGCATAGGCCTGAAAGCGCTCCAAATGCCCACTTGCAGACACTATAAAAAGAGGGTTTCAAACCTACTCTATGAAAGGGAATGTTCAACTCTGAGAGCTGGATGCAAACATCACAAAGAAGTTTCTGAGAATGCTGCTGTCTACTTTTTATATATAATCCCGTTTCCAACGAAATCCTCAAATCTATCCAAATATCCACTTGCAGATTCCAAAAGAAGAGTGTCTGAAAACTGCTCTATCAATAGAAATGTTCAGCACAGTTAGTTGAGTAGATACAGCATAAACATGTTTCTGAGATTACTTCTATCTCGCATTCATGGGAAGATATTTCCTTTTTCCAGATAGGCTACAAAGCCCTCCAAATGTCCACTTCCAGATACTACAAATAGAGTGCTGCACAACTGCTCTATGTGAGGGGAAGTTCAATTCTGTGACTTGAATGCAGACACCACAAAGAAGTTTCTGAGAATGCTGCTGTCTAATTTTTACATGTAAGCCCGTTTCCAACGAAATCCTCAAAGCTATCCAAATATCCGCATGCAGAATCTTCAAAAAGAGTGTTCCAGAAGTACTGCATGAAACGAAAGGTTCAAGTCCGTTTGTTGAGGACACACATCACAAATAAGTTTCTCAGAATGCTTCTGTCTTGTTTTCATTGGAAGATATTTCCTTTTTCACCATAGTTCAGAAAGCGCTCCAAATGTCCACTTCCAGATACTCCAAAAAGAGTGTTTCCAACCTGCTCTATGAATGGGAATGTTCCACTCTGTGACTTGAATGGAAATATGGCAAAGTATTTTCTGAGTATGCTGCTGTGTACGTTTTATATTGCATCCCGTTTCCAACGAAATCCTCAAAGCGATCCAAATATCCACTTGCAGATTCCAAAAAAAGAGTGTTTCAAACTGCTCTGTCAGTACAAAGGTTCAACACTGTTAGTTGATTAGATGCATCATAAACAAGTTCCTGAGATAGCTTCTATGTCGTTTTTATGGGAAGATATTTCCTTTTTCACCATAGGCCTGAAAGCGCTCCAAATGTCCACTTCCAGATACTACAATAAGAGTGTTTCCAACCTGCTCTATGAAACGGAAGGTTCAACTCTGTGACTTGATTGCAAACATCACGAAGGTGTTTCTGAGAATGCTTCTGTCTAGATTTTCTTTGAAGACTTTCCCGTTTCCAACGAAATCCTCACAGCTATCCAAATATCCTCTTGCAGATTCTACAAAAAGTGTGGTTCAAAACTGCTGTATCAAAAGAATGGATCAACACTGTTAGTTGAGTACCCACATCACAAACGTGATTCTCAGAATGCTTCTGTCTAGTTTCTGTAGGTAGATATTTCCTATTTTAAGCATAGGCCTGAAAGCGCTCCAAATGCCCGCTTCCAGACACTATAAAAAGAGGGTTTCAAACCTACTCTATGAAAGGGAATGTTCAACTCTGAGAGCTGGATGCAAACATCACAAAGAAGTTTCTGAGAATGCTGCTGTCTACTTTTTATATATAATCCCGTTTCCAACGAAATCCTCAAATCTATCCAAATATCCACTTGCAGATTCCAAAAGAAGAGTGTCTCAAAACTGCTCTATCAATAGAAATGTTCAGCACAGTTAGTTGAGTAGATACAGCATAAACATGTTTCTGAGATTACTTCTATCTCGCATTCATGGGAAGATATTTCCTTTTTCCAGATAGGCTACAAAGCCCTCCAAATGTCCACTTCCAGATACTACAAAAAGAGTGTTTCCAACCTGCTCTATGAAACGGAAGGTTCAACTCTGTGACTTGATTGCAAACATCACGAAGGTGTTTCTGAGAATGCTTCTGTCTAGATTTTCTTTGAAGACATTACCGTTTCCAACGAAATCCTCAAAGCTAGCCAAATATCCACCTGCAGATTCTACAAAAAGAGTGTTTCAAAAGTGCTCTGTCCAAACCAAGGTTCAATTCTGACAGTTGAGTGCACACATCACAAACGTGATTCTGCGAATGCTTCTGTCTAGTTTTTGTCGGAAGATATTTCCTTTTTCAGCATAGGCCCCAAGGAGCTCAAAATGTCCACTGCCAGATAGTACGAGAAGATTGTTTCAAACCTGCTCTGTGAAAGGGAATGTTCAACTCTGTGACTTGAATGTAAACATCCCTAAGATGTTTCTTGGAATGCTTCTGGCTAGATTTTATTTGAAGATATTCCCGTTTCCAACGAAATCCTCAAAGCTTTCCAAATATCCACTTCCAGATTCTATAAAAAGAATGTTTCAGAACAGTTCTGTCAAAAGAAAGGTTCAACTCTGTTAGTGGAGAACACACATCACAATCAAGGTTCTGAGAATGCTTCTGTCTAAATTTTCTATGAAGACATTCCCGTTTCCAACGAAATCCTCACAGCTATCCAAATATCCACTTGCAGATTCTACAAAAAGTGTGGTTCAAAACTGCTGTATCAAAAGAATGGATCAACACTGTTAGTTGAGTACCCACATCACAAACGTGATTCTCAGAATGCTTCTGTCTAGTTTCTATAGGTAGATATTTCCTTTTTCAGCATAGGCCTGAAAGCGCTCCAAATGCCCGCTTCCAGACACTATAAAAAGAGGGTTTCAAACCTACTCTATGAAAGGGAATGTTCAACTCTGAGAGCTGGATGCAAACATCACAAAGAAGTTTCTGAGAATGCTGCTGTCTACTTTTTATATATAATCCCGTTTCCAACGAAATCCTCAAATCTATCCAAATATCCACTTGCAGATTCCAAAAGAAGAGTGTCTCAAAACTGCTCTATCAATAGAAATGTTCAGCACAGTTAGTTGAGTAGATACAGCATAAACATGTTTCTGAGATTACTTCTATCTCGCATTCATGGGAAGATATTTCCTTTTTCCAGATAGGCTACAAAGCCCTCCAAATGTCCACTTCCAGATACTACAAATAGAGTGCTGCACAACTGCTCTATGTGAGGGGATGTTCAATTCTGTGACTTGAATGCAGACACCACAAAGAAGTTTCTGAGAATGCTGCTGTCTAATTTTTACATGTAAGCCCGTTTCCAACGAAATCCTCAAAGCTATCCAAATATCCGCATGCAGAATCTTCAAAAAGAGTGTTCCAGAAGTACTGCATGAAACGAAAGGTTCAAGTCCGTTTGTTGAGGACACACATCACAAAGAAGTTTCTCAGAATGCTTCTGTCTTGTTTTCATTGGAAGATATTTCCTTTTTCACCATAGTTCAGAAAGCGCTCCAAATGTCCACTTCCAGATACTCCAAAAAGAGTGTTTCCAACCTGCTCTATGAATGGGAATGTTCCACTCTGTGACTTGAATGGAAATATGGCAAAGTATTTTCTGAGTATGCTGCTGTGTACGTTTTATATTGCATCCCGTTTCCAACGAAATCCTCAAAGCGATCCAAATATCCACTTGCAGATTCCAAAAAAAGAGTGTTTCAAACTGCTCTGTCAGTACAAAGGTTCAACACTGTTAGTTGATTAGATGCATCATAAACAAGTTCCTGAGATAGCTTCTATGTCGTTTTTATGGGAAGATATTTCCTTTTTCACCATAGGCCTGAAAGCGCTCCAAATGTCCACTTCCAGATACTACAAAAAGAGTGTTTCCAACCTGCTCTATGAAACGGAAGGTTCAACTCTGTGACTTGATTGCAAACATCACGAAGGTGTTTCTGAGAATGCTTCTGTCTAGATTTTCTTTGAAGACATTCCCGTTTCCAACGAAATCCTCACAGCTATCCAAATATCCTCTTGCAGATTCTACAAAAAGTGTGGTTCAAAACTGCTGTATCAAAAGAATGGATCAACACTGTTAGTTGAGTACCCACATCACAAACGTGATTCTCAGAATGCTTCTGTCTAGTTTCTATAGGTAGATGTCTCCTTTTTCAGCATAGGCCTGAAAGCGCTCCAAATGCCCGCTTCCAGACACTATAAAAAGAGGGTTTCAAACCTACTCTATGAAAGGGAATGTTCAACTCTGAGAGCTGGATGCAAACATCACAAAGAAGTTTCTGAGAATGCTGCTGTCTACTTTTTATATATAATCCCGTTTCCAACGAAATCCTCAAATCTATCCAAATATCCACTTGCAGATTCCAAAAGAAGAGGGTCTCAAAACTGCTCTATCAATAGAAATGTTCAGCACAGTTAGTTGAGTAGATACAGCATAAACATGTTTCTGAGATTACTTCTATCTCGCATTCATGGGAAGATATTTCCTTTTTCCAGATAGGCTACAAAGCCCTCCAAATGTCCACTTCCAGATACTACAAATAGAGTGCTGCACAACTGCTCTATGTGAGGGGAAGTTCAATTCTGTGACTTGAATGCAGACACCACAAAGAAGTTTCTGAGAATGCTGCTGTCTAATTTTTACATGTAAGCCCGTTTCCAACGAAATCCTCAAAGCTATCCAAATATCCGCATGCAGAATCTTCAAAAAGAGTGTTCCAGAAGTACTGCATGAAACGAAAGGTTCAAGTCCGTTTGTTGAGGACACACATCACAAATAAGTTTCTCAGAATGCTTCTGTCTTGTTTTCATTGGAAGATATTTCCTTTTCCACCATAGTTCAGAAAGCGCTCCAAATGTCCACTTCCAGATACTCCAAAAAGAGTGTTTCCAACCTGCTCTATGAATGGGAATGTTCCACTCTGTGACTTGAATGGAAATATGGCAAAGTATTTTCTGAGTATGCTGCTGTGTACGTTTTATATTGCATCCCGTTTCCAACGAAATCCTCAAAGCGATCCAAATATCCACTTGCAGATTCCAAAAAAGAGTGTTTCAAACTGCTCTGTCAGTACAAAGGTTCAACACTGTTAGTTGATTAGATGCATCATAAACAAGTTCCTGAGATAGCTTCTATGTCGTTTTTATGGGAAGATATTTCCTTTTTCACCATAGGCCTGAAAGCGCTCCAAATGTCCACTTCCAGATACTACAATAAGAGTGTTTCCAACCTGCTCTATGAAACGGAAGGTTCAACTCTGTGACTTGATTGCAAACATCACGAAGGTGTTTCTGAGAATGCTTCTGTCTAGATTTTCTTTGAAGACATTCCCGTTTCCAACGAAATCCTCACAGCTATCCAAATATCCTCTTGCAGATTCTACAAAAAGTGTGGTTCAAAACTGCTGTATCAAAAGAATGGATCAACACTGTTAGTTGAGTACCCACATCACAAACGTGATTCTCAGAATGCTTCTGTCTAGTTTCTGTAGGTAGATATTTCCTATTTTAAGCATAGGCCTGAAAGCGCTCCAAATGCCCGCTTCCAGACACTATAAAAAGAGGGTTTCAAACCTACTCTATGAAAGGGAATGTTCAACTCTGAGAGCTGGATGCAAACATCACAAAGAAGTTTCTGAGAATGCTGCTGTCTACTTTTTATATATAATCCCGTTTCCAACGAAATCCTCAAATCTCTCCAAATATCCACTTGCAGATTCCAAAAGAAGAGTGTCTCAAAACTGCTCTATCAATAGAAATGTTCAGCACAGTTAGTTGAGTAGATACAGCATAAACATGTTTCTGAGATTACTTCTATCTCGCATTCATGGGAAGATATTTCCTTTTTCCACATAGGCTACAAAGCCCTCCAAATGTCCACTTCCAGATACTACAAAAAGAGTGTTTCCAACCTGCTCTATGAAACGGAAGGTTCAACTCTGTGACTTGATTGCAAACATCACGAAGGTGTTTCTGAGAATGCTTCTGTCTAGATTTTCTTTGAAGACATTACCGTTTCCAACGAAATCCTCAAAGCTAGCCAAATATCCACCTGCAGATTCTACAAAAAGAGTGTTTCAAAAGTGCTCTGTCCAAACCAAGGTTCAATTCTGACAGTTGAGTGCACACATCACAAACGTGATTCTGCGAATGCTTCTGTCTAGTTTTTGTCAGAAGATATTTCCTTTTTCAGCATAGGCCCCAAGGCAGCTCAAAATGTCCACTGCCAGATAGTACGAGAAGATTGTTTCAAACCTGCTCTGTGAAAGGGAATGTTCAACTCTGTGACTTGAATGTAAACATCCCTAAGATGTTTCTTAGAATGCTTCTGGCTAGATTTGATTTGAAGATATTCCCGTTTCCAACGAAATCCTCAAAGCTTTCCAAATATCCACTTCCAGATTCTATAACAAGAATGTTTCAGAACAGTTCTGTCAAAAGAAAGGTTCAACTCTGTTAGTGGAGAACACACATCACAATCAAGGTTCTGAGAATGCTTCTGTCTAAATTTTCTATGAAGACATTCCCGTTTCCAACGAAATCCTCACAGCTATCCAAATATCCACTTGCAGATTCTACAAAAAGTGTGGTTCAAAACTGCTGTATCAAAAGAATGGATCAACACTGTTAGTTGAGTACCCACATCACAAACGTGATTCTCAGAATGCTTCTGTCTACTTTCTATAGGTAGATATTTCCTTTTTCAGCATAGGCCTGAAAGCGCTCCAAATGCCCGCTTCCAGACACTATAAAAAGAGGGTTTCAAACCTACTCTATGAAAGGGAATGTTCAACTCTGAGAGCTGGATGCAAACATCACAAAGAAGTTTCTGAGAATGCGGCTGTCTACTTTTTATATATAATCCCGTTGCCAACGAAATCCTCAAATCTATCCAAATATCCACTTGCAGATTCCAAAAGAAGAGTGTCTCAAAACTGCTCTATCAATAGAAATGTTCAGCACAGTTAGTTGAGTAGATACAGCATAAACATGTTTCTGAGATTACTTCTATCTCGCATTCATGGGAAGATATTTCCTTTTTCCAGATAGGCTACAAAGCCCTCCAAATGTCCACTTCGAGATACTACAAATAGAGTGCTGCACAACTGCTCTATGTGAGGGGATGTTCAATTCTGTGACTTGAATGCAGACACCACAAAGAAGTTTCTGAGAATGCTGCTGTCTAATTTTTATATGTAAGCCCGTTTCCAAAGAAATCCTCAAAGCTATCCAAATATCCGCATGCAGAATCTTCAAAAAGAGTGTTCCAGAAATACTGCATGAAACGAAAGGTTCAAGTCCGTTAGTTGAGGACACACATCACAAATAAGTTTCTCAGAATGCTTCTGTCTTGTTTTCATTGGAAGATATTTCCTTTTTCACCATAGTTCAGAAAGCGCTCCAAATGTCCACTTCCAGATACTCCAAAAAGAGTGTTTCAAACCTGCTCTATGAATGGGAATGTTCCACTCTCTGACTTGAATGGAAATATGGCAAAGTATTTTCTGAGTATGCTGCTGTGTACGTTTTATATTGCATCCCGTTTCCAACGAAATCCTCAAAGCGATCCAAATATCCACTTGCAGATTCCAAAAAAAGAGTGTTTCAAACTGCTCTGTCAGTACAAAGGTTCAACACTGTTAGTTGATTAGATGCATCATAAACAAGTTCCTGAGATAGCTTCTATGTCGTTTTTATGGGAAGATATTTCCTTTTTCACCATAGGCCTGAAAGCGCTCCAAATGTCCACTTCCAGATACTACAATAAGAGTGTTTCCAACCTGCTCTATGAAACGGAAGGTTCAACTCTGTGACTTGATTGCAAACATCACGAAGGTGTTTCTGAGAATGCTTCTGTCTAGATTTTCTTTGAAGACATTCCCGTTTCCAACGAAATCCTCACAGCTATCCAAATATCCTCTTGCAGATTCTACAAAAAGTGTGGTTC
Organism: Homo sapiens; assembly: GCF_000001405.40. Taxonomy (NCBI): domain Eukaryota; kingdom Metazoa; phylum Chordata; class Mammalia; order Primates; family Hominidae; genus Homo; species Homo sapiens. Next base: position 45,090,377 of record NC_000008.11, on the reverse strand, counting down.
AAAACTGCTGTATGAAAAGAATGGATCAACACTGTTAGTTGAGTACCCACATCACAAACGTGATTCTCAGAATGCTTCTGTCTAGTTTCTGTAGGTAGATATTTCCTATTTTAAGCATAGGCCTGAAAGCGCTCCAAATGCCCGCTTCCAGACACTATAAGAAGAGGGTTTCAAACCTACTCTATGAAAGGGAATGTTCAACTCTGAGAGCTGGATGCAAACATCACAAAGAAGTTTCTGAGAATGCTTGCTGTCTACTTTTTATATATAATCCCGTTTCCAACGAAATCCTCAAATCTATCCAAATATCCACTTGCAGATTCCAAAAGAAGAGTGTCTCAAAACTGCTCTATCAATAGAAATGTTCAGCACAGTTAGTTGAGTAGATACAGCATAAACATGTTTCTGAGATTACATCTATCTCGCATTCATGGGAAGATATTTCCTTTTTCCAGATAGGCTACAAAGCCCTCCAAATGTCCACTTCCAGATACTACAAATAGAGTGCTGCACAACTGCTCTATGTGAGGGGATGTTCAATTCTGTGACTTGAATGCAGACACCACAAAGAAGTTTCTGAGAATGCTGCTGTCTAATTTTTACATGTAAGCCCGTTTCCAACGAAATCCTCAAAGCTATCCAAATATCCGCATGCAGAATCTTCAAAAAGAGTGTTCCAGAAGTACTGCATGAAACGAAAGGTTCAAGTCCGTTTGTTGAGGACACACATCACAAATAAGTTTCTCAGAATGCTTCTGTCTTGTTTTTATTGGAAGATATTTCCTTTTTCACCATAGTTCAGAAAGCGCTCCAAATGTCCACTTCCAGATACTCCAAAAAGAGTGTTTCCAACCTGCTCTATGAATGGGAATGTTCCACTCTGTGACTTGAATGGAAATATGGCAAAGAATTTTCTGAGTATGCTGCTGTGTACGTTTTATATTGCCTCCCGTTTCCAACGAAATCCTCAAAGTGATCCAAATATCCACTTGCAGATTCCAAAAAAAGAGTGTTTCAAACTGCTCTGTCAGTACAAAGGTTCAACACTGTTAGTTGATTAGATGCATCATAAACAAGTTCCTGAGATAGCTTCTATGTCGTTTTTATGGGAAGATATTTCCTTTTTCACCATAGGCCTGAAAGCGCTCCAAATGTCCACTTCCAGATACTACAAAAAGAGTGTTTCCAACCTGCTCTATGAAACGGAAGGTTCAACTCTGTGACTTGATTGCAAACATCACGAAGGTGTTTCTGAGAATGCTTCTGTCTAGATTTTCTTTGAAGACATTCCCGTTTCCAACGAAATCCTCACAGCTATCCAAATATCCTCTTGCAGATTCTACAAAAAGTGTGGTTCAAAACTGCTGTATCAAAAGAATGGATCAACACTGTTAGTTGAGTACCCACATCACAAACGTGATTCTCAGAATGCTTCTGTCTAGTTTCTGTAGGTAGATATTTCCTATTTTAAGCATAGGCCTGAAAGCGCTCCAAATGCCCGCTTCCAGACACTATAAAAAGAGGGTTTCAAACCTACTCTATGAAAGGGAATGTTCAACTCTGAGAGCTGGATGCAAACATCACAAAGAAGTTTCTGAGAATGCTGCTGTCTACTTTTTATATATAATCCCGTTTCCAACGAAATCCTCAAATCTATCCAAATATCCACTTGCAGATTCCAAAAGAAGAGTGTCTCAAAACTGCTCTATCAATAGAAATGTTCAGCACAGTTAGTTGAGTAGATACAGCATAAACGTGTTTCTGAGATTACTTCTATCTCGCATTCATGGGAAGATATTTCCTTTTTCCAGATAGGCTACAAAGCCCTCCAAATGTCCACTTCCAGATACTACAAAAAGAGTGTTTCCAACCTGCTCTATGAAACGGAAGGTTCAACTCTGTGACTTGATTGCAAACATCACGAAGGTGTTTCTGAGAATGCTTCTGTCTAGATTTTCTTTGAAGACATTACCGTTTCCAACGAAATCCTCAAAGCTAGCCAAATATCCACCTGCAGATTCTACAAAAAGAGTGTTTCAAAAGTGCTCTGTCCAAACCAAGGTTCAATTCTGACAGTTGAGTGCACACATCACAAACGTGATTCTGCGAATGCTTCTGTCTAGTTTTTGTCGGAAGATATTTCCTTTTTCAGCATAGGCCCCAAGGAGCTCAAAATGTCCACTGCCAGATAGTACGAGAAGATTGTTTCAAACCTGCTCTGTGAAAGGGAATGTTCAACTCTGTGACTTGAATGTAAACATCCCTAAGATGTTTCTTAGAATGCTTCTGGCTAGATTTGATTTGAAGATATTCCCGTTTCCAACGAAATCCTCAAAGCTTTCCAAATATCCACTTCCAGATTCTATAAAAAGAATGTTTCAGAACAGTTCTGTCAAAAGAAAGGTTCAACTCTGTTAGTGGAGAACACACATCACAATCAAGGTTCTGAGAATGCTTCTGTCTAAATTTTCTATGAAGACATTCCCGTTTCCAACGAAATCCTCACAGCTATCCAAATATCCACTTGCAGATTCTACAAAAAGTGTGGTTCAAAACTGCTGTATCAAAAGAATGGATCAACACTGTTAGTTGAGTACCCACATCACAAACGTGATTCTCAGAATGCTTCTGTCTAGTTTCTATAGGTAGATATTTCCTTTTTCAGCATAGGCCTGAAAGCGCTCCAAATGCCCGCTTCCAGACACTATAAAAAGAGGGTTTCAAACCTACTCTATGAAAGGGAATGTTCAACTCTGAGAGCTGGATGCAAACATCACAAAGAAGTTTCTGAGAATGCTGCTGTCTACTTTTGATATATAATCCCGTTTCCAACGAAATCCTCAAATCTATCCAAATATCCACTTGCAGATTCCAAAAGAAGAGTGTCTCAAAACTGCTCTATCAATAGAAATGTTCAGCACAGTTAGTTGAGTAGATACAGCATAAACCTGTTTCTGAGATTACTTCTATCTCGCATTCATGGGAAGATATTTCCTTTTTCCAGATAGGCTACAAAGCCCTCCAAATGTCCACTTCGAGATACTACAAATAGAGTGCTGCACAGCTGCTCTATGTGAGGGGATGTTCAATTCTGTGACTTGAATGCAGACACCACAAAGAAGTTTCTGAGAATGCTGCTGTCTAATTTTTATATGTAAGCCCGTTTCCAACGAAATCCTCAAAGCTATCCAAATATCCGCATGCAGAATCTTCAAAAAGAGTGTTCCAGAAGTACTGCATGAAACGAAAGGTTCAAGTCCGTTAGTTGAGGACACACATCACAAATAAGTTTCTCAGAATGCTTCTGTCTTGTTTTCATTGGAAGATATTTCCTTTTTCACCATAGTTCAGAAAGCGCTCCAAATGTCCACTTCGAGATACTACAAAAGGAGTGCTTCCAACCTGCTCTATGAATGGGAATGTTCCTCTCTGTGACTTGAATGGAAATATGGCAAAGTATTTTCTGAGTATGCTGCTGTGTACGTTTTATATTGCATCCCGTTTCCAACGAAATCCTCAAAGCGATCCAAATATCCACTTGCAGATTCCAAAAAAAAGAGTGTTTCACACTGCTCTGTCAGTACAAAGGTTCAACACTGTTAGTTGATTGGATGCATCATAAACAAGTTCCTGAGATAGCTTCTATGTCGTTTTTATGGGAAGATATTTCCTTTTTCACCATAGGCCTGAAAGCGCTCCAAATGTCCACTTCCAGATACTACAAAAAGAGTGTTTCCAACCTGCTCTATGAAACGGAAGGTTCAACTCTGTGACTTGATTGCAAACATCACGAAGGTGTTTCTGAGAATGTTTCTGTCTAGATTTTCTTTGAAGACATTACCGTTTCCAACGAAATCCTCAAAGCTAGCCAAATATCCACCTGCAGATTCTACAAAAAGAGTGTTTCAAAAGTGCTCTGTCCAAACCAAGGTTCAATTCTGACAGTTGAGTGCACACATCACAAACGTGATTCTGCGAATGCTTCTGTCTAGTTTTTGTCGGAAGATATTTCCTTTTTCAGCATAGGCCCCAAGGAGCTCAAAATGTCCACTTCCAGATAGTACGAGAAGATTGTTTCAAACCTGCTCTGTGAAAGGGAATGTTCAACCCTGTGACTTGAATGTAAACATCCCTAAGATGTTTCTTAGAATGCTTCTGGCTAGATTTGATTTGAAGATATTCCCGTTTCCAACGAAATCCTCAAAGCTTTCCAAATATCCACTTCCAGATTCTATAAAAAGAATGTTTCAGAACAGTTCTGTCAAAAGAAAGGTTCAACTCTGTTAGTGGAGAACACACATCACAATCAAGGTTCTGAGAATGCTTCTGTCTAAATTTTCTATGAAGACATTCCCGTTTCCAACGAAATCCTCACAGCTATCCAAATATCCACTTGCAGATTCTACAAAAAGTGTGGTTCAAAACTGCTGTATCAAAAGAATGGATCAACACTGTTAGTTGAGTACCCACATCACAAACGTGATTCTCAGAATGCTTCTGTCTAGTTTCTATAGGTAGATATTTCCTTTTTCAGCATAGGCCCGAAAGCGCTCCAAATGCCCGCTTCCAGACACTATAAAAAGAGGGTTTCAAACCTACTCTATGAAAGGGAATGTTCAACTCTGAGAGCTGGATGCAAACATCACAAAGAAGTTTCTGAGAATGCTGCTGTCTACTTTTTATATATAATCCCGTTTCCAACGAAATCCTCAAATCTATCCAAATATCCACTTGCAGATTCCAAAAGAAGAGTGTCTCAAAACTGCTCTATCAATAGAAATGTTCAGCACAGTTAGTTGAGTAGATACAGCATAAACATGTTTCTGAGATTACTTCTATCTCGCATTCATGGGAAGATATTTCCTTTTTCCAGATAGGCTACAAAGCCCTCCAAATGTCCACTTCCAGATACTACAAAAAGAGTGTTTCCAACCTGCTCTATGAAACGGAAGGTTCAACTCTGTGACTTGATTGCAAACATCACGAAGGTGTTTCTGAGAATGCTTCTGTCTAGATTTTCTTTGAAGACATTACCGTTTCCAACGAAATCCTCAAAGCTAGCCAAATATCCACCTGCAGATTCTACAAAAAGAGTGTTTCAAAAGTGCTCTGTCCAAACCAAGGTTCAATTCTGACAGTTGAGTGCACACATCACAAACGTGATTCTGCGAATGCTTCTGTCTAGTTTTTGTCGGAAGATATTTCCTTTTTCAGCATAGGCCCCAAGGAGCTCAAAATGTCCACTGCCAGATAGTACGAGAAGATTGTTTCAAACCTGCTCTGTGAAAGGGAATGTTCAACTCTGTGACTTGAATGTAAACATCCCTAAGATGTTTCTTAGAATGCTTCTGGCTAGATTTTATTTGAAGATATTCCCGTTTCCAACGAAATCCTCAAAGCTTTCCAAATATCCACTTCCAGATTCTATAAAAAGAATGTTTCAGAACAGTTCTGTCAAAAGAAAGGTTCAACTCTGTTAGTGGAGAACACACATCACAATCAAGGTTCTGAGAATGCTTCTGTCTAAATTTTCTATGAAGACATTCCCGTTTCCACCGAAATCCTCACAGCTATCCAAATATCCACTTGCAGATTCTACAAAAAGTGTGGTTCAAAACTGCTGTATCAAAAGAATGGATCAACACTGTTAGTTGAGTACCCACATCACAAACGTGATTCTCAGAATGCTTCTGTCTAGTTTCTATAGGTAGATATTTCCTTTTTCAGCATAGGCCTGAAAGCGCTCCAAATGCCCGCTTCCAGACACTATAAAAAGAGGGTTTCAAACCTACTCTATGAAAGGGAATGTTCAACTCTGAGAGCTGGATGCAAACATCACAAAGAAGTTTCTGAGAATGCTGCTGTCTACTTTTTATATATAATCCCGTTTCCAACGAAATCCTCAAATCTATCCAAATATCCACTTGCAGATTCCAAAAGAAGAGTGTCTCAAAACTGCTCTATCAATAGAAATGTTCAGCACAGTTAGTTGAGTAGATACAGCATAAACATGTTTCTGAGATTACTTCTATCTCGCATTCATGGGAAGATATTTCCTTTTTCCAGATAGGCTACAAAGCCCTCCAAATGTCCACTTCCAGATACTACAAAAAGAGTGTTTCCAACCTGCTCTATGAAACGGAAGGTTCAACTCTGTGACTTGATTGCAAACATCACGAAGGTGTTTCTGAGAATGCTTCTGTCTAGATTTTCTTTGAAGACATTACCGTTTCCAACGAAATCCTCAAAGCTAGCCAAATATCCACCTGCAGATTCTACAAAAAGAGTGTTTCAAAAGTGCTCTGTCCAAACCAAGGTTCAATTCTGACAGTTGAGTGCACACATCACAAACGTGATTCTGCGAATGCTTCTGTCTAGTTTTTGTCGGAAGATATTTCCTTTTTCAGCATAGGCCCCAAGGAGCTCAAAATGTCCACTGCCAGATAGTACGAGAAGATTGTTTCAAACCTGCTCTGTGAAAGGGAATGTTCAACTCTGTGACTTGAATGTAAACATCCCTAAGATGTTTCTTAGAATGCTTCTGGCTAGATTTCATTTGAAGATATTCCCGTTTCCAACGAAATCCTCAAAGCTTTCCAAATATCCACTTCCAGATTCTATAAAAAGAATGTTTCAGAACAGTTCTGTCAAAAGAAAGGTTCAACTGCTGTTAGTGGAGAACACACATCACAATCAAGGTTCTGAGAATGCTTCTGTCTAAATTTTCTATGAAGACATTCCCGTTTCCAACGAAATCCTCACAGCTATCCAAATATCCACTTGCAGATTCTACAAAAAGTGTGGTTCAAAACTGCTGTATCAAAAGAATGGATCAACACTGTTAGTTGAGTACCCACATCACAAACGTGATTCTCAGAATGCTTCTGTCTAGTTTCTATAGGTAGATATTTCCTTTTTCAGCATAGGCCCGAAAGCGCTCCAAATGCCCGCTTCCAGACACTATAAAAAGAGGGTTTCAAACCTACTCTATGAAAGGGAATGTTCAACTCTGAGAGCTGGATGCAAACATCACAAAGAAGTTTCTGAGAATGCTGCTGTCTACTTTTGATATATAATCCCGTTTCCAACGAAATCCTCAAATCTATCCAAATATCCACTTGCAGATTCCAAAAGAAGAGTGTCTCAAAACTGCTCTATCAATAGAAATGTTCAGCACAGTTAGTTGAGTAGATACAGCATAAACATGTTTCTGAGATTACTTCTATCTCGCATTCATGGGAAGATATTTCCTTTTTCCAGATAGGCTACAAAGCCCTCCAAATGTCCACTTCCAGATACTACAAAAAGAGTGTTTCCAACCTGCTCTATGAAACGGAAGGTTCAACTCTGTGACTTGATTGCAAACATCACGAAGGTGTTTCTGAGAATGCTTCTGTCTAGATTTTCTTTGAAGACATTACCGTTTCCAACGAAATCCTCAAAGCTAGCCAAATATCCACCTGCAGATTCTACAAAAAGAGTGTTTCAAAAGTGCTCTGTCCAAACCAAGGTTCAATTCTGACAGTTGAGTGCACACATCACAAACGTGATTCTGCGAATGCTTCTGTCTAGTTTTTGTCGGAAGATATTTCCTTTTTCAGCATAGGCCCCAAGGAGCTCAAAATGTCCACTGCCAGATAGTACGAGAAGATTGTTTCAAACCTGCTCTGTGAAAGGGAATGTTCAACTCTGTGACTTGAATGTAAACATCCCTAAGATGTTTCTTAGAATGCTTCTGGCTAGATTTGATTTGAAGATATTCCCGTTTCCAACGAAATCCTCAAAGCTTTCCAAATATCCACTTCCAGATTCTATAACAAGAATGTTTCAGAACAGTTCTGTCAAAAGAAAGGTTCAACTCTGTTAGTGGAGAACACACATCACAATCAAGGTTCTGAGAATGCTTCTGTCTAAATTTTCTATGAAGACATTCCCGTTTCCAACGAAATCCTCACAGCTATCCAAATATCCACTTGCAGATTCTACAAAAAGTGTGGTTCAAAACTGCTGTATCAAAAGAATGGATCAACACTGTTAGTTGAGTACCCACATCACAAACGTGATTCTCAGAATGCTTCAGTCTAGTTTCTATAGGTAGATATTTCCTTTTTCAGCATAGGCCTGAAAGCGCTCCAAATGCCCGCTTCCAGACACTATAAAAAGAGGGTTTCAAACCTACTCTACGAAAGGGAATGTTCAACTCTGAGAGCTGGATGCAAACATCACAAAGAAGTTTCTGAGAATGCTGCTGTCTACTTTGTATATATAATCCCGTTTCCAACGAAATCCTCAAATCTATCCAAATATCCACTTGCAGATTCCAAAAGAAGAGTGTCTCAAAACTGCTCTATCAATAGAAATGTTCAGCACAGTTAGTTGAGTAGATACAGCATAAACATGTTTCTGAGACTACTTCTATCTCGCATTCATGGGAAGATATTTCCTTTTTCCAGATAGGCTACAAAGCCCTCCAAATGTCCACTTCGAGATACTACAAATAGCATGCTGCACAACTGCTCTATGTGAGGGGATGTTCAATTCTGTGACTTGGATGCAGACACCACAAAGAAGTTTCTGAGAATGCTGCTGTCTAATTTTTATATTTAAGGCCGTTTCGAACGAAATCCTCAAAGCTATCCAAATATCCGCATGCAGAATCTTCAAAAAGAGTGTTCCAGAAGTACTGCATGAAACGAAAGGTTCAAGTCCGTTAGTTCAGGACACACATCACAAATAAGTTTCTCAGAATGCTTCTGTCTTGTTTTCATTGGAAGATATTTCCTTTTTCACCATAGTTCAGAAACCGCTCCAAATGTCCACTTCCAGATACTACAAAAAGAGTGTGTCAAACCTGCTCTATGAATGGGAATGTTCCACTCTGTGACTTGAATGGAAATATGGCAAAGTATTTTCTGAGTATGCTTCTGGCTAGATTTGATTTGAAGATATTCCCGTTTCCAACGAAATCCTCAAAGCTTTCCAAATATCCACTTCCAGATTCTATAAAAAGAATGTTTCAGAACAGTTCTGTCAAAAGAAAGGTTCAACTCTGTTAGTGGAGAACACACATCACAATCAAGGTTCTGAGAATGCTTCTGTCTAAATTTTCTATGAAGACATTCCCGTTTCCAACGAAATCCTCACAGCTATCCAAATATCCACTTGCAGATTCTACAAAAAGTGTGGTTCAAAACTGCTGTATCAAAAGAATGGATCAACACTGTTAGTTGAGTACCCACATCACAAACGTGATTCTCAGAATGCTTCCTGTCTAGTTTCTGTAGGTAGATATTTCCTATTTTAAGCATAGGCCTGAAAGCGCTACAAATGCCCGCTTCCAGACACTATAAAAAGAGGGTTTCAAACCTACTCTATGAAAGGGAATGTTCAACTCTGAGAGCTGGATGCAAACATCACAAAGAAGTTTCTGAGAATGCTTATCTCTATTTTTTATATGAAGACATTTCATTTTCTAACATAGGCCTCAAAGCGCACTAAATATCCACTTGGAAATTCTAGAAAAAGAGTGTTTAAAAACTTCTATATAGAAAGGAATGTTCAACTCTTTGAGTAGAATGCACACATCACAAAGAAGTTTCGGAGAATTCTTCTGTTTATCTTTCATATGAAGGAATACCGTTTCCAATGAAGGCATCAAAGACGTCCAAATATCCACTTGCAGATTCTACAAAAACAGTTTTTCAAAACTACTGTATCAAAAGAATGGTTCAACTCTCTTAGTTGAGTACACACATCACAAACGTGATTCTCAGAATGCTTCTGTCTAGTTTCTATGGGTAATTTCCTTTTTCAGCATAGGCCTGAAAGCGCTCCAATTGCCCGCTTCCAGACACTATAAAAAGAGGGTTTCAAACCTACTCTATGAAAGGGAATGTTCAACTCTGAGAGCTGGATGCAAACATCACAAAGAAGTTTCTGAGAATACTGCTGTCTACTTTTTATATGTAATCCCGTTTCCAACGAAATCCTCAAATCTATCCATATATCCACTTGCAGATTCCAAAAGAAGAGTGTCTCAAAACTGCTCTATCAATAGAAAGGTTCAGCACAGTTAGTTGAGTAGATACAGCATAAACAAGTTTCTGAGATTGCTTCTATCTCGCATTCATGGGAAGATATTTTCTTTTTCCAGATAGGCTACAAAGCCCTCCAAATATCCACTTCGAGATACTACAAATGGAGTGCTTCACAACTGCTCTATGTGAGGGGATGTTCAATTCTGTGACTTGAATGCAGACACCACAAAGAAGTTTCTGAATGCTGCTGTCTACTTTTTATATGTAATCCCGTTTACAACGAAATCCTCAAAGCCATCCAAATATCCACATGCAGAATCTTCAAAAAGAGTGTTCCAGAAGTACTGCATGAAAAGAAAGGTTCAAGTCCGTTAGTTGAGGACACACATCACAAAAAAGTTTCTGAGAATGCTTCTGTCTTGTTTTTATGGGAAGATATTTCCTTTTTCACCACAGGTAAGAAAGCGCTCCAAATGTCCACTTCCAGATACTACAAAAAGAGTGTTTCCAACCTGCTCTATGAATGGGAATGTTCCACTCTGTGACTTGAATGGAAATATGGCAAAGTATTTTCTGAGTATGCTGCTGTGTACGATTTATATTGCATCCCGTTTCCAACGAAATCCTCAAAGCGATCCAAATATCCACTTGCAGATTCCAAAAAAAGAGTGTTTCAAACTGCTCTGTCAGTACAAAGGTTCAACACTGTTAGTTGATTAGATGCATCATAAACAAGTTCCTGAGATAGCTTCTATGTCGTTTTTATGGGAAGATATTTCCTTTTTCACCATAGGCCTGAAAGCGCTCCAAATGTCCACTTCCAGATACTACAAAAAGAGTGTTTCCAACCTGCTCTATGAAACGGAAGGTTCAACTCTGTGACTTGATTGCAAACATCACGAAGATGTTTCTGAGGATGTTTCTGTCTAGATTTTCTTTGAAGACATTACCGTTTCCAACGAAATCCTCAAAGCTAGCCAAATATCCACCTGCAGATTCTACAAAAAGAGTGTTTCAAAAGTGCTCTGTCCAAACAAAGGTTCAATTCTGACAGTTGAGTGCACACATCACAAACGTGATTCTGCGAATGCTTCTGTCTAGTTTTTGTCGGAAGATATTTCCTTTTTCAGCATAGGCCCCAAGGAGCTCAAAATGTCCACTGCCAGATAGTACGAGAAGATTGTTTCAAACCTGCTCTGAGAAAGGGGAATGTTCAACTCTGTGACTTGAATGTACACATCCCTAAGATGTTTCTTAGAATGCTTCTGGCTAGATTTTATTTGAAGATATTCCCGTTTCCAACGAAATCCTCAAAGCTTTCCAAATATCCACTTCCAGATTCTATAAAAAGAATGTTTCAGAACAGTTCTGTCAAAAGAAAGGTTCAACTCTGTTAGTGGAGAACACACATCACAATCAAGGTTCTGAGAATGCTTCTGTCTAAATTTTCTATGAAGACATTCCCGTTTCCAAGGAAATCCTCACAGCTATCCAAATATCCACTTGCAGATTCTACAAAAAGTGTGGTTCAAAACTGCTGTATCAAAAGAATGGATCAACACTGTTAGTTGAGTACCCACATCACCAACGTGATTCTCAGAATGCTTCTGTCTAGTTTCTATAGGTAGATATTTCCTTTTTCAGCATAGGCCTGAAAGCGCTCCAAATGCCCGCTTCCAGACACTATAAAAAGAGGGTTTCAAACCTACTCTACGAAAGGGAATGTTCAACTCTGAGAGCTGGATGCAAACATCACAAAGAAGTTTCTGAGAATGCTGCTGTCTACTTTTGATATATAATCCCGTTTCCAACGAAATCCTCAAATCTATCCAAATATCCACTTGCAGATTCCAAAAGAAGAGTGTCTCAAAACTGCTCTATCAATAGAAATGTTCAGCACAGTTAGTTGAGTAGATACAGCATAAACATGTTTCTGAGATTACTTCTATCTCGCATTCATGGGAAGATATTTCCTTTTTCCAGATAGGCTACAAAGCCCTCCAAATGTCCACTTCCAGATACTACAAAAAGAGTGTTTCCAACCTGCTCTATGAAACGGAAGGTTCAAGTCTGTGACTTGATTGCAAACATCACGAAGGTGTTTCTGAGAATGCTTCTGTCTAGATTTTCTTTGAAGACATTACCGTTTCCAACGAAATCCTCAAAGCTAGCCAAATATCCACCTGCAGATTCTACAAAAAGAGTGTTTCAAAAGTGCTCTGTCCAAACCAAGGTTCAATTCTGACAGTTGAGTGCACACATCACAAACGTGATTCTGCGAATGCTTCTGTCTAGTTTTTGTCGGAAGATATTTCCTTTTTCAGCATAGGCCCCAAGGAGCTCAAAATGTCCACTGCCAGATAGTACGAGAAGATTGTTTCAAACCTGCTCTGTGAAAGGGAATGTTCAACTCTGTGACTTGAATGTAAACATCCCTAAGATGTTTCTTAGAATGCTTCTGGCTAGATTTTATTTGAAGATATTCCCGTTTCCAACGAAATCCTCAAAGCTTTCCAAATATCCACTTCCAGATTCTATAAAAAGAATGTTTCAGAACAGTTCTGTCAAAAGAAAGGTTCAACTCTGTTAGTGGAGAACACACATCACAATCAAGGTTCTGAGAATGCTTCTGTCTAAATTTTCTATGAAGACATTCCCGTTTCCAACGAAATCCTCACAGCTATCCAAATATCCACTTGCAGATTCTACAAAAAGTGTGGTTCAAAACTGCTGTATCAAAAGAATGGATCAACACTGTTAGTTGAGTACCCACATCACAAACGTGATTCTCAGAATGCTTCTGTCTAGTTTCTATAGGTAGATATTTCCTTTTTCAGCATAGGCCTGAAAGCGCTCCAAATGCCCGCTTCCAGACACTATAAAAAGAGGGTTTCAAACCTACTCTATGAAAGGGAATGTTCAACTCTGAGAGCTGGATGCAAACATCACAAAGAAGTTTCTGAGAATGCTGCTGTCTACTTTTTATATATAATCCCGTTTCCAACGAAATCCTCAAATCTATCCAAATATCCACTTGCAGATTCCAAAAGAAGAGTGTCTCAAAACTGCTCTATCAATAGAAATGTTCAGCACAGTTAGTTGAGTAGATACAGCATAAACATGTTTCTGAGATTACTTCTATCTCGCATTCATGGGAAGATATTTCCTTTTTCCGGATAGGCTACAAAGCCCTCCAAATGTCCACTTCCAGATACTACAAAAAGAGTGTTTCCAACCTGCTCTATGAAACGGAAGGTTCAACTCTGTGACTTGATTGCAAACATCACGACGCTGTTTCTGAGAATGCTTCTGTCTAGATTTTCTTTGAAGACATTACCGTTTCCAACGAAATCCTCAAAGCTAGCCAAATATCCACCTGCAGATTCTACAAAAAGAGTGTTTCAAAAGTGCTCTCTCCAAACCAAGGTTCAATTCTGACAGTTGAGTGCACACATCACAAACGTGATTCTGCGAATGCTTCTGTCTAGTTTTTGTCGGAAGATATTTCCTTTTTCAGCATAGGCCCCAAGGAGCTCAAAATGTCCACTGCCAGATAGTACGAGAAGATTGTTTCAAACCTGCTCTGTGAAAGGGAATGTTCAACTCTGTGACTTGAATGTAAACATCCCTAAGATGTTTCTTAGAATGCTTCTGGCTAGATTTTATTTGAAGATATTCCCGTTTCCAACGAAATCCTCAAAGCTTTCCAAATATCCACTTCCAGATTCTATAAAAAGAATGTTTCAGAACAGTTCTGTCAAAAGAAAGGTTCAACTCTGTTAGTGGAGAACACACATCACAATCAAGGTTCAGAGAATGCTTCTGTCTAAATTTTCTATGAAGACATTCCCGTTTCCAACGAAATCCTCACAGCTATCCAAATATCCACTTGCAGATTCTACAAAAAGTGTGGTTCAAAACTGCTGTATCAAAAGAATGGATCAACACTGTTAGTTGAGTACCCACATCACAAACGTGATTCTCAGAATGCTTCTGTCTAGTTTCCATAGGTAGATATTTCCTTTTCAGCATAGGCCTGAAAGCGCTCCAAATGCCCGCTTCCAGACACTATAAAAAGAGGGTTTCAAACCTACTCTATGAAAGGGAATGTTCAACTCTGAGAGCTGGATGCAAACATCACAAAGAAGTTTCTGAGAATGCTGCTGTCTACTTTTGATATATAATCCCGTTTCCAACGAAATCCTCAAATCTATCCAAATATCCACTTGCAGATTCCTAAAGAAGAGTGTCTCAAAACTGCTCTATCAATAGAAATGTTCAGCACAGTTAGTTGAGTAGATACAGCATAAACATGTTTCTGAGATTACTTCTATCTCGCATTCATGGGAAGATATTTCCTTTTTCCAGATAGGCTACAAAGCCCTCCAAATGTCCACTTCCAGATACTACAAATAGAGTGCTGCACAACTGCTCTATGTGAGGGGAAGTTCAATTCTGTGACTTGAATGCAGACACCACAAAGAAGTTTCTGAGAATGCTGCTGTCTAATTTTTACATGTAAGCCCGTTTCCAACGAAATCCTCAAAGCTATCCAAATATCCGCATGCAGAATCTTCAAAAAGAGTGTTCCAGAAGTACTGCATGAAACGAAAGGTTCAAGTCCGTTTGTTGAGGACACACATCACAAATAAGTTTCTCAGAATGCTTCTGTCTTGTTTTCATTGGAAGATATTTCCTTTTTCACCATAGTTCAGAAAGCGCTCCAAATGTCCACTTCCAGATACTCCAAAAAGAGTGTTTCAAACCTGCTCTATGAATGGGAATGTTCCACTCTGTGACTTGAATGGAAATATGGCAAAGTATTTTCTGAGTATGCTGCTGTGTACGTTTTATATTGCATCCCGTTTCCAACGAAATCCTCAAAGCGATCCAAATATCCACTTGCAGATTCCAAAAAAAGAGTGTTTCAAACTGCTCTGTCAGTACAAAGGTTCAACACTGTTAGTTGATTAGATGCATCATAAACAAGTTCCTGAGATAGCTTCTATGTCGTTTTTATGGGAAGATATTTCCTTTTTCACCATAGGCCTGAAAGCGCTCCAAATGTCCACTTCCAGATACTACAATAAGAGTGTTTCCAACCTGCTCTATGAAACGGAAGGTTCAACTCTGTGACTTGATTGCAAACATCACGAAGGTGTTTCTGAGAATGCTTCTGTCTAGATTTTCTTTGAAGACATCCCCGTTTCCAACGAAATCCTCACAGCTATCCAAATATCCTCTTGCAGATTCTACAAAAAGTGTGGTTCAAAACTGCTGTATCAAAAGAATGGATCAACACTGTTAGTTGAGTACCCACATCACAAACGTGATTCTCAGAATGCTTCTGTCTAGTTTCTGTAGGTAGATATTTCCTATTTTAAGCATAGGCCTGAAAGCGCTCCAAATGCCCGCTTCCAGACACTATAAAAAGAGGGTTTCAAACCTACTCTATGAAAGGGAATGTTCAACTCTGAGAGCTGGATGCAAACATCACAAAGAAGTTTCTGAGAATGCTGCTGTCTACTTTTTATATATAATCCCGTTTCCAACGAAATCCTCAAATCTATCCAAATATCCACTTGCAGATTCCAAAAGAAGAGTGTCTCAAAACTGCTCTATCAATAGAAATGTTCAGCACAGTTAGTTGAGTAGATACAGCATAAACATGTTTCTCAGATTACTTCTATCTCGCATTCATGGGAAGATATTTCCTTTTTCCAGATAGGCTACAAAGCCCTCCAAATGTCCACTTCCAGATACTACAAATAGAGTGCTGCACAACTGCTCTATGTGAGGGGAAGTTCAATTCTGTGACTTGAATGCAGACACCACAAAGAAGTTTCTGAGAATGCTGCTGTCTATTTTTACATGTAAGCCCGTTTCCAACGAAATCCTCAAAGCTATCCAAATATCCGCATGCAGAATCTTCAAAAAGAGTGTTCCAGAAGTACTGCATGAAACGAAAGGTTCAAGTCCGTTTGTTGAGGACACACATCACAAATAAGTTTCTCAGAATGCTTCTGTCTTGTTTTCATTGGAAGATATTTCCTTTTTCACCATAGTTCAGAAAGCGCTCCAAATGTCCACTTCCAGATACTCCAAAAAGAGTGTTTCAAACCTGCTCTATGAATGGGAATGTTCCACTCTCTGACTTGAATGGAAATATGGCAAAGTATTTTCTGAGTATGCTGCTGTGTACGTTTTATATTGCATCCCGTTTCCAACGAAATCCTCAAAGCGATCCAAATATCCACTTGCAGATTCCAAAAAAAGAGTGTTTCAAACTGCTCTGTCAGTACAAAGGTTCAACACTGTTAGTTGATTAGATGCATCATAAACAAGTTCCTGAGATAGCTTCTATGTCGTTTTTATGGGAAGATATTTCCTTTTTCACCATAGGCCTGAAAGCGCTCCAAATGTCCACTTCCAGATACTACAATAAGAGTGTTTCCAACCTGCTCTATGAAACGGAAGGTTCAACTCTGTGACTTGATTGCAAACATCACGAAGGTGTTTCTGAGAATGCTTCTGTCTAGATTTTCTTTGAAGACATCCCCGTTTCCAACGAAATCCTCACAGCTATCCAAATATCCTCTTGCAGATTCTACAAAAAGTGTGGTTCAAAACTGCTGTATCAAAAGAATGGATCAACACTGTTAGTTGAGTACCCACATCACAAACGTGATTCTCAGAATGCTTCTGTCTAGTTTCTGTAGGTAGATATTTCCTATTTTAAGCATAGGCCTGAAAGCGCTCCAAATGCCCGCTTCCAGACACTATAAAAAGAGGGTTTCAAACCTACTCTATGAAAGGGAATGTTCAACTCTGAGAGCTGGATGCAAACATCACAAAGAAGTTTCTGAGAATGCTGCTGTCTACTTTTTATATATAATCCCGTTTCCAACGAAATCCTCAAATCTCTCCAAATATCCACTTGCAGATTCCAAAAGAAGAGTGTCTCAAAACTGCTCTATCAATAGAAATGTTCAGCACAGTTAGTTGAGTAGATACAGCATAAACATGTTTCTGAGATTACTTCTATCTCGCATTCATGGGAAGATATTTCCTTTTTCCACATAGGCTACAAAGCCCTCCAAATGTCCACTTCCAGATACTACAAAAAGAGTGTTTCCAACCTGCTCTATGAAACGGAAGGTTCAACTCTGTGACTTGATTGCAAACATCACGAAGGTGTTTCTGAGAATGCTTCTGTCTAGATTTTCTTTGAAGACATTACCGTTTCCAACGAAATCCTCAAAGCTAGCCAAATATCCACCTGCAGATTCTACAAAAAGAGTGTTTCAAAAGTGCTCTGTCCAAACCAAGGTTCAATTCTGACAGTTGAGTGCACACATCACAAACGTGATTCTGCGAATGCTTCTGTCTAGTTTTTGTCGGAAGATATTTCCTTTTTCAGCATAGGCCCCAAGGAGCTCAAAATGTCCACTGCCAGATAGTACGAGAAGATTGTTTCAAACCTGCTCTGTGAAAGGGAATGTTCAACTCTGTGACTTGAATGTAAACATCCCTAAGATGTTTCTTAGAATGCTTCTGGCTAGATTTTATTTGAAGATATTCCCGTTTCCAACGAAATCCTCAAAGCTTTCCAAATATCCACTTCCAGATTCTATAAAAAGAATGTTTCAGAACAGTTCTGTCAAAAGAAAGGTTCAACTCTGTTAGTGGAGAACACACATCACAATCAAGGTTCTGAGAATGCTTCTGTCTAAATTTTCTATGAAGACATTCCCGTTTCCAACGAAATCCTCACAGCTATCCAAATATCCACTTGCAGATTCTACAAAAAGTGTGGTTCAAAACTGCTGTATCAAAAGAATGGATCAACACTGTTAGTTGAGTACCCACATCACAAACGTGATTCTCAGAATGCTTCTGTCTAGTTTCTATAGGTAGATATTTCCTTTTTCAGCATAGGCCTGAAAGCGCTCCAAATGCCCGCTTCCAGACACTATAAAAAGAGGGTTTCAAACCTACTCTATGAAAGGGAATGTTCAACTCTGAGAGCTGGATGCAAACATCACAAAGAAGTTTCTGAGAATGCTGCTGTCTACTTTTGATATATAATCCCGTTTCCAACGAAATCCTCAAATCTATCCAAATATCCACTTGCAGATTCCAAAAGAAGAGTGTCTCAAAACTGCTCTATCAATAGAAATGTTCAGCACAGTTAGTTGAGTAGATACAGCATAAACATGTTTCTGAGATTACTTCTATCTCGCATTCATGGGAAGATATTTCCTTTTTCCAGATAGGCTACAAAGCCCTCCAAATGTCCACTTCGAGATACTACAAATAGAGTGCTGCACAGCTGCTCTATGTGAGGGGATGTTCAATTCTGTGACTTGAATGCAGACACCACAAAGAAGTTTCTGAGAATGCTGCTGTCTAATTTTTATATGTAAGCCCGTTTCCAACGAAATCCTCAAAGCTATCCAAATATCCGCATGCAGAATCTTCAAAAAGAGTGTTCCAGAAGTACTGCATGAAGCGAAAGGTTCAAGTCCGTTAGTTGAGGACACACATCACAAATAAGTTTCTCAGAATGCTTCTGTCTTGTTTTCATTGGAAGATATTTCCTTTTTCACCATAGTTCAGAAAGCGCTCCAAATGTCCACTTCCAGATACTCCAAAAAGAGTGTTTCCAACCTGCTCTATGAATGGGAATGTTCCACTCTGTGACTTGAATGGAAATATGGCAAAGTATTTTCTGAGTATGCTGCTGTGTACGTTTTATATTGCATCCCGTTTCCAACGAAATCCTCAAAGCGATCCAAATATCCACTTGCAGATTCCAAAAAAGGAGTGTTTCAAACTGCTCTGTCAGTACAAAGGTTCAACACTGTTAGTTGATTAGATGCATCATAAACAAGTTCCTGAGATAGCTTCTATGTCGTTTTTATGGGAAGATATTTCCTTTTTCACCATAGGCCTGAAAGCGCTCCAAATGTCCACTTCCAGATACTACAATAAGAGTGTTTCCAACCTGCTCTATGAAACGGAAGGTTCAACTCTGTGACTTGATTGCAAACATCACGAAGGTGTTTCTGAGAATGCTTCTGTCTAGATTTTCTTTCAAGACATTCCCGTTTCCAACGAAATCCTCACAGCTATCCAAATATCCTCTTGCAGATTCTACAAAAAGTGTGGTTCAAAACTGCTGTATCAAAAGAATGGATCAACACTGTTAGTTGAGTACCCACATCACAAACGTGATTCTCAGAATGCTTCTGTCTAGTTTCTGTAGGTAGATATTTCCTATTTTAAGCATAGGCCTGAAAGCGCTCCAAATGCCCGCTTCCAGACACTATAAAAAGAGGGTTTCAAACCTACTCTATGAAAGGGAATGTTCAACTCTGAGAGCTGGATGCAAACATCACAAAGAAGTTTCTGAGAATGCTGCTGTCTACTTTTGATATATAATCCCGTTTCCAACGAAATCCTCAAATCTATCCAAATATCCACTTGCAGATTCCAAAAGAAGAGTGTCTCAAAACTGCTCTATCAATAGAAATGTTCAGCACAGTTAGTTGAGTAGATACAGCATAAACATGTTTCTGAGATTACTTCTATCTCGCATTCATGGGAAGATATTTCCTTTTTCCAGATAGGCTACAAAGCCCTCCAAATGTCCACTTCGAGATACTACAAATAGAGTGCTGCACAACTGCTCTATGTGAGGGGAAGTTCAATTCTGTGACTTGAATGCAGACACCACAAAGAAGTTTCTGAGAATGCTGCTGTCTAATTTTTACATGTAAGCCCGTTTCCAACGAAATCCTCAAAGCTATCCAAATATCCGCATGCAGAATCTTCAAAAAGAGTGTTCCAGAAGTACTGCATGAAACGAAAGGTTCAAGTCCGTTTGTTGAGGACACACATCACAAATAAGTTTCTCAGAATGCTTCTGTCTTGTTTTCATTGGAAGATATTTCCTTTTTCACCATAGTTCAGAAAGCGCTCCAAATGTCCACTTCCAGATACTCCAAAAAGAGTGTTTCCAACCTGCTCTATGAATGGGAATGTTCCACTCTGTGACTTGAATGGAAATATGGCAAAGTATTTTCTGAGTATGCTGCTGTGTACGTTTTATATTGCATCCCGTTTCCAACGAAATCCTCAAAGCGATCCAAATATCCACTTGCAGATTCCAAAAAAAGAGTGTTTCAAACTGCTCTGTCAGTACAAAGGTTCAACACTGTTAGTTGATTAGATGCATCATAAACAAGTTCCTGAGATAGCTTCTATGTCGTTTTTATGGGAAGATATTTCCTTTTTCACCATAGGCCTGAAAGCGCTCCAAATGTCCACTTCCAGATACTACAATAAGAGTGTTTCCAACCTGCTCTATGAAACGGAAGGTTCAACTCTGTGACTTGATTGCAAACATCACGAAGGTGTTTCTGAGAATGTTTCTGTCTAGATTTTCTTTGAAGACATTCCCGTTTCCAACGAAATCCTCACAGCTATCCAAATATCCTCTTGCAGATTCTACAAAAAGTGTGGTTCAAAACTGCTGTATCAAAAGAATGGATCAACACTGTTAGTTGAGTACCCACATCACAAACGAGATTCTCAGAATGCTTCTGTCTAGTTTCTGTAGGTAGATATTTCCTATTTTAAGCATAGGCCTGAAAGCGCTCCAAATGCCCGCTTCCAGACACTATAAAAAGAGGGTTTCAAACCTACTCTATGAAAGGGAATGTTCAACTCTGAGAGCTGGATGCAAACATCACAAAGAAGTTTCTGAGAATGCTGCTGTCTACTTTTTATATATAATCCCGTTTCCAACGAAATCCTCAAATCTCTCCAAATATCCACTTGCAGATTCCAAAAGAAGAGTGTCTCAAAACTGCTCTATCAATAGAAATGTTCAGCACAGTTAGTTGAGTAGATACAGCATAAACATGTTTCTGAGATTACTTCTATCTCGCATTCATGGGAAGATATTTCCTTTTTCCACATAGGCTACAAAGCCCTCCAAATGTCCACTTCCAGATACTACAAAAAGAGTGTTTCCAACCTGCTCTATGAAACGGAAGGTTCAACTCTGTGACTTGATTGCAAACATCACGAAGGTGTTTCTGAGAATGCTTCTGTCTAGATTTTCTTTGAAGACATTACCGTTTCCAACGAAATCCTCAAAGCTAGCCAAATATCCACCTGCAGATTCTACAAAAAGAGTGTTTCAAAAGTGCTCTGTCCAAACCAAGGTTCAATTCTGACAGTTGAGTGCACACATCACAAACGTGATTCTGCGAATGCTTCTGTCTAGTTTTTGTCGGAAGATATTTCCTTTTTCAGCATAGGCCCCAAGGAGCTCAAAATGTCCACTGCCAGATAGTACGAGAAGATTGTTTCAAACCTGCTCTGTGAAAGGGAATGTTCAACTCTGTGACTTGAATGTAAACATCCCTAAGATGTTTCTTAGAATGCTTCTGGCTAGATTTTATTTGAAGATATTCCCGTTTCCAACGAAATCCTCAAAGCTTTCCAAATATCCACTTCCAGATTCTATAAAAAGAATGTTTCAGAACAGTTCTGTCAAAAGAAAGGTTCAACTCTGTTAGTGGAGAACACACATCACAATCAAGGTTCTGAGAATGCTTCTGTCTAAATTTTCTATGAAGACATTCCCGTTTCCAACGAAATCCTCACAGCTATCCAAATATCCACTTGCAGATTCTACAAAAAGTGTGGTTCAAAACTGCTGTATCAAAAGAATGGATCAACACTGTTAGTTGAGTACCCACATCACAAACGTGATTCTCAGAATGCTTCTGTCTAGTTTCTATAGGTAGATATTTCCTTTTTCAGCATAGGCCTGAAAGCGCTCCAAATGCCCGCTTCCAGACACTATAAAAAGAGGGTTTCAAACCTACTCTATGAAAGGGAATGTTCAACTCTGAGAGCTGGATGCAAACATCACAAAGAAGTTTCTGAGAATGCTGCTGTCTACTTTTTATATATAATCCCGTTTCCAACGAAATCCTCAAATCTATCCAAATATCCACTTGCAGATTCCAAAAGAAGAGTGTCTCAAAACTGCTCTATCAATAGAAATGTTCAGCACAGTTAGTTGAGTAGATACAGCATAAACATGTTTCTGAGATTACTTCTATCTCGCATTCATGGGAAGATATTTCCTTTTTCCAGATAGGCTACAAAGCCCTCCAAATGTCCACTTCCAGATACTACAAATAGAGTGCTGCACAACTGCTCTATGTGAGGGGATGTTCAATTCTGTGACTTGAATGCAGACACCACAAAGAAGTTTCTGAGAATGCTGCTGTCTAATTTTTACATGTAAGCCCGTTTCCAACGAAATCCTCAAAGCTATCCAAATATCCGCATGCAGAATCTTCAAAAAGAGTGTTCCAGAAGTACTGCATGAAACGAAAGGTTCAAGTCCCGTTTGTTGAGGACACACATCACAAATAAGTTTCTCAGAATGCTTCTGTCTTGTTTTCATTGGAAGATATTTCCTTTTTCACCATAGTTCAGAAAGCGCTCCAAATGTCCACTTCCAGATACTCCAAAAAGAGTGTTTCCAACCTGCTCTATGAATGGGAATGTTCCACTCTGTGACTTGAATGGAAATATGGCAAAGTATTTTCTGAGTATGCTGCTGTGTACGTTTTATATTGCATCCCGTTTCCAACGAAATCCTCAAAGCGATCCAAATATCCACTTGCAGATTCCAAAAAAAGAGTGTTTCAAACTGCTCTGTCAGTACAAAGGTTCAACACTGTTAGTTGATTAGATGCATCATAAACAAGTTCCTGAGATAGCTTCTATGTCGTTTTTATGGGAAGATATTTCCTTTTTCACCATAGGCCTGAAAGCGCTCCAAATGTCCACTTCCAGATACTACAATAAGAGTGTTTCCAACCTGCTCTATGAAACGGAAGGTTCAACTCTGTGACTTGATTGCAAACATCACGAAGGTGTTTCTGAGAATGCTTCTGTCTAGATTTTCTTTGAAGACATTACCGTTTCCAACGAAATCCTCAAAGCTAGCCAAATATCCACCTGCAGATTCTACAAAAAGAGTGTTTCAAAAGTGCTCTGTCCAAACCAAGGTTCAATTCTGACAATTGAGTGCACACATCACAAACGTGATTCTGCGAATGCTTCTGTCTAGTTTTTGTCGGAAGATATTTCCTTTTTCAGCATAGGCCCCAAGGAGCTCAAAATGTCCACTGCCAGATAGTACGAGAAGATTGTTTCAAACCTGCTCTGTGAAAGGGAATGTTCAACTCTGTGACTTGAATGTAAACATCCCTAAGATGTTTCTTAGAATGCTTCTGGCTAGATTTTATTTGAAGATATTCCCGTTTCCAACGAAATCCTCAAAGCTTTCCAAATATCCACTTCCAGATTCTATAAAAAGAATGTTTCAGAACAGTTCTGTCAAAAGAAAGGTTCAACTCTGTTAGTGGAGAACACACATCACAATCAAGGTTCTGAGAATGCTTCTGTCTAAATTTTCTATGAAGACATTCCCGTTTCCAACGAAATCCTCACAGCTATCCAAATATCCACTTGCAGATTCTACAAAAAGTGTGGTTCAAAACTGCTGTATCAAAAGAATGGATCAACACTGTTAGTTGAGTACCCACATCACAAACGTGATTCTCAGAATGCTTCTGTCTAGTTTCTATAGGTAGATATTTCCTTTTTCAGCATAGGCCTGAAAGCGCTCCAAATGCCCGCTTCCAGACACTATAAAAAGAGGGTTTCAAACCTACTCTATGAAAGGGAATGTTCAACTCTGAGAGCTGGATGCAAACATCACAAAGAAGTTTCTGAGAATGCTGCTGTCTACTTTTGATATATAATCCCGTTTCCAACGAAATCCTCAAATCTATCCTAATATCCACTTGCAGATTCCAAAAGAAGAGTGTCTCAAAACTGCTCTATCAATAGAAATGTTCAGCACAGTTAGTTGAGTAGATACAGCATAAACATGTTTCTGAGATTACTTCTATCTCGCATTCATGGGAAGATATTTCCTTTTTCCAGATAGGCTACAAAGCCCTCCAAATGTCCACTTCGAGATACTACAAATAGAGTGCTGCACAACTGCTCTATGTGAGGGGAAGTTCAATTCTGTGACTTGAATGCAGACACCACAAAGAAGTTTCTGAGAATGCTGCTGTCTAATTTTTACATGTAAGCCCGTTTCCAACGAAATCCTCAAAGCTATCCAAATATCCGCATGCAGAATCTTCAAAAAGAGTGTTCCAGAAGTACTGCATGAAACGAAAGGTTCAAGTCCGTTTGTTGAGGACACACATCACAAATAAGTTTCTCAGAATGCTTCTGTCTTGTTTTCATTGGAAGATATTTCCTTTTTCACCATAGTTCAGAAAGCGCTCCAAATGTCCACTTCCAGATACTCCAAAAAGAGTGTTTCCAACCTGCTCTATGAATGGGAATGTTCCACTCTGTGACTTGAATGGAAATATGGCAAAGTATTTTCTGAGTATGCTGCTGTGTACGTTTTATATTGCATCCCGTTTCCAACGAAATCCTCAAAGCGATCCAAATATCCACTTGCAGATTCCAAAAAAAGAGTGTTTCAAACTGCTCTGTCAGTACAAAGGTTCAACACTGTTAGTTGATTAGATGCATCATAAACAAGTTCCTGATATAGATTCTATGTCGTTTTTATGGGAAGATATTTCCTTTTTCACCATAGGCCTGAAAGCGCTCCAAATGTCCACTTCCAGATACTACAATAAGAGTGTTTCCAACCTGCTCTATGAAACGGAAGGTTCAACTCTGTGACTTGATTGCAAACATCACGAAGGTGTTTCTGAGAATGCTTCTGTCTAGATTTTCTTTGAAGACATTCCCGTTTCCAACGAAATCCTCACAGCTATCCAAATATCCTCTTGCAGATTCTACAAAAAGTGTGGTTCAAAACTGCTGTATCAAAAGAATGGATCAACACTGTTACTTGAGTACCCACATCACAAACGTGATTCTCAGAATGCTTCTGTCTAGTTTCTGTAGGTAGATATTTCCTATTTTAAGCATAGGCCTGAAAGCGCTCCAAATGCCCGCTTCCAGACACTATAAAAAGAGGGTTTCAAACCTACTCTATGAAAGGGAATGTTCAACTCTGAGAGCTGGATGCAAACATCACAAAGAAGTTTCTGAGAATGCTGCTGTCTACTTTTTATATATAATCCCGTTTCCAACGAAATCCTCAAATCTATCCAAATATCCACTTGCAGATTCCAAAAGAAGAGTGTCTCAAAACTGCTCTATCAATAGAAATGTTCAGCACAGTTAGTTGAGTAGATACAGCATAAACATGTTTCTGAGATTACTTCTATCTCGCATTCATGGGAAGATATTTCCTTTTTCCACATAGGCTACAAAGCCCTCCAAATGTCCACTTCCAGATACTACAAAAAGAGTGTTTCCAACCTGCTCTATGAAACGGAAGGTTCAACTCTGTGACTTGATTGCAAACATCACGAAGGTGTTTCTGAGAATGCTTCTGTCTAGATTTTCTTTGAAGACATTACCGTTTCCAACGAAATCCTCAAAGCTAGCCAAATATCCACCTGCAGATTCTACAAAAAGAGTGTTTCAAAAGTGCTCTGTCCAAACCAAGGTTCAATTCTGACAGTTGAGTGCACACATCACAAACGTGATTCTGCGAATGCTTCTGTCTAGTTTTTGTCGGAAGATATTTCCTTTTTCAGCATAGGCCCCAAGGAGCTCAAAATGTCCACTGCCAGATAGTACGAGAAGATTGTTTCAAACCTGCTCTGTGAAAGGGAATGTTCAACTCTGTGACTTGAATGTAAACATCCCTAAGATGTTTCTTAGAATGCTTCTGGCTAGATTTGATTTGAAGATATTCCCGTTTCCAACGAAATCCTCAAAGCTTTCCAAATATCCACTTCCAGATTCTATAACAAGAATGTTTCAGAACAGTTCTGTCAAAAGAAAGGTTCAACTCTGTTAGTGGAGAACACACATCACAATCAAGGTTCTGAGAATGCTTCTGTCTAAATTTTCTATGAAGACATTCCCGTTTCCAACGAAATCCTCACAGCTATCCAAATATCCACTTGCAGATTCTACAAAAAGTGTGGTTCAAAACTGCTGTATCAAAAGAATGGATCAACACTGTTAGTTGAGTACCCACATCACAAACGTGATTCTCAGAATGCTTCTGTCTAGTTTCTATAGGTAGATATTTCCTTTTTCAGCATAGGCCTGAAAGCGCTCCAAATGCCCGCTTCCAGACACTATAAAAAGAGGGTTTCAAACCTACTCTATGAAAGGGAATGTTCAACTCTGAGAGCTGGATGCAAACATCACAAAGAAGTTTCTGAGAATGCTGCTGTCTACTTTTTATATATAATCCCGTTTCCAACGAAATCCTCAAATCTATCCAAATATCCACTTGCAGATTCCAAAAGAAGAGTGTCTCAAAACTGCTCTATCAATAGAAATGTTCAGCACAGTTAGTTGAGTAGATACAGCATAAACATGTTTCTGAGATTACTTCTATCTCGCATTCATGGGAAGATATTTCCTTTTTCCAGATAGGCTACAAAGCCCTCCAAATGTCCACTTCCAGATACTACAAATAGAGTGCTGCACAACTGCTCTATGTGAGGGGATGTTCAATTCTGTGACTTGAATGCAGACACCACAAAGAAGTTTCTGAGAATGCTGCTGTCTAATTTTTACATGTAAGCCCGTTTCCAACGAAATCCTCAAAGCTATCCAAATATCCGCATGCAGAATCTTCAAAAAGAGTGTTCCAGAAGTACTGCATGAAACGAAAGGTTCAAGTCCGTTTGTTGAGGACACACATCACAAATAAGTTTCTCAGAATGCTTCTGTCTTGTTTTCATTGGAAGATATTTCCTTTTTCACCATAGTTCAGAAAGCGCTCCAAATGTCCACTTCCAGATACTCCAAAAAGAGTGTTTCCAACCTGCTCTATGAATGGGAATGTTCCACTCTGTGACTTGAATGGAAATATGGCAAAGTATTTTGCTGAGTATGCTGCTGTGTACGTTTTATATTGCATCCCGTTTCCAACGAAATCCTCAAAGCGATCCAAATATCCACTTGCAGATTCCAAAAAAAGAGTGTTTCAAACTGCTCTGTCAGTACAAAGGTTCAACACTGTTAGTTGATTAGATGCATCATAAACAAGTTCCTGAGATAGCTTCTATGTCGTTTTTATGGGAAGATATTTCCTTTTTCACCATAGGCCTGAAAGCGCTCCAAATGTCCACTTCCAGATACTACAATAAGAGTGTTTCCAACCTGCTCTATGAAACGGAAGGTTCAACTCTGTGACTTGATTGCAAACATCACGAAGGTGTTTCTGAGAATGCTTCTGTCTAGATTTTCTTTGAAGACATTCCCGTTTCCAACGAAATCCTCACAGCTATCCAAATATCCTCTTGCAGATTCTACAAAAAGTGTGGTTCAAAACTGCTGTATCAAAAGAATGGATCAACACTGTTAGTTGAGTACCCACATCACAAACGTGATTCTCAGAATGCTTCTGTCTAGTTTCTACAGGTAGATATTTCCTTTTTCAGCATAGGCCTGAAAGCGCTCCAAATGCCCGCTTCCAGACACTATAAAAAGAGGGTTTCAAACCTACTCTATGAAAGGGAATGTTCAACTCTGGGAGCTGGATGCAAACATCACAAAGAAGTTTCTGAGAATGCTGCTGTCTACTTTTTATATATAATCCCGTTTCCAACGAAATCCTCAAATCTATCCAAATATCCACTTGCAGATTCCAAAAGAAGAGTGTCTCAAAACTGCTCTATCAATAGAAATGTTCAGCACAGTTAGTTGAGTAGATACAGCATAAACATGTTTCTGAGATTACTTCTATCTCGCATTCATGG
The DNA here is from genome assembly GCF_000001405.40 of Homo sapiens. Taxonomy (NCBI): domain Eukaryota; kingdom Metazoa; phylum Chordata; class Mammalia; order Primates; family Hominidae; genus Homo; species Homo sapiens. The sequence goes on along the minus strand of NC_000008.11, from coordinate 45,062,410 downwards.
GAAGATATTTCCTTTTTCCAGATAGGCTACAAAGCCCTCCAAATGTCCACTTCCAGATACTACAAAAAGAGTGTTTCCAACCTGCTCTATGAAACGGAAGGTTCAACTCTGTGACTTGATTGCAAACATCACGAAGGTGTTTCTGAGAATGCTTCTGTCTAGATTTTCTTTGAAGACATTACCGTTTCCAACGAAATCCTCAAAGCTAGCCAAATATCCACCTGCAGATTCTACAAAAAGTGTGTTTCAAAAGTGCTCTCTCCAAACCAAGGTTCAATTCTGACAGTTGAGTGCACACATCACAAACGTGATTCTGCGAATGCTTCTGACTAGTTTTTGTCGGAAGATATTTCCTTTTTCAGCATAGGCCCCAAAGAGCTCAAAATGTCCACTGCCAGATAGTACGAGAAGATTGTTTCAAACCTGCTCTGTGAAAGGGAATGTTCAACTCTGTGACTTGAATGTAAACATCCCTAAGATGTTTCTTAGAATGCTTCTGGCTAGATTTTATTTGAAGATATTCCCGTTTCCAACGAAATCCTCAAAGCTTTCCAAATATCCACTTCCAGATTCTATAAAAAGAATGTTTCAGAACAGTTCTGTCAAAAGAAAGGTTCAACTCTGTTAGTGGAGAACACACATCACAATCAAGGTTCTGAGAATGCTTCTGTCTAAATTTTCTATGAAGACATTCCCGTTTCCAACGAAATCCTCACAGCTATCCAAATATCCACTTGCAGATTCTACAAAAAGTGTGGTTCAAAACTGCTGTATCAAAAGAATGGATCAACACTGTTAGTTGAGTACCCACATCACAAACTTGATTCTCAGAATGCTTCTGTCTAGTTTCTATATGTAGATATTTCCTTTTTCAGCATAGGCCTGAAAGCGCTCCAAATGCCCGCTTCCAGACACTATAAAAAGAGGGTTTCAAACCTACTCTATGAAAGGGAATGTTCAACTCTGAGAGCTGGATGCAAACATCACAAAGAAGTTTCTGAGAATGCTGCTGTCTACTTTTTATATATAATCCCGTTTCCAACGAAATCCTCAAATCTATCCAAATATCCACTTGCAGATTCCAAAAGAAGAGTGTCTCAAAACTGCTCTATCAATAGAAATGTTCAGCACAGTTAGTTGAGTAGATACAGCATAAACATGTTTCTGAGATTACTTCTATCTCGCATTCATGGGAAGATATTTCCTTTTTCCAGATAGGCTACAAAGCCCTCCAAATGTCCACTTCCAGATACTACAAATAGAGTGCTGCACAACTGCTCTATGTGAGGGGAAGTTCAATTCTGTGACTTGAATGCAGACACCACAAAGAAGTTTCTGAGAATGCTGCTGTCTAATTTTTACATGTAAGCCCGTTTCCAACGAAATCCTCAAAGCTATCCAAATATCCGCATGCAGAATCTTCAAAAAGAGTGTTCCAGAAGTACTGCATGAAACGAAAGGTTCAAGTCCGTTTGTTGAGGACACACATCACAAATAAGTTTCTCAGAATGCTTCTGTCTTGTTTTCATTGGAAGATATTTCCTTTTTCACCATAGTTCAGAAAGCGCTCCAAATGTCCACTTCCAGATACTCCAAAAAGAGTGTTTCCAACCTGCTCTATGAATGGGAATGTTCCACTCTGTGACTTGAATGGAAATATGGCAAAGTATTTTCTGAGTATGCTGCTGTGTACGTTTTATATTGCATCCCGTTTCCAACGAAATCCTCAAAGCGATCCAAATATCCACTTGCAGATTCCAAAAAAAGAGTGTTTCAAACTGCTCTGTCAGTACAAAGGTTCAACACTGTTAGTTGATTAGATGCATCACAAACAAGTTCCTGAGATAGCTTCTATGTCGTTTTTATGGGAAGATATTTCCTTTTTCACCATAGGCCTGAAAGCGCTCCAAATGTCCACTTCCAGATACTACAATAAGAGTGTTTCCAACCTGCTCTATGAAACGGAAGGTTCAACTCTGTGACTTGATTGCAAACATCACGAAAGGTGTTTCTGAGAATGCTTCTGTCTAGATTTTCTTTGAAGACATTCCCGTTTCCAACGAAATCCTCACAGCTATCCAAATATCCTCTTGCAGATTCTACAAAAAGTGTGGTTCAAAACTGCTGTATCAAAAGAATGGATCAACACTGTTAGTTGAGTACCCACATCACAAACGTGATTCTCAGAATGCTTCTGTCTAGTTTCTGTAGGTAGATATTTCCTATTTTAAGCATAGGCCTGAAAGCGCTCCAAATGCCCGCTTCCAGACACTATAAAAAGAGGGTTTCAAACCTACTCTATGAAAGGGAATGTTCAACTCTGAGAGCTGGATGCAAACATCACAAAGAAGTTTCTGAGAATGCTGCTGTCTACTTTTTAAATATAATCCCGTTTCCAACGAAATCCTCAAATCTATCCAAATATCCACTTGCAGATTCCAAAAGAAGAGTGTCTCAAAACTGCTCTATCAATAGAAATGTTCAGCACAGTTAGTTGAGTAGATACAGCATAAACATGTTTCTGAGATTACTTCTATCTCGCATTCATGGGAAGATATTTCCTTTTTCCAGATAGGCTACAAAGCCCTCCAAATGTCCACTTCCAGATACTACAAAAAGAGTGTTTCCAACCTGCTCTATGAAACGGAAGGTTCAACTCTGTGACTTGATTGCAAACATCACGAAGGTGTTTCTGAGAATGCTTCTGTCTAGATTTTCTTTGAAGACATTACCGTTTCCAACGAAATCCTCAAAGCTAGCCAAATATCCACCTGCAGATTCTACAAAAAGAGTGTTTCAAAAGTGCTCTGTCCAATCCAAGGTTCAATTCTGACAGTTGAGTGCACACATCACAAACGTGATTCTGCGAATGCTTCTGTCTAGTTTTTGTCGGAAGATATTTCCTTTTTCAGCATAGGCCCCAAAGAGCTCAAAATGTCCACTGCCAGATAGTACGAGAAGATTGTTTCAAACCTGCTCTGTGAAAGGGAATGTTCAACTCTGTGACTTGAATGTAAACATCCCTAAGATGTTTCTTAGAATGCTTCTGGCTAGATTTTATTTGAAGATATTCCCGTTTCCAACGAAATCCTCAAAGCTTTCCAAATATCCACTTCCAGATTCTATAAAAAGAATGTTTCAGAACAGTTCTGTCAAAAGAAAGGTTCAACCCTGTTAGTGGAGAACACACATCACAATCAAGGTTCTAAGAATGCTTCTGTCTAAATTTTCTATGAAGACATTCCCGTTTCCAAGGAAATCCTCAAAGCTATCCAAATATCCACTTGCAGATTCTACAAAAAGTGTGGTTCCAAACTGCTGTATCAAAAGAATGGATCAACACTGTTAGTTGAGTACCCACATCACAAACGTGATTCTCAGAATGCTTCTGTCTAGTTTCTATAGGTAGATATTTCCTTTTTCAGCATAGGCCTGAAAGCGCTCCAAATGCCCGCTTCCAGACACTATAAAAAGAGGGTTTCAAACCTACTCTACGAAAGGGAATGTTCAACTCTGAGAGCTGGATGCAAACATCACAAAGAAGTTTCTGAGAATGCTGCTGTCTACTTTTGATATATAATCCCGTTTCCAAGGAAATCCTCAAATCTATCCAAATATCCACTTGCAGATTCCAAAAGAAGAGTGTCTCAAAACTGCTCTATCAATAGAAATGTTCAGCACAGTTAGTTGAGTAGATACAGCATAAACATGTTTCTGAGATTACTTCTATCTCGCATTCATGGGAAGATATTTCCTTTTTCCAGATAGGCTACAAAGCCCTCCAAATGTCCACTTCGAGATACTACAAATAGAGTGCTGCACAACTGCTCTATGTGAGGGGATGTTCAATTCTGTGACTTGAATGCAGACACCACAAAGAAGTTTCTGAGAATGCTGCTGTCTAATTTTTACATGTAAGCCCGTTTCCAACGAAATCCTCAAAGCTATCCAAATATCCGCATGCAGAATCTTCAAAAAGAGTGTTCCAGAAGTACTGCATGAAACGAAAGGTTCAAGTCCGTTTGTTGAGGACACACATCACAAATAAGTTTCTCAGAATGCTTGTCTGTCTTGTTTTCATTGGAAGATATTTCCTTTTTCACCATAGTTCAGAAAGCGCTCCAAATGTCCACTTCCAGATACTCCAAAAAGAGTGTTTCAAACCTGCTCTATGAATGGGAATGTTCCACTCTGTGACTTGAATGGAAATATGGCAAAGTATTTTCTGAGTATGCTGCTGTGTACGTTTTATATTGCATCCCGTTTCCAACGAAATCCTCAAAGCGATCCAAATATCCACTTGCAGATTCCAAAAAAAGAGTGTTTCAAACTGCTCTGTCAGTACAAAGGTTCAACACTGTTAGTTGATTAGATGCATCATAAACAAGTTCCTGAGATAGCTTCTATGTCGTTTTTATGGGAAGATATTTCCTTTTTCACCATAGGCCTGAAAGCGCTCCAAATGTCCACTTCCAGATACTACAAAAAGAGTGTTTCCAACCTGCTCTATGAAACGGAAGGTTCAACTCTGTGACTTGATTGCAAACATCACGAAGGTGTTTCTGAGAATGCTTCTGTCTAGATTTTCTTTGAAGACATTACCGTTTCCAACGAAATCCTCAAAGCTAGCCAAATATCCACCTGCAGATTTTACAAAAAGAGTGTTTCAAGAGTGCAATCTCCAAACCAAGGTTCAATTCTGACAGTTGAGTGCACACATCACAAACGTGATTCTGCGAATGCTTCTGTCTAGTTTTTGTCGGAAGATATTTCCTTTTTCAGCATAGGCCCCAAGGAGCTCAAAATGTCCACTGCCAGATAGTACGAGAAGATTGTTTCAAACCTGCTCTGTGAAAGGGAATGTTCAACTCTGTGACTTGAATGTAAACATCCCTAAGCTGTTTCTTAGAATGCTTCTGGCTAGATTTGATTTGAAGATATTCCCGTTTCCAACGAAATCCTCAAAGCTTTCCAAATATCCACTTCCAGATTCTATAAAAAGAATGTTTCAGAACAGTTCTGTCAAAAGAAAGGTTCAACTCTGTTAGTGGAGAACACACATCACAATCAAGGTTCTGAGAATGCTTCTGTCTAGATTTTCTTTGAAGACATTCCCGTTTCCAACGAAATCCTCACAGCTATCCAAATATCCTCTTGCAGATTCTACAAAAAGTGTGGTTCAAAACTGCTGTATCAAAAGAATGGATCAACACTGTTAGTTGAGGTACCCACATCACAAACGTGATTCTCAGAATGCTTCTGTCTAGTTTCTGTAGGTAGATATTTCCTATTTTAAGCATAGGCCTGAAAGCGCTCCAAATGCCCGCTTCCAGACACTATAAAAAGAGGGTTTCAAACCTACTCTATGAAAGGGAATGTTCAACTCTGAGAGCTGGATGCAAACATCACAAAGAAGTTTCTGAGAATGCTGCTGTCTACTTTTTATATTATAATCCCGTTTCCAACGAAATCCTCAAATCTATCCAAATATCCACTTGCAGATTCCAAAAGAAGAGTGTCTCAAAACTGCTCTATCAATAGAAATGTTCAGCACAGTTAGTTGAGTAGATACAGCATAAACATGTTTCTGAGATTACTTCTATCTCGCATTCATGGGAAGATATTTCCTTTTTCCACATAGGCTACAAAGCCCTCCAAATGTCCACTTCCAGATACTACAAATAGAGTGCTGCACAACTGCTCTATGTGAGGGGATGTTCAATTCTGTGACTTGAATGCAGACACCACAAAGAAGTTTCTGAGAATGCTGCTGTCTAATTTTTACATGTAAGCCCGTTTCCAACGAAATCCTCAAAGCTATCCAAATATCCGCATGCAGAATCTTCAAAAAGAGTGTTCCAGAAGTACTGCATGAAACGAAAGGTTCAAGTCCGTTTGTTGAGGACACACATCACAAATAAGTTTCTCAGAATGCTTCTGTCTTGTTTTCATTGGAAGATATTTCCTTTTTCACCATAGTTCAGAAAGCGCTCCAAATGTCCACTTCCAGATACTCCAAAAAGAGTGTTTCCAACCTGCTCTATGAATGGGAATGTTCCACTCTGTGACTTGAATGGAAATATGGCAAAGAATTTTCTGAGTATGCTGCTGTGTACGTTTTATATTGCATCCCGTTTCCAACGAAATCCTCAAAGCGATCCAAATATCCACTTGCAGATTCCAAAAAAAGAGTGTTTCAAACTGCTCTGTCAGTACAAAGGTTCAACACTGTTAGTTGATTAGATGCATCATAAACAAGTTCCTGAGATAGCTTCTATGTCGTTTTTATGGGAAGATATTTCCTTTTTCACCATAGGCCTGAAAGCGCTCCAAATGTCCACTTCCAGATACTACAATAAGAGTGTTTCCAACCTGCTCTATGAAACGGAAGGTTCAACTCTGTGACTTGATTGCAAACATCACGAAGGTGTTTCTGAGAATGTTTCTGTCTAGATTTTCTTTGAAGACATTCCCGTTTCCAACGAAATCCTCACAGCTATCCAAATATCCTCTTGCAGATTCTACAAAAAGTGTGGTTCAAAACTGCTGTATCAAAAGAATGGATCAACACTGTTAGTTGAGTACCCACATCACAAACGTGATTCTCAGAATGCTTCTGTCTAGTTTCTGTAGGTAGATATTTCCTATTTTAAGCATAGGCCTGAAAGCGCTCCAAATGCCCGCTTCCAGACACTATAAAAAGAGGGTTTCAAACCTACTCTATGAAAGGGAATGTTCAACTCTGAGAGCTGGATGCAAACATCACAAAGAAGTTTCTGAGAATGCTGCTGTCTACTTTTGATATATAATCCCGTTTCCAACGAAATCCTCAAATCTATCCAAATATCCACTTGCAGATTCCAAAAGAAGAGTGTCTCAAAACTGCTCTATCAATAGAAATGTTCAGCACAGTTAGTTGAGTAGATACAGCATAAACATGTTTCTGAGATTACTTCTATCTCGCATTCATGGGAAGATATTTCCTTTTTCCAGATAGGCTACAAAGTCCTCCAAATGTCCACTTCCAGATACTACAAATAGAGTGCTGCACAACTGCTCTATGTGAGGGGAAGTTCAATTCTGTGACTTGAATGCAGACACCACAAAGAAGTTTCTGAGAATGCTGCTGTCTAATTTTTACATGTAAGCCCGTTTCCAACGAAATCCTCAAAGCTATCCAAATATCCGCATGCAGAATCTTCAAAAAGAGTGTTCCAGAATTACTGCATGAAACGAAAGGTTCAAGTCCGTTTGTTGAGGACACACATCACAAATAAGTTTCTCAGAATGCTTCTGTCTTGTTTTCATTGGAAGATATTTCCTTTTTCACCATAGTTCAGAAAGCGCTCCAAATGTCCACTTCCAGATACTCCAAAAAGAGTGTTTCCAACCTGCTCTATGAATGGGAATGTTCCACTCTGTGACTTGAATGGAAATATGGCAAAGTATTTTCTGAGTATGCTGCTGTGTACGTTTTATATTGCATCCCGTTTCCAACGAAATCCTCAAAGCGATCCAAATATCCACTTGCAGATTCCAAAAAAAGAGTGTTTCAAAGTGCTCTGTCAGTACAAAGGTTCAACACTGTTAGTTGATTAGATGCATCATAAACAAGTTCCTGAGATAGCTTCTATGTCGTTTTTATGGGAAGATATTTCCTTTTTCACCATAGGCCTGAAAGCGCTCCAAATGTCCACTTCCAGATACTACAATAAGAGTGTTTCCAACCTGCTCTATGAAACGGAAGGTTCAACTCTGTGACTTGATTGCAAACATCACGAAGGTGTTTCTGAGAATGCTTCTGTCTAGATTTTCTTTGAAGACATTCCCGTTTCCAACGAAATCCTCACAGCTATCCAAATATCCTCTTGCAGATTCTACAAAAAGTGTGGTTCAAAACTGCTGTATCAAAAGAATGGATCAACACTGTTAGTTGAGTACCCACATCACAAACGTGATTCTCAGAATGCTTCTGTCTAGTTTCTGTAGGTAGATATTTCCTATTTTAAGCATAGGCCTGAAAGCGCTCCAAATGCCCGCTTCCAGACACTATAAAAAGAGGGTTTCAAACCTACTCTATGAAAGGGAATGTTCAACTCTGGGAGCTGGATGCAAACATCACAAAGAAGTTTCTGAGAATGCTGCTGTCTACTTTTTATATATAATCCCGTTTCCAACGAAATCCTCAAATCTATCCAAATATCCACTTGCAGATTTCAAAAGAAGAGTGTCTCAAAACTGCTCTATCAATAGAAATGTTCAGCACAGTTAGTTGAGTAGATACAGCATAAACATGTTTCTGAGATTACTTCTATCTCGCATTCATGGGAAGATATTTCCTTTTTCCAGATAGGCTACAAAGCCCTCCAAATGTCCACTTCCAGATACTACAAATAGAGTGCTGCACAACTGCTCTATGTGAGGGGAAGTTCAATTCTGTGACTTGAATGCAGACACCACAAAGAAGTTTCTGAGAATGCTGCTGTCTAATTTTTACATGTAAGCCCGTTTCCAACGAAATCCTCAAAGCTATCCAAATATCCGCATGCAGAATCTTCAAAAAGAGTGTTCCAGAAGTACTGCATGAAACGAAAGGTTCAAGTCCGTTTGTTGAGGACACACATCACAAATAAGTTTCTCAGAATGCTTCTGTCTTGTTTTCATTGGAAGATATTTCCTTTTTCACCATAGTTCAGAAAGCGCTCCAAATGTCCACTTCCAGATACTCCAAAAAGAGTGTTTCAAACCTGCTCTATGAATGGGAATGTTCCGCTCTGTGACTTGAATGGAAATATGGCAAAGTATTTTCTGAGTATGCTGCTGTGTACGTTTTATATTGCATCCCGTTTCCAACGAAATCCTCAAAGCGATCCAAATATCCACTTGCAGATTCCAAAAAAAGAGTGTTTCAAACTGCTCTGTCAGTACAAAGGTTCAACACTGTTAGTTGATTAGATGCATCATAAACAAGTTCCTGAGATAGCTTCTATGTCGTTTTTATGGGAAGATATTTCCTTTTTCACCATAGGCCTGAAAGCGCTCCAAATGTCCACTTCCAGATACTACAATAAGAGTGTTTCCAACCTGCTCTATGAAACGGAAGGTTCAACTCTGTGACTTGATTGCAAACATCACGAAGGTGTTTCTGAGAATGCTTCTGTCTAGATTTTCTTTGAAGACATTCCCGTTTCCAACGAAATCCTCACAGCTATCCAAATATCCTCTTGCAGATTCTACAAAAAGTGTGGTTCAAAACTGCTGTATCAAAAGAATGGATCAACACTGTTAGTTGAGTACCCACATCACAAACGTGATTCTCAGAATGCTTCTGTCTAGTTTCTGTAGGTAGATATTTCCTATTTTAAGCATAGGCCTGAAAGCGCTCCAAATGCCTGCTTCCAGACACTATAAAAAGAGGGTTTCAAACCTACTCTATGAAAGGGAATGCTCAACTCTGAGAGCTGGATGCAAACATCACAAAGAAGTTTCTGAGAATGCTGCTGTCTACTTTTGATATATAATCCCGTTTCCAACGAAATCCTCAAATCTATCCAAATATCCACTTGCAGATTCCAAAAGAAGAGTGTCTCAAAACTGCTCTATCAATAGAAATGTTCAGCACAGTTAGTTGAGTAGATACAGCATAAACATGTTTCTGAGATTACTTCTATCTCGCATTCATGGGAAGATATTTCCTTTTTCCAGATAGGCTACAAAGCCCTCCAAATGTCCACTTCCAGATACTACAAAAAGAGTGTTTCCAACCTGCTCTATGAAACGGAAGGTTCAACTCTGTGACTTGATTGCAAATATCACGAAGGTGTTTCTGAGAATGCTTCTGTCTAGATTTTCTTTGAAGACATTACCGTTTCCAACGAAATCCTCAAAGCTAGCCAAATATCCACCTGCAGATTCTACAAAGAGAGTGTTTCAAAAGTGCTCTGTCCAATCCAAGGTTCAATTCTGACAGTTGAGTGCACACATCACAAACGTGATTCTGCGAATGCTTCTGTCTAGTTTTTGTCGGAAGATATTTCCTTTTTCAGCATAGGCCCCAAGGAGCTCAAAATGTCCACTGCCAGATAGTACGAGAAGATTGTTTCAAACCTGCTCTGTGAAAGGGAATGTTCAACTCTGTGACTTGAATGTAAACATCCCTAAGATGTTTCTTAGAATGCTTCTGGCTAGATTTTATTTGAAGATATTCCCGTTTCCAATGAAATCCTCAAAGCTTTCCAAATATCCACTTCCAGATTCTATAAAAAGAATGTTTCAGAACAGTTCTGTCAAAAGAAAGGTTCAAATCTGTTAGTGGAGAACACACATCACAATCAAGGTTCTGAGAATGCTTCTGTCTAAATTTTCTATGAAGACATTCCCGTTTCCAACGAAATCCTCACAGCTATCCAAATATCCACTTGCAGATTCTACAAAAAGTGTGGTTCAAAACTGCTGTATCAAAAGAATGGATCAACACTGTTAGTTGAGTACCCACATCACAAACGTGATTCTCAGAATGCTTCTGTCTAGTTTCTATAGGTAGATATTTCCTTTTTCAGCATAGGCCTGAAAGCGCTCCAAATGCCCGCTTCCAGACACTATAAAAAGAGGGTTTCAAACCTACTCTATGAAAGGGAATGTTCAACTCTGAGAGCTGGATGCAAACATCACAAAGAAGTTTCTGAGAATGCTGCTGTCTACTTTTGATATATAATCCCGTTTCCAACGAAATCCTCAAATCTATCCAAATATCCACTTGCAGATTCCAAAAGAAGAGTGTCTCAAAACTGCTCTATCAATAGAAATGTTCAGCACAGTTAGTTGAGTAGATACAGCATAAACATGTTTCTGAGATTACTTCTATCTCGCATTCATGGGAAGATATTTCCTTTTTCCAGATAGGCTACAAAGCCCTCCAAATGTCCACTTCCAGATACTACAAATAGAGTGCTGCACAACTGCTCTATGTGAGGGGATGTTCAATTCTGTGACTTGAATGCAGACACCACAAAGAAGTTTCTGAGAATGCTGCTGTCTAATTTTTACATGTAAGCCCGTTTCCAACGAAATCCTCAAAGCTATCCAAATATCCGCATGCAGAATCTTCAAAAAGAGTGTTCCAGAAGTACTGCATGAAACGAAAGGTTCAAGTCCGTTTGTTGAGGACACACATCACACATAAGTTTCTCAGAATGCTTCTGTCTTGTTTTCATTGGAAGATATTTCCTTTTTCACCATAGTTCAGAAAGCGCTCCAAATGTCCACTTCCAGATACTCCAAAAAGAGTGTTTCAAACCTGCTCTATGAATGGGAATGTTCCACTCTCTGACTTGAATGGAAATATGGCAAAGTATTTTCTGAGTATGCTGCTGTGTACGTTTTATATTGCATCCCGTTTCCAACGAAATCCTCAAAGCGATCCAAATATCCACTTGCAGATTCCAAAAAAAGAGTGTTTCAAACTGCTCTGTCAGTACAAAGGTTCAACACTGTTAGTTGATTAGATGCATCATAAACAAGTTCCTGAGATAGCTTCTATCTCGCATTCATGGGAAGATATTTCCTTTTTCCAGATAGGCTACAAAGCCCTCCAAATGTCCACTTCCAGATACTACAAAAAGAGTGTTTCCAACCTGCTCTATGAAATGGAAGGTTCAACTCTGTGACTTGATTGCAAACATCACGAAGGTGTTTCTGAGAATGCTTCTGTCTAGATTTTCTTTGAAGACATTACCGTTTCCAACGAAATCCTCAAAGCTAGCTAAATATCCACCTGCAGATTCTACAAAAAGAGTGTTTCAAAAGTGCTCTGTCCAAACCAAGGTTCAATTCTGACAGTTGAGTGCACACATCACAAACGTGATTCTGCGAATGCTTCTGTCTAGTTTTTGTCGGAAGATATTTCCTTTTTCAGCATAGGCCCCAAGGAGCTCAAAATGTCCACTGCCAGATAGTACGAGAAGATTGTTTCAAACCTGCTCTGTGAAAGGGAATGTTCAACTCTGTGACTTGAATGTAAACATCCCTAAGATGTTTCTTAGAATGCTTCTGGCTAGATTTTATTTGAAGATATTCCCGTTTCCAATGAAATCCTCAAAGCTTTCCAAATATCCACTTCCAGATTCTATAAAAAGAATGTTTCAGAACAGTTCTGTCAAAAGAAAGGTTCAACTCTGTTAGTGGAGAACACACATCACAATCAAGGTTCTGAGAATGCTTCTGTCTAAATTTTCTATGAAGACATTCCCGTTTCCAACGAAATCCTCACAGCTATCCAAATATCCACTTGCAGATTCTACAAAAAGTGTGGTTCAAAACTGCTGTATCAAAAGAATGGATCAACACTGTTAGTTGAGTACCCACATCACAAACGTGATTCTCAGAATGCTTCTGTCTAGTTTCTATAGGTAGATATTTCCTTTTTCAGCATAGGCCTGAAAGCGCTCCAAATGCCCGCTTCCAGACACTATAAAAAGAGGGTTTCAAACCTACTCTATGAAAGGGAATGTTCAACTCTGAGAGCTGGATGCAAACATCACAAAGAAGTTTCTGAGAATGCTGCTGTCTACTTTTGATATATAATCCCGTTTCCAACGAAATCCTCAAATCTATCCAAATATCCACTTGCAGATTCCAAAAGAAGAGTGTCTCAAAACTGCTCTATCAATAGAAATGTTCAGCACAGTTAGTTGAGTAGATACAGCATAAACATGTTTCTGAGATTACTTCTATCTCGCATTCATGGGAAGATATTTCCTTTTTCCAGATAGGCTACAAAGCCCTCCAAATGTCCACTTCCAGATACTACAAATAGAGTGCTGCACAACTGCTCTATGTGAGGGGAAGTTCAATTCTGTGACTTGAATGCAGACACCACAAAGAAGTTTCTGAGAATGCTGCTGTCTAATTTTTACATGTAAGCCCGTTTCCAACGAAATCCTCAAAGCTATCCAAATATCCGCATGCAGAATCTTCAAAAAGAGTGTTCCAGAAGTACTGCATGAAACGAAAGGTTCAAGTCCGTTTGTTGAGGACACACATCACAAATAAGTTTCTCAGAATGCTTCTGTCTTGTTTTCATTGGAAGATATTTCCTTTTTCACCATAGTTCAGAAAGCGCTCCAAATGTCCACTTCCAGATACTCCAAAAAGAGTGTTTCCAACCTGCTCTATGAATGGGAATGTTCCACTCTGTGACTTGAATGGAAATATGGCAAAGTATTTTCTGAGTATGCTGCTGTGTACGTTTTATATTGCATCCCGTTTCCAACGAAATCCTCAAAGTGATCCAAATATCCACTTGCAGATTCCAAAAAAAGAGTGTTTCAAACTGCTCTGTCAGTACAAATGTTCAACACTGTTAGTTGATTAGATGCATCATAAACAAGTTCCTGAGATAGCTTCTATGTCGTTTTTATGGGAAGATATTTCTTTTTCACCATAGGCCTGAAAGCGCTCCAAATGTCCACTTCCAGATACTACAATAAGAGTGTTTCCAACCTGCTCTATGAAACGGAAGGTTCAACTCTGTGACTTGATTGCAAACATCACGAAGGTGTTTCTGAGAATGTTTCTGTCTAGATTTTCTTTGAAGACATTCCCGTTTCCAACGAAATCCTCACAGCTATCCAAATATCCTCTTGCAGATTCTACAAAAAGTGTGGTTCAAAACTGCTGTATCAAAAGAATGGATCAACACTGTTAGTTGAGTACCCACATCACAAACGTGATTCTCAGAATGCTTCTGTCTAGTTTCTGTAGGTAGATATTTCCTATTTTAAGCATAGGCCTGAAAGCGCTCCAAATGCCCGCTTCCAGACACTATAAAAAGAGGGTTTCAAACCTACTCTATGAAAGGGAATGTTCAACTCTGAGAGCTGGATGCAAACATCACAAAGAAGTTTCTGAGAATGCTGCTGTCTACTTTTTATATATAATCCCGTTTCCAACGAAATCCTCAAATCTATCCAAATATCCACTTGCAGATTCCAAAAGAAGAGTGTCTCAAAACTGCTCTATCAATAGAAATGTTCAGCACAGTTAGTTGAGTAGATACAGCATAAACATGTTTCTGAGATTACTTCTATCTCGCATTCATGGGAAGATATTTCCTTTTTCCAGATAGGCTACAAAGCCCTCCAAATGTCCACTTCCAGATACTACAAAAAGAGTGTTTCCAACCTGCTCTATGAAACGGAAGGTTCAACTCTGTGACTTGATTGCAAACATCACGAAGGTGTTTCTGAGAATGCTTCTGTCTAGATTTTCTTTGAAGACATTACCGTTTCCAACGAAATCCTCAAAGCTAGCCAAATATCCACCTGCAGATTCTACAAAAAGAGTGTTTCAAAAGTGCTCTGTCCAAACCAAGGTTCAATTCTGAGAGTTGAGTGCACACATCACAAACGTGATTCTGCGAATGCTTCTGTCTAGTTTTTGTCGGAAGATATTTCCTTTTTCAGCATAGGCCCCAAGGAGCTCAAAATGTCCACTTCCAGATAGTACGAGAAGATTGTTTCAAACCTGCTCTGTGAAAGGGAATGTTCAACTCTGTGACTTGAATGTAAACATCCCTAAGTTGTTTCTTAGAATGCTTCTGGCTAGATTTGATTTGAAGATATTCCCGTTTCCAACGAAATCCTCAAAGCTTTCCAAATATCCACTTCCAGATTCTATAAAAAGAATGTTTCAGAACAGTTCTGTCAAAAGAAAGGTTCAACTCTGTTAGTGGAGAACACACATCACAATCAAGGTTCTGAGAATGCTTCTGTCTAAATTTTCTATGAAGACATTCCCGTTTCCAACGAAATCCTCACAGCTATCCAAATATCCACTTGCAGATTCTACAAAAAGGGTGGTTCAAAACTGCTGTATCAAAAGAATGGATCAACACTGTTAGTTGAGTACCCACATCACAAACGTGATTCTCAGAATGCTTCTGTCTAGTTTCTATAGGTAGATATTTCCTTTTTCAGCATAGGCCTGAAAGCGCTCCAAATGCCCGCTTCCAGACACTATAAAAAGAGGGTTTCAAACCTACTCTATGAAAGGGAATGTTCAACTCTGAGAGCTGGATGCAAACATCACAAAGAAGTTTCTGAGAATGCTGCTGTCTACTTTTTATATATAATCCCGTTTCCAACGAAATCCTCAAATCTATCCAAATATCCACTTGCAGATTCCAAAAGAAGAGTGTCTGAAAACTGCTCTATCAATAGAAATGTTCAGCACAGTTAGTTGAGTAGATACAGCATAAACATGTTTCTGAGATTACTTCTATCTCGCATTCATGGGAAGATATTTCCTTTTTCCAGATAGGCTACAAAGCCCTCCAAATGTCCACTTCCAGATACTACAAATAGAGTGCTGCACAACTGCTCTATGTGAGGGGATGTTCAATTCTGTGACTTGAATGCAGACACCACAAAGAAGTTTCTGAGAATGCTGCTGTCTAATTTTTACATGTAAGCCCGTTTCCAACGAAATCCTCAAAGCTATCCAAATATCCGCATGCAGAATCTTCAAAAAGAGTGTTCCAGAAGTACTGCATGAAACGAAAGGTTCAAGTCCCGTTTGTTGAGGACACACATCACAAATAAGTTTCTCAGAATGCTTCTGTCTTGTTTTCATTGGAAGATATTTCCTTTTTCACCATAGTTCAGAAAGCGCTCCAAATGTCCACTTCCAGATACTCCAAAAAGAGTGTTTCCAACCTGCTCTATGAATGGGAATGTTCCACTCTGTGACTTGAATGGAAATATGGCAAAGTATTTTCTGAGTATGCTGCTGTGTACGTTTTTTATTGCATCCCGTTTCCAACGAAATCCTCAAAGCGATCCAAATATCCACTTGCAGATTCCAAAAAAAGAGTGTTTCAAACTGCTCTGTCAGTACAAAGGTTCAACACTGTTAGTTGATTAGATGCATCATAAACAAGTTGCCTGAGATAGCTTCTATCTCGCATTCATGGGAAGATATTTCCTTTTTCCAGATAGGCTACAAAGCCCTCCAAATGTCCACTTCCAGATACTACAAAAAGTGTGTTTCCAACCTGCTCTATGAAACGGAAGGTTCAACTCTGTGACTTGATTGCAAACATCACGAAGGTGTTTCTGAGAATGCTTCTGTCTAGATTTTCTTTGAAGACATTACCGTTTCCAACGAAATCCTCAAAGCTAGCCAAATATCCACCTGCAGATTCTACAAAAAGAGTGTTTCAAAAGTGCTCTGTCCAAACCAAGGTTCAATTCTGACAGTTGAGTGCACACATCACAAACGTGATTCTGCGAATGCTTCTGTCTAGTTTTTGTCGGAAGATATTTCCTTTTTCAGCATAGGCCCCAAGGAGCTCAAAATGTCCACTGCCAGATAGTACGAGAAGATTGTTTCAAACCTGCTCTGTGAAAGGGAATGTTCAACTCTGTGACTTGAATGTAAACATCCCTAAGATGTTTCTTAGAATGCTTTCTGGCTAGATTTTATGTGAAGATATTCCCGTTTCCAACGAAATCCTCAAAGCTTTCCAAATATCCACTTCCAGATTCTATAAAAAGAATGTTTCAGAACAGTTCTGTCAAAAGAAAGGTTCAACTCTGTTAGTGGAGAACACACATCACAATCAAGGTTCTGAGAATGCTTCTGTCTAAATTTTCTATGAAGACATTCCCGTTTCCAACGAAATCCTCACAGCTATCCAAATATCCACTTGCAGATTCTACAAAAAGTGTGGTTCAAAACTGCTGTATCAAAAGAATGGATCAACACTGTTAGTTGAGTACCCACATCACAAACGTGATTCTCAGAATGCTTCTGTCTAGTTTCTATAGGTAGATATTTCCTTTTTCAGCATAGGCCTGAAAGCGCTCCAAATGCCCGCTTCCAGACACTATAAAAAGAGGGTTTCAAACCTACTCTATGAAAGGGAATGTTCAACTCTGAGAGCTGGATGCAAACATCACAAAGAAGTTTCTGAGAATGCTGCTGTCTACTTTTGATATATAATCCCGTTTCCAACGAAATCCTCAAATCTATCCAAATATCCACTTGCAGATTCCAAAAGAAGAGTGTCTCAAAACTGCTCTATCAATAGAAATGTTCAGCACAGTTAGTTGAGTAGATACAGCATAAACATGTTTCTGAGATTACTTCTATCTCGCATTCATGGGAAGATATTTCCTTTTTCCAGATAGGCTACAAAGCCCTCCAAATGTCCACTTCCAGATACTACAAAAAGAGTGTTTCCAACCTGCTCTATGAAACGGAAGGTTCAACTCTGTGACTTGATTGCAAACATCACGAAGGTGTTTCTGAGAATGCTTCTGTCTAGATTTTCTTTGAAGACATTACCGTTTCCAACGAAATCCTCAAAGCTAGCCAAATATCCACCTGCAGATTCTACAAAAAGAGTGTTTCAAAAGTGCTCTGTCCAAACCAAGGTTCAATTCTGACAGTTGAGTGCACACATCACAAACGTGATTCTGCGAATGCTTCTGTCTAGTTTTTGTCGGAAGATATTTCCTTTTTCAGCATAGGCCCCAAGGAGCTCAAAATGTCCACTGCCAGATAGTACGAGAAGATTGTTTCAAACC
Organism: Homo sapiens; assembly: GCF_000001405.40. Classification (NCBI taxonomy): domain Eukaryota; kingdom Metazoa; phylum Chordata; class Mammalia; order Primates; family Hominidae; genus Homo; species Homo sapiens. The sequence goes on along the minus strand of NC_000008.11, from coordinate 45,044,822 downwards.
TGCTCTGTGAAAGGGAATGTTCAACTCTGTGACTTGAATGTAAACATCCCTAAGATGTTTCTTAGAATGCTTCTGGCTAGATTTTATTTGAAGATATTCCCGTTTCCAACGAAATCCTCAAAGCTTTCCAAATATCCACTTCCAGATTCTATAAAAAGAATGTTTCAGAACAGTTCTGTCAAAAGAAAGGTTCAACTCTGTTAGTGGAGAACACACATCACAATCAAGGTTCTGAGAATGCTTCTGTCTAATTTTCTATGAAGACATTCCCGTTTCCAACGAAATCCTCACAGCTATCCAAATATCCACTTGCAGATTCTACAAAAAGTGTGGTTCAAAACTGCTGTATCAAAAGAATGGATCAACACTGTTAGTTGAGTACCCACATCACAAACGTGATTCTCAGAATGCTTCTGTCTAGTTTCTATAGGTAGATATTTCCTTTTTCAGCATAGGCCTGAAAGCGCTCCAAATGCCCGCTTCCAGACACTATAAAAAGAGGGTTTCAAACCTACTCTATGAAAGGGAATGTTCAACTCTGAGAGCTGGATGCAAACATCACAAAGAAGTTTCTGAGAATGCTGCTGTCTACTTTTGATATATAATCCCGTTTCCAACGAAATCCTCAAATCTATCCAAATATCCACTTGCAGATTCCAAAAGAAGAGTGTCTCAAAACTGCTCTATCAATAGAAATGTTCAGCACAGTTAGTTGAGTAGATACAGCATAAACATGTTTCTGAGATTACTTCTATCTCGCATTCATGGGAAGATATTTCCTTTTTCCACATAGGCTACAAAGCCCTCCAAATGTCCACTTCCAGATACTACAAAAAGAGTGTTTCCAACCTGCTCTATGAAACGGAAGGTTCAACTCTGTGACTTGATTGCAAACATCACGAAGGTGTTTCTGAGAATGCTTCTGTCTAGATTTTCTTTGAAGACATTACCGTTTCCAACGAAATCCTCAAAGCTAGCCAAATATCCACCTGCAGATTCTACAAAAAGAGTGTTTCAAAAGTGCTCTGTCCAAACCAAGGTTCAATTCTGACAGTTGAGTGCACACATCACAAACGTGATTCTGCGAATGCTTCTGTCTAGTTTTTGTCGGAAGATATTTCCTTTTTCAGCATAGGCCCCAAGGAGCTCAAAATGTCCACTGCCAGATAGTACGAGAAGATTGTTTCAAACCTGCTCTGTGAAAGGGAATGTTCAACTCTGTGACTTGAATGTAAACATCCCTAAGATGTTTCTTAGAATGCTTCTGGCTAGATTTGATTTGAAGATATTCCCGTTTCCAACGAAATCCTCAAAGCTTTCCAAATATCCACTTCCAGATTCTATAAAAAGAATGTTTCAGAACAGTTCTGTCAAAAGAAAGGTTCAACTCTGTTAGTGGAGAACACACATCACAATCAAGGTTCTGAGAATGCTTCTGTCTAAATTTTCTATGAAGACATTCCCGTTTCCAACGAAATCCTCACAGCTATCCAAATATCCACTTGCAGATTCTACAAAAAGTGTGGTTCAAAACTGCTGTATCAAAAGAATGGATCAACACTGTTAGTTGAGTACCCACATCACAAACGTGATTCTCAGAATGCTTCTGTCTAGTTTCTATAGGTAGATATTTCCTTTTTCAGCATAGGCCTGAAAGCGCTCCAAATGCCCGCTTCCAGACACTATAAAAAGAGGGTTTCAAACCTACTCTATGAAAGGGAATGTTCAACTCTGAGAGCTGGATGCAAACATCACAAAGAAGTTTCTGAGAATGCTGCTGTCTACTTTTTATATATAATCCCGTTTCCAACGAAATCCTCAAATCTATCCAAATATCCACTTGCAGATTCCAAAAGAAGAGTGTCTCAAAACTGCTCTATCAATAGAAATGTTCAGCACAGTTAGTTGAGTAGATACAGCATAAACATGTTTCTGAGATTACTTCTATCTCGCATTCATGGGAAGATATTTCCTTTTTCCAGATAGGCTACAAAGCCCTCCAAATGTCCACTTCCAGATACTACAAAAAGAGTGTTTCCAACCTGCTCTATGAAACGGAAGGTTCAACTCTGTGACTTGATTGCAAACATCACGAAGGTGTTTCTGAGAATGCTTCTGTCTAGATTTTCTTTGAAGACATTACCGTTTCCAACGAAATCCTCAAAGCTAGCCAAATATCCACCTGCAGATTCTACAAAAAGAGTGTTTCAAAAGTGCTCTGTCCAAACCAAGGTTCAATTCTGACAGTTGAGTGCACACATCACAAACGTGATTCTGCGAATGCTTCTGTCTAGTTTTTGTCGGAAGATATTTCCTTTTTCAGCATAGGCCCCAAGGAGCTCAAAATGTCCACTTCCAGATACTACGAGAAGATTGTTTCAAACCTGCTCTGTGAAAGGGAATGTTCAACTCTGTGACTTGAATGTAAACATCCCTAAGATGTTTCTTAGAATGCTTTCTGGCTAGATTTGATTTGAAGATATTCCCGTTTCCAACGAAATCCTCAAAGCTTTCCAAATATCCACTTCCAGATTCTATACAAAGAATGTTTCAGAACAGTTCTGTCAAAAGAAAGGTTCAACCCTGTTAGTGGAGAACACACATCACAATCAAGGTTCTGAGAATGCTTCTGTCTAAATTTTCTATGAAGACATTCCCGTTTCCAAGGAAATCCTCACAGCTATCCAAATATCCACTTGCAGATTCTACAAAAAGTGTGGTTCAAAACTGCTGTATCAAAAGAATGGATCAACACTGTTAGTTGAGTACCCACATCACAAACGTGATTCTCAGAATGCTTCTGTCTAGTTTCTATAGGTAGATATTTCCTTTTTCAGCATAGGCCTGAAAGCGCTCCAAATGCCCGCTTCCAGACACTATAAAAAGAGGGTTTCAAACCTACTCTATGAAAGGGAATGTTCAACTCTGAGAGCTGGATGCAAACATCACAAAGAAGTTTCTGAGAATGCTGCTGTCTGCTTTTGATATATAATCCCGTTTCCAACGAAATCCTCAAATCTATCCAAATATCCACTTGCAGATTCCAAAAGAAGAGTGTCTCAAAACTGCTCTATCAATAGAAATGTTCAGCACAGTTAGTTGAGTAGATACAGCATAAACATGTTTCTGAGATTACTTCTATCTCGCATTCATGGGAAGATATTTCCTTTTTCCAGATAGGCTACAAAGCCCTCCAAATGTCCACTTCCAGATACTACAAATAGAGTGCTGCACAACTGCTCTATGTGAGGGGAAGTTCAATTCTGTGACTTGAATGCAGACACCACAAAGAAGTTTCTGAAAATGCTGCTGTCTAATTTTTACATGTAAGCCCGTTTCCAACGAAATCCTCAAAGCTATCCAAATATCCGCATGCAGAATCTTCAAAAAGAGTGTTCCAGAAGTACTGCATGAAACGAAAGGTTCAAGTCCGTTTGTTGAGGACACACATCACAAATAAGTTTCTCAGAATGCTTCTGTCTTGTTTTCATTGGAAGATATTTCCTTTTTCACCATAGTTCAGAAAGCGCTCCAAATGTCCACTTCCAGATACTCCAAAAAGAGTGTTTCCAACCTGCTCTATGAATGGGAATGTTCCACTCTGTGACTTGAATGGAAATATGGCAAAGTATTTTCTGAGTATGCTGCTGTGTACGTTTTATATTGCATCCCGTTTCCAACGAAATCCTCAAAGCGATCCAAATATCCACTTGCAGATTCCAAAAAAAGAGTGTTTCAAACTGCTCTGTCAGTACAAAGGTTCAACACTGTTAGTTGATTAGATGCATCATAAACAAGTTCCTGAGATAGCTTCCATGTCGTTTTTATGGGAAGATATTTCCTTTTTCACCATAGGCCTGAAAGCGCTCCAAATGTCCACTTCCAGATACTACAAAAAGAGTGTTTCCAACCTGCTCTATGAAACGGAAGGTTCAACTCTGTGACTTGATTGCAAACATCACGAAGGTGTTTCTGAGAATGCTTCTGTCTAGATTTTCTTTGAAGACATTACCGTTTCCAACGAAATCCTCAAAGCTAGCCAAATATCCACCTGCAGATTCTACAAAAAGAGTGTTTCAAAAGTGCTCTGTCCAAACCAAGGTTCAATTCTGACAGTTGAGTGCACACATCACAAACGTGATTCTGCGAATGCTTCTGTCTAGTTTTTGTCGGAAGATATTTCCTTTTTCAGCATAGGCCCCAAGGAGCTCAAAATGTCCACTGCCAGATAGTACGAGAAGATTGTTTCAAACCTGCTCTGTGAAAGGGAATGTTCAACTCTGTGACTTGAATGTAAACATCCCTAAGATGTTTCTTAGAATGCTTCTGGCTAGATTTTATTTGAAGATATTCCCGTTTCCAATGAAATCCTCAAAGCTTTCCAAATATCCACTTCCAGATTCTATAAAAAGAATGTTTCAGAACAGTTCTGTCAAAAGAAAGGTTCAACTCTGTTAGTGGAGAACACACACCACAATCAAGGTTCTGAGAATGCTTCTGTCTAAATTTTCTATGAAGACATTCCCGTTTCCAACGAAATCCTCACAGCTATCCAAATATCCACTTGCAGATTCTACAAAAAGTGTGGTTCAAAACTGCTGTATCAAAAGAATGGATCAACACTGTTAGTTGAGTACCCACATCACAAACGTGATTCTCAGAATGCTTCTGTCTAGTTTCTATAGGTAGATATTTCCTTTTTCAGCATAGGCCTGAAAGCGCTCCAAATGCCCGCTTCCAGACACTATAAAAAGAGGGTTTCAAACCTACTCTATGAAAGGGAATGTTCAACTCTGAGAGCTGGATGCAAACATCACAAAGAAGTTCTGAGAATGCTGCTGTCTACTTTTTATATATAATCCCGTTTCCAACGAAATCCTCAAATCTATCCAAATATCCACTTGCAGATTCCAAAAGAAGAGTGTCTCAAAACTGCTCTATCAATAGAAATGCTCAGCACAGTTAGTTGAGTAGATACAGCATAAACATGTTTCTGAGATTACTTCTATCTCGCATTCATGGGAAGATATTTCCTTTTTCCAGATAGGCTAAAAAGCCCTCCAAATGTCCACTTCCAGATACTACAAAAAGAGTGTTTCCAACCTGCTCTATGAAACGGAAGGTTCAACTCTGTGACTTGATTGCAAACATCACGAAGGTGTTTCTGAGAATGCTTCTGTCTAGATTTTCTTTGAAGACATTACCGTTTCCAACGAAATCCTCAAAGCTAGCCAAATATCCACCTGCAGATTCTACAAAAAGAGTGTTTCAAAAGTGCTCTGTCCAAACCAAGGTTCAATTCTGACAGTTGAGTGCACACATCACAAACGTGATTCTGCAAATGCTTCTGTCTAGTTTTTGTCGGAAGATATTTCCTTTTTCAGCATAGGCCCCAAGGAGCTCAAAATGTCCACTGCCAGATAGTACGAGAAGATTGTTTCAAACCTGCTCTGTGAAAGGGAATGTTCAACTCTGTGACTTGAATGTAAACATCCCTAAGATGTTTCTTAGAATGCTTCTGGCTAGATTTTATTTGAAGATATTCCCGTTTCCAACGAAATCCTCAAAGCTTTCCAAATATCCACTTCCAGATTCTATAAAAAGAATGTTTCAGAACAGTTCTGTCAAAAGAAAGGTTCAACTCTGTTAGTGGAGAACACACATCACAATCAAGGTTCTGAGAATGCTTCTGTCTAAATTTTCTATGAAGACATTCCCGTTTCCAACGAAATCCTCACAGCTATCCAAATATCCACTTGCAGATTCTACAAAAAGTGTGGTTCAAAACTGCTGTATCAAAAGAATGGATCAACACTGTTAGTTGAGTACCCACATCACAAACGTGATTCTCAGAATGCTTCTGTCTAGTTTCTATAGGTAGATATTTCCTTTTTCAGCATAGGCCTGAAAGCGCTCCAAATGCCCGCTTCCAGACACTATAAAAAGAGGGTTTCAAACCTACTCTATGAAAGGGAATGTTCAACTCTGAGAGCTGGATGCAAACATCACAAAGAAGTTTCTGAGAATGCTGCTGTCTACTTTTTATATATAATCCCGTTTCCAACGAAATCCTCAAATCTATCCAAATATCCACTTGCAGATTCCAAAAGAAGAGTGTCTCAAAACTGCTCTATCAATAGAAATGTTCAGCACAGTTAGTTGAGTAGATACAGCATAAACATGTTTCTGAGATTACTTCTATCTCGCATTCATGGGAAGATATTTCCTTTTTCCACATAGGCTACAAAGCCCTCCCAATGTCCACTTCCAGATACTACAAAAAGAGTGTTTCCAACCTGCTCTATGAAACGGAAGGTTCAACTCTGTGACTTGATTGCAAACATCACGAAGGTGTTTCTGAGAATGCTTCTGTCTAGATTTTCTTTGAAGACATTACCGTTTCCAACGAAATCCTCAAAGCTAGCCAAATATCCACCTGCAGATTCTACAAAAAGAGTGTTTCAAAAGTGCTCTGTCCAAACCAAGGTTCAATTCTGACAGTTGAGTGCACACATCACAAACGTGATTCTGCGAATGCTTCTGTCTAGTTTTTGTCGGAAGATATTTCCTTTTTCAGCATAGGCCCCAAGGAGCTCAAAATGTCCACTGCCAGATAGTACGAGAAGATTGTTTCAAACCTGCTCTGTGAAAGGGAATGTTCAACTCTGTGACTTGAATGTAAACATCCCTAAGATGTTTCTTAGAATGCTTCTGGCTAGATTTGATTTGAAGATATTCCCGTTTCCAATGAAATCCTCAAAGCTTTCCAAATATCCACTTCCAGATTCTATAAAAAGAATGTTTCAGAACAGTTCTGTCAAAAGAAAGGTTCAACTCTGTTAGTGGAGAACACACATCACAATCAAGGTTCTGAGAATGCTTCTGTCTAAATTTTCTATGAAGACATTCCCGTTTCCAACGAAATCCTCACAGCTATCCAAATATCCACTTGCACATTCTACAAAAAGTGTGGTTCAAAACTGCTGTATCAAAAGAATGGATCAACACTGTTAGTTGAGTACCCACATCAGAAACGTGATTCTCAGAATGCTTCTGTCTAGTTTCTATAGGTAGATATTTCCTTTTTCAGCATAGGCCTGAAAGCTCTCCAAATGCCCGCTTCCAGACACTATAAAAAGAGGGTTTCAAACCTACTCTATGAAAGGGAATGTTCAACTCTGAGAGCTGGATGCAAACATCACAAAGAAGTTTCTGAGAATGCTGCTGTCTACTTTTTATATATAATCCCGTTTCCAACGAAATCCTCAAATCTATCCAAATATCCACTTGCAGATTCCAAAAGAAGAGTGTCTCAAAACTGCTCTATCAATAGAAATGTTCAGCACAGTTAGTTGAGTAGATACAGCATAAACATGTTTCTGAGATTACTTCTATCTCGCATTCATGGGAAGATATTTCCTTTTTCCAGATAGGCTACAAAGCCCTCCAAATGTCCACTTCCAGATACTACAAATAGAGTGCTGCACAACTGCTCTATGTGAGGGGGAAGTTCAATTCTGTGACTTGAATGCAGACACCACAAAGAAGTTTCTGAGAATGCTGCTGTCTAATTTTTACATGTAAGCCCGTTTCCAACGAAATCCTCAAAGCTATCCAAATATCCGCATGCAGAATCTTCAAAAAGAGTGTTCCAGAAGTACTGCATGAAACGAAAGGTTCAAGTCCGTTTGTTGAGGACACACATCACAAATAAGTTTCTCAGAATGCTTCTGTCTTGTTTTCATTGGAAGATATTTCCTTTTTCACCATAGTTCAGAAAGCGCTCCAAATGTCCACTTCCAGATACTCCAAAAAGAGTGTTTCCAACCTGCTCTATGAATGGGAATGTTCCACTCTGTGACTTGAATGGAAATATGGCAAAGTATTTTCTGAGTATGCTGCTGTGTACGTTTTATATTGCATCCCGTTTCCAACGAAATCCTCAAAGCGATCCAAATATCCACTTGCAGATTCCAAAAAAAGAGTGTTTCAAACTGCTCTGTCAGTACAAAGGTTCAACACTGTTAGTTGATTAGATGCATCATAAACAAGTTCCTGAGATAGCTTCTATGTCGCTTTTATGGGAAGATATTTCCTTTTACACCATAGGCCTGAAAGCGCTCCAAATGTCCACTTCCAGATACTACAAAATGAGTGTTTCAAACCTGCTCCATGAAACGGAAGGTTCAACTACTGTGACTTGATTGCAAACATCACGAAGGTGTTTCAGAGGATGTTTCTGTCTAGATTTTCTTTGAAGACATTACCGTTTCCAACGAAATCCTCAAAGGTAGCCAAATATCCACCTGCAGATCCTACAAAAAGAGTGTTTCAAAAGTGCTCTGTCCAAACAAAGGTTCAATTCTGACAGTTGAGTGCACACATCACAAACGTGATTCTGCGAATGCTTCTGTCTAGTTTTTGTCGGAAGATATTTCCTTTTTCAGCATAGGCCCCAAGGAGCTCAAAATGTCCACTGCCAGATAGTACGAGAAGATTGTTTCAAACCTGCTCTGTGAAAGGGAATGTTCAACTCTGTGACTTGAATGTAAACATCCCTAAGATGTTTCTTAGAATGCTTCTGGCTAGATTTTATTTGAAGATATTCCCGTTTCCAATGAAATCCTCAAAGCTTTCCAAATATCCACTTCCAGATTCTATAAAAAGAATGTTTCAGAACAGTTCTGTCAAAAGAAAGGTTGAACTCTGTTAGTGGAGAACACACATCACAATCAAGGTTCTGAGAATGCTTCTGTCTAAATTTTCTATGAAGACATTCCCGTTTCCAACGAAATCCTCACAGCTATCCAAATATCCACTTGCAGATTCTACAAAAAGTGTGGTTCAAAACTGCTGTATCAAAAGAATGGATCAACACTGTTAGTTGAGTACCCACATCACAAACGTGATTCTCAGAATGCTTCTGTCTAGTTTCTGTAGGTAGATATTTCCTTTTTCAGCATAGGCCTGAAAGCGCTCCAAATGCCCGCTTCCAGACACTATAAAAAGGGGGTTTCAAACCTACTCTATGAAAGGGAATGTTCAACTCTGAGAGCTGGATGCAAACATCACAAAGAAGTTTCTGAGAATGCTGCTGTCTACTTTTTATATATAATCCCGTTTCCAACGAAATCCTCAAATCTATCCAAATATCCACTTGCAGATTCCAAAAGAAGAGTGTCTCAAAACTGCTCTATCAATAGAAATGTTCAGCACAGTTAGTTGAGTAGATACAGCATAAACATGTTTCTGAGATTACTTCTATCTCGCATTCATGGGAAGATATTTCCTTTTTCCAGATAGGCTACAAAGCCCTCCAAATGTCCACTTCGAGATACTACAAATAGAGTGCTGCACAACTGCTCTATGTGAGGGGATGTTCAATTCTGTGACTTGAATGCAGACACCACAAAGAAGTTTCTGAGAATGCTGCTGTCTAATTTTTATATGTAAGCCCGTTTCCAAAGAAATCCTCAAAGCTATCCAAATATCCGCATGCAGAATCTTCAAAAAGAGTGTTCCAGAAATACTGCATGAAACGAAAGGTTCAAGTCCGTTAGTTGAGGACACACATCACAAATAAGTTTCTCAGAATGCTTCTGTCTTGTTTTCATTCGAAGATATTTCCTTTTTCACCATAGTTCAGAAAGCGCTCCAAATGTCCACTTCCAGATACTACAAAAGGAGTGTTTCCAACCTGCTCTATGAATGGGAATGTTCCACTCTGTGACTTGAATGGAAATATGGCAAAGTATTTTCTGAGTATGCTGCTGTGTACGTTTTATATTGCATCCCGTTTCCAACGAAATCCTCAAAGCGATCCAAATATCCACTTGCAGATTCCAAAAAAAAGAGTGTTTCACACTGCTCTGTCAGTACAAAGGTTCAACACTGTTAGTTGATTGGATGCATCATAAACAAGTTCCTGAGATAGCTTCTATGTCGTTTTTATGGGAAGATATTTCCTTTTTCACCATAGGCCTGAAAGCGCTCCAAATGTCCACTTCCAGATACTACAAAAAGAGTGTTTCCAACCTGCTCTATGAAACGGAAGGTTCAACTCTGTGACTTGATTGCAAACATCACGAAGGTGTTTCTGAGAATGTTTCTGTCTAGATTTTCTTTGAAGACATTACCGTTTCCAACGAAATCCTCAAAGCTAGTCAAATATCCACCTGCAGATTCTACAAAAAGAGTGTTTCAAAAGTGCTCTGTCCAAACAAAGGTTCAATTCTGACAGTTGAGTGCACACATCACAAACGTGATTCTGCGAATGTTTCTGTCTAGTTTTTGTCGGAAGATATTTCCTTTTTCAGCATAGGCCCCAAGGAGCTCAAAATGTCCACTTCCAGATAGTACGAGAAGATTGTTTCAAACCTGCTCTGTGAAAGGGAATGTTCAACCCTGTGACTTGAATGTAAACATCCCTAAGATGTTTCTTAGAATGCTTCTGGCTAGATTTGATTTGAAGATATTCCCGTTTACAATGAAATCCTCAAAGCTTTCCAAATATCCACTTCCAGATTCTATAAAAAGAATGTTTCAAAACAGTTCTGTCAAAAGAAAGGTTCAACCCTGTTAGTGGAGAACACACATCACAATCAAGGTTCTGAGAATGCTTCTGTCTAAATTTTCTATGAAGACATTCCCGTTTCCAAGGAAATCCTCACAGCTATCCAAATATCCACTTGCAGATTCTACAAAAAGTGTGGTTCAAAACTGCTGTATCAAAAGAATGGATCAACACTGTTAGTTGAGTACCCACATCACAAACGTGATTCTCAGAATGCTTCTGTCTACTTTCTATAGGTAGATATTTCCTTTTTCAGCATAGGCCTGAAAGCGCTCCAAATGCCCGCTTCCAGACACTATAAAAAGAGGGTTTCAAACCTACTCTACGAAAGGGAATGTTCAACTCTGAGAGCTGGATGCAAACATCACAAAGAAGTTTCTGAGAATGCTGCTGTCTACTTTTGATATAGAATCCCGTTTCCAAGGAAATCCTCAAATCTATCCAAATATCCACTTGCAGATTCCAAAAGAAGAGTGTCTCAAAACTGCTCTATCAATAGAAATGTTCAGCACAGTTAGTTGAGTAGATACAGCATAAACATGTTTCTGAGATTACTTCTATCTCGCATTCATGGGAAGATATTTCCTTTTTCCAGATAGGCTACAAAGCCCTCCAAATGTCCACTTCGAGATACTACAAATAGAGTGCTGCACAGCTGCTCTATGTGAGGGGATGTTCAATTCTGTGACTTGAATGCAGACACCACAAAGAAGTTTCTGAGAATGCTGCTGTCTAATTTTTACATGTAAGCCCGTTTCCAACGAAATCCTCAAAGCTATCCAAATATCCGCATGCAGAATCTTCAAAAAGAGTGTTCCAGAAGTACTGCATGAAACGAAAGGTTCAAGTCCGTTTGTTGAGGACACACATCACAAATAAGTTTGCTCAGAATGCTTTCTGTCTTGTTTTCATTGGAAGATATTTCCTTTTTCACCATAGTTCAGAAAGCGCTCCAAATGTCCACTTCCAGATACTACAAAAAGAGTGTTTCCAAGCTGCTCTATGAATGGGAATGTTCCACTCTGTGACTTGAATGGAAATATGGCAAAGTATTTTCTGAGTATGCTGCTGTGTACGTTTTATATTGCATCCCGTTTCCAACGAAATCCTCAAAGCGATCCAAATATCCACTTGCAGATTCCAAAAAAAAGAGTGTTTCACACTGCTCTGTCAGTACAAAGGTTCAACACTGTTAGTTGATTGGATGCATCATAAACAAGTTCCTGAGATAGCTTCTATGTCGTTGTTATGGGAAGATATTTCCTTTCTCACCATAGGCCTGAAAGCGCTCCAAATGTCCACTTCCAGATACTACAAAAAGAGTGTTTCCAACCTGCTCTATGAAACGGAAGGTTCAACTCTGTGACTTGATTGCAAACATCACGAAGGTGTTTCTGAGAATGTTTCTGTCTAGATTTTCTTTGAAGACATTACCGTTTCCAACGAAATCCTCAAAGCTAGCCAAATATCCACCTGCAGATTCTACAAAAAGAGTGTTTCAAAAGTGCTCTGTCCAAACAAAGGTTCAATTCTGACAGTTGAGTGCACACATCACAAACGTGATTCTGCGAATGCTTCTGTCTAGTTTTTGTCGGAAGATATTTCCTTTTTCAGCATAGGCCCCAAGGAGCTCAAAATGTCCACTTCCAGATAGTACGAGAAGATTGTTTCAAACCTGCTCTGCGAAAGGGAATGTTCGACTCTGTGACTTGAATGTAAACATCCCCTAAGATGTTTATTAGAATGCTGCTGTGTACGTTTTATATTGCATCCCGTTTCCAACGAAATACTCAAAGCGATCCAAATATCCACTTGCAGATTCTATAAAAAGAATGTTTCAGAACAGTTCTGTCAAAAGAAAGGTTCAACACTGTTAGTGGAGAACACACATCACAATCAAGGTTCTGAGAATGCTTCTGTCTAAATTTTCTATGAAGGCATTCCCGTTTCCAAGGAAATCCTCACAGCTATCCAAATATCCACTTGCAGATTCTACAAAAAGTGTGGTTCAAAACTGCTGTATCAAAAGAATGGATCAACACTGTTAGTTGAGTACCCACATCACAAACGTGATTCTCAGAATGCTTCTGTCTAGTTTCTATAGGTAGATATTTCCTTTTTCAGCATAGGCCTGAAAGCGCTCCAAATGCCCGCTTCCACACACTATAAAAAGAGGGTTTCAAACCTACTCTACGAAAGAGAATGTTCAACTCTGAGAGCTGGATGCAAACATCACAAAGAAGTTTCTGAGAATGCGGCTGTCTACTTTTTATATATAATCCCGTTTCCAACGAAATCCTCAAATCTATCCAAATATCCACTTGCAGATTCCAAAAGAAGAGTGTCTCAAAACTGCTCTATCAATAGAAATGTTCAGCACAGTTAGTTGAGTAGATACAGCATAAACATGTTTCTGAGATTACTTCTATCTCGCATTCATGGGAAGATATTTCCTTTTTCCAGATAGGCTACAAAGCCCTCCAAATGTCCACTTCGAGATACTACAAATAGAGTGCTGCACAACTGCTCTATGTGAGGGGATGTTCAATTCTGTGACTTGAATGCAGACACCACAAAGAAGTTTCTGAGAATGCTGCTGTCTAATTTTTATATGTAAGCCCGTTTCCAACGAAATCCTCAAAGCTATCCAAAGATCCGCATGCAGAATCTTCAAAAAGAGTGTTCCAGAAGTAGTGCATGAAACGAAAGGTTCAAGTCCGTTAGTTGAGGACACACATCACAAATAAGTTTCTCAGAATGCTTCTGTCTTGTTTTCATTGGAAGATATTTCCTTTTTCACCATAGTTCAGAAAGCCCTCCAAATGTCCACTTCCACATACTACAAAAAGAGTGTTTCCTACCTGCTCTATGAATGGGAATGTTCCACTCTGTGACTTGAATGGAAATATGGCAACGTATTTTCTGAGTATGCTGCTGTGTACGTTTTATATTGCATCCCGTTTCCAACGAAATCCTCAAAGCGATCCAAATATCCACTTGCAGATTCCAAAAAAAAGAGTGTTTCACACTGCTCTGTCAGTACAAAGGTTCAACACTGTTAGTTGATTGGATGCATCATAAACAAGTTCCTGAGATAGCTTCTATGTCGTTTTTATGGGAAGATATTTCCTTTCTCACCATAGGCCTGAAAGCGCTCCAAATGTCCACTTCCAGATACTACAAAAAGAGTGTTTCCAACCTGCTCTATGAAACGGAAGGTTCAACTCTGTGACTTGATTGCAAACATCACGAAGGTGTTTCTGAGAATGTTTCTGTCTAGATTTTCTTTGAAGACATTACCGTTTCCAACGAAATCCTCAAAGCTAGCCAAATATCCACCTGCAGATTCTACAAAAAGAGTGTTTCAAAAGTGCTCTGTCCAAACAAAGGTTCAATTCTGACAGTTGAGTGCACACATCACAAACGTGATTCTGCGAATGCTTCTGTCTAGTTTTTGTCGGAAGATATTTCCTTTCTCAGCATAGGCCCCAAGGAGCTCAAAATGTCCACTTCCAGATAGTACGAGAAGATTGTTTCAAACCTGCTCTGTGAAAGGGAATGTTCAACTCTGTGACTTGAATGTAAACATCCCTAAGATGTTTCTTAGAATGCTTCTGGCTAGATTTTATTTGAAGATATTCCCGTTTCCAACGAAATCCTCAAAGCTTTCCAAATATCCACTTCCAGATTCTATAAAAAGAATGTTTCAGAACAGTTCTGTCAAAAGAAAGGTTCAACCCTGTTAGTGGAGAACACACATCACAATCAAGGTTCTAAGAATGCTTCTGTCTAGATTTTCTTTGAAGACATCCCCGTTTCCAACGAAATCCTCACAGCTATCCAAATATCCTCTTGCAGATTCTACAAAAAGTGTGGTTCAAAACTGCTGTATCAAAAGAATGGATCAACACTGTTAGTTGAGGTACCCACATCACAAACGTGATTCTCAGAATGCTTCTGTCTAGTTTCTATAGGTAGATATTTCCTTATTCAGCATAGGCCTGAAAGCGCTCCAAATGCCCGCTTCCAGACACTATAAAAAGAGGGTTTCAAACCTACTCTATGAAAGGGAATGTTCAACTCTGAGAGCTGGATGCAAACATCACAAAGAAGTTTCTGAGAATGCTGCTGTCTACTTTTTATATATAATCCCGTTTCCAACGAAATCCTCAAATCTATCCAAATATCCACTTGCAGATTCCAAAAGAAGAGTGTCTCAAAACTGCTCTATCAATAGAAATGTTCAGCACAGTTAGTTGAGTAGATACAGCATAAACATGTTTCTGAGATTACTTCTATCTCGCATTCATGGGAAGATATTTCCTTTTTCCAGATAGGCTACAAAGCCCTCCAAATGTCCACTTCCAGATACTACAAATAGAGTGCTGCACAACTGCTCTATGTGAGGGGATGTTCAATTCTGTGACTTGAATGCAGACACCACAAAGAAGTTTCTGAGAATGCTGCTGTCTAATTTTTACATGTAAGCCCGTTTCCAACGAAATCCTCAAAGCTATCCAAATATCCGCATGCAGAATCTTCAAAAAGAGTGTTCCAGAAGTACTGCATGAAACGAAAGGTTCAAGTCCGTTTGTTGAGGACACACATCACAAATAAGTTTCTCAGAATGCTTCTGTCTTGTTTTCATTGGAAGATATTTCCTTTTTCACCATAGTTCAGAAAGCGCTCCAAATGTCCACTTCCAGATACTCCAAAAAGAGTGTTTCCAACCTGCTCTATGAATGGGAATGTTCCACTCTGTGACTTGAATGGAAATATGGCAAAGTATTTTCTGAGTATGCTGCTGTGTACGTTTTATATTGCATCCCGTTTCCAACGAAATCCTCAAAGCGATCCAAATATCCACTTGCAGATTCCAAAAAAAGAGTGTTTCAAACTGCTCTGTCAGTACAAAGGTTCAACACTGTTAGTTGATTAGATGCATCATAAACAAGTTCCTGAGATAGCTTCTATGTCGTTTTTATGGGAAGATATTTCCTTTTTCACCATAGGCCTCAAAGCGCTCCAAATGTCCACTTCCACAAACTACAAAAAGAGTGTTTCCAACCTGCTCTATGAAACGGAAGGTTCAACTCTGTGACTTGATTGCAAACATCACGAAGGTGTTTCTGAGAATGCTTCAGTCTAGATTTTCTTTGAAGACATTCCCGTTTCCAACGAAATCCTCACAGCTTTCCAAATATCCTCTTGCAGATTCTACAAAAAGTGTGGTTCAAAACTGCTGTATCAAAAGAATGGATCAACACTGTTAGTTGAGTACCCACATCACAAACGTGATTCTCAGAATGCTTCTGTCTAGTTTCTGTAGGTAGATATTTCCTATTTTAAGCATAGGCCTGAAAGCGCTCCAAATGCCCGCTTCCAGACACTATAAAAAGAGGGTTTCAAACCTACTCTATGAAAGGGAATGTTCAACTCTGAGAGCTGGATGCAAACATCACAAAGAAGTTTCTGAGAATGCTGCTGTCTACTTTTTATATATAATCCCTGTTTCCAACGAAATCCTCAAATCTATCCAAATATCCACTTGCAGATTCCAAAAGAAGAGTGTCTCAAAACTGCTCTATCAATAGAAATGTTCAGCACAGTTAGTTGAGTAGATACAGCATAAACATGTTTCTGAGATTACTTCTATCTCGCATTCATGGGAAGATATTTCCTTTTTCCAGATAGGCTACAAAGCCCTCCAAATGTCCACTTCCAGATACTACAAAAAGAGTGTTTCCAACCTGCTCTATGAAACGGAAGGTTCAACTCTGTGACTTGATTGCAAACATCACGAAGGTGTTTCTGAGAATGCTTCTGTCTAGATTTTCTTTGAAGACATTACCGTTTCCAACGAAATCCTCAAAGCTAGCCAAATATCCACCTGCAGATTCTACAAAAAGAGTGTTTCAAAAGTGCTCTGTCCAAACCAAGGTTCAATTCTGACAGTTGAGTGCACACATCACAAACGTGATTCTGCGAATGCTTCTGTCTAGTTTTTGTCGGAAGATATTTCCTTTTTCAGCATAGGCCCCAAGGAGCTCAAAATGTCCACTGCCAGATAGTACGAGAAGATTGTTTCAAACCTGCTCTGTGAAAGGGAATGTTCAACTCTGTGACTTGAATGTAAACATCCCTAAGATGTTTCTTAGAATGCTTCTGGCTAGATTTTATTTGAAGATATTCCCGTTTCCAACGAAATCCTCAAAGCTTTCCAAATATCCACTTCCAGATTCTATAAAAAGAATGTTTCAGAACAGTTCTGTCAAAAGAAAGGTTCAACTCTGTTAGTGGAGAACACACATCACAATCAAGGTTCTGAGAATGCTTCTGTCTACATTTTCTATGAAGACATTCCCGTTTCCAACGAAATCCTCACAGCTATCCAAATATCCACTTGCAGATTCTACAAAAAGTGTGGTTCAAAACTGCTGTATCAAAAGAATGGATCAACACTGTTAGTTGAGTACCCACATCACAAACGTGATTCTCAGAATGCTTCTGTCTAGTTTCTGTAGGTAGATATTTCCTATTTTAAGCATAGGCCTGAAAGCGCTCCAAATGCCCGCTTCCAGACACTATAAAAAGAGGGTTTCAAACCTACTCTATGAAAGGGAATGTTCAACTCTGAGAGCTGGATGCAAACATCACAAAGAAGTTTCTGAGAATGCTGCTGTCTACTTTTTATATATAATCCCGTTTCCAACGAAATCCTCAAATCTATCCAAATATCCACTTGCAGATTCCAAAAGAAGAGTGTCTCAAAACTGCTCTATCAATAGAAATGTTCAGCACAGTTAGTTGATTAGATACAGCATAAACATGTTTCTGAGATTACTTCTATCTCGCATTCATGGGAAGATATTTCCTTTTTCCAGATAGGCTACAAAGCCCTCCAAATGTCCACTTCCAGATACTACAAATAGAGTGCTGCACAACTGCTCTATGTGAGGGGAAGTTCAATTCTGTGACTTGAATGCAGACACCACAAAGAAGTTTCTGAGAATGCTGCTGTCTAATTTTTACATGTAAGCCCGTTTCCAACGAAATCCTCAAAGCTATCCAAATATCCGCATGCAGAATCTTCAAAAAGAGTGTTCCAGAAGTACTGCATGAAACGAAAGGTTCAAGTCCGTTTGTTGAGGACACACATCACAAATAAGTTTCTCAGAATGCTTCTGTCTTGTTTTCATTGGAAGATATTTCCTTTTTCACCATAGTTCAGAAAGCGCTCCAAATGTCCACTTCCAGATACTCCAAAAAGAGTGTTTCCAACCTGCTCTATGAATGGGAATGTTCCACTCTGTGACTTGAATGGAAATATGGCAAAGTATTTTCTGAGTATGCTGCTGTGTACGTTTTATATTGCATCCCGTTTCCAACGAAATCCTCAAAGCGATCCAAATATCCACTTGCAGATTCCAAAAAAAGAGTGTTTCAAAGTGCTCTGTCAGTACAAAGGTTCAACACTGTTAGTTGATTAGATGCATCATAAACAAGTTCCTGAGATAGCTTCTATGTCGTTTTTATGGGAAGATATTTCCTTTTTCACCATAGGCCTGAAAGCGCTCCAAATGTCCACTTCCAGATACTACAATAAGAGTGTTTCCAACCTGCTCTATGAAACGGAAGGTTCAACTCTGTGACTTGATTGCAAACATCACGAAGGTGTTTCTGAGAATGCTTCTGTCTAGTATTTTCTTTGAAGACATTACCGTTTCCAACGAAATCCTCAAAGCTAGCCAAATATCCACCTGCAGATTCTACAAAAAGTGTGTTTCAAAAGTGCTCTCTCCAAACCAAGGTTCAATTCTGACAGTTGAGTGCACACATCACAAACGTGATTCTGCGAATGCTTCTGTCTAGTTTTTGTCGGAAGATATTTCCTTTTTCAGCATAGGCCCCAAGGAGCTCAAAATGTCCACTGCCAGATAGTACGAGAAGATTGTTTCAAACCTGCTCTGTGAAAGGGAATGTTCAACTCTGTGACTTGAATGTAAACATCCCTAAGATGTTTCTTAGAATGCTTCTGGCTAGATTTGATTTGAAGATATTCCCGTTTCCAACGAAATCCTCAAAGCTTTCCAAATATCCACTTCCAGATTCTATAAAAAGAATGTTTCAGAACAGTTGTGTCTAAAGAAAGGTTCAACTCTGTTAGTGGAGAACACACATCACAATCAAGGTTCTGAGAATGCTTCTGTCTAAATTTTCTATGAAGACATTCCCGTTTCCAACGAAATCCTCACAGCTATCCAAATATCCACTTGCAGATTCTACAAAAAGTGTGGTTCAAAACTGCTGTATCAAAAGAATGGATCAACACTGTTAGTTGAGTACCCACATCACAAACGTGATTCTCAGAATGCTTCTGTCTAGTTTCTATAGGTAGATATTTCCTTTTTCAGCATAGGCCTGAAAGCGCTCCAAATGCCCGCTTCCAGACACTATAAAAAGAGGGTTTCAAACCTACTCTATGAAAGGGAATGTTCAACTCTGAGAGCTGGATGCAAACATCACAAAGAAGTTTCTGAGAATGCTGCTGTCTACTTTTTATATATAATCCCGTTTCCAACGAAATCCTCAAATCTATCCAAATATCCACTTGCAGATTCCAAAAGAAGAGTGTCTCAAAACTGCTCTATCAATAGAAATGTTCAGCACAGTTAGTTGAGTAGATACAGCATAAACATGTTTCTGAGATTACTTCTATCTCGCATTCATGGGAAGATATTTCCTTTTTCCAGATAGGCTACAAAGCCCTCCAAATGTCCACTTCCAGATACTACAAATAGAGTGCTGCACAACTGCTCTATGTGAGGGGATGTTCAATTCTGTGACTTGAATGCAGACACCACAAAGAAGTTTCTGAGAATGCTGCTGTATAATTTTTACATGTAAGCCCGTTTCCAACGAAATCCTCAAAGCTATCCAAATATCCGCATGCAGAATCTTCAAAAAGAGTGTTCCAGAAGTACTGCATGAAACGAAAGGTTCAAGTCCGTTTGTTGAGGACACACATCACAAATAAGTTTCTCAGAATGCTTCTGTCTTGTTTTCATTGGAAGATATTTCCTTTTTCACCATAGTTCAGAAAGCGCTCCAAATGTCCACTTCCAGATACTCCAAAAAGAGTGTTTCCAACCTGCTCTATGAATGGGAATGTTCCACTCTGTGACTTGAATGGAAATATGGCAAAGAATTTTCTGAGTATGCTGCTGTGTACGTTTTATATTGCATCCCGTTTCCAACGAAATCCTCAAAGCGATCCAAATATCCACTTGCAGATTCCAAAAAAAGAGTGTTTCAAAGTGCTCTGTCAGTACAAAGGTTCAACACTGTTGGTTGATTAGATGCATCATAAACAAGTTCCTGAGATAGCTTCTATGTCGTTTTTATGGGAAGATATTTCCTTTTTCACCATAGGCCTGAAAGCGCTCCAAATGTCCACTTCCAGATACTACAATAAGAGTGTTTCCAACCTGCTCTATGAAACGGAAGGTTCAACTCTGTGACTTGATTGCAAACATCACGAAGGTGTTTCTGAGAATGCTTCTGTCTAGATTTTCTTTGAAGACATTCCCGTTTCCAACGAAATCCTCACAGCTATCCAAATATCCTCTTGCAGATTCTACAAAAAGTGTGGTTCAAAACTGCTGTATCAAAAGAATGGATCAACACTGTTAGTTGAGTACCCACATCACAAACGTGATTCTCAGAATGCTTCTGTCTAGTTTCTGTAGGTAGATATTTCCTATTTTAAGCATAGGCCTGAAAGCGCTCCAAATGCCCGCTTCCAGACACTATAAAAAGAGGGTTTCAAACCTACTCTATGAAAGGGAATGTTCAACTCTGAGAGCTGGATGCAAACATCACAAAGAAGTTTCTGAGAATGCTGCTGTCTACTTTTTATATATAATCCCGTTTCCAACGAAATCCTCAAATCTATCCAAATATCCACTTGCAGATTCCAAAAGAAGAGTGTCTCAAAACTGCTCTATCAATAGAAATGTTCAGCACAGTTAGTTGAGAAGATACAGCATAAACATGTTTCTGAGATTACTTCTATCTCGCATTCATGGGAAGATATTTCCTTTTTCCAGATAGGCTACAAAGCCCTCCAAATGTCCACTTCGAGATACTACAAATAGAGTGCTGCACAACTGCTCTATGTGAGGGGAAGTTCAATTCTGTGACTTGAATGCAGACACCACAAAGAAGTTTCTGAGAATGCTGCTGTCTAATTTTTACATGTAAGCCCGTTTCCAACGAAATCCTCAAAGCTATCCAAATATCCGCATGCAGAATCTTCAAAAAGAGTGTTCCAGAAGTACTGCATGAAACGAAAGGTTCAAGTCCGTTTGTTGAGGACACACATCACAAATAAGTTTCTCAGAATGCTTCTGTCTTGTTTTCATTGGAAGATATTTCCTTTTTCACCATAGTTCAGAAAGCGCTCCAAATGTCCACTTCCAGATACTCCAAAAAGAGTGTTTCCAACCTGCTCTATGAATGGGAATGTTCCACTCTGTGACTTGAATGGAAACATGGCAAAGTATTTTCTGAGTATGCTGCTGTGTACGTTTTATATTGCATCCCGTTTCCAACGAAATCCTCAAAGTGATCCAAATATCCACTTGCAGATTCCAAAAAAAGAGTGTTTCAAACTGCTCTGTCAGTACAAAGGTTCAACACTGTTAGTTGATTAGATGCATCATAAACAAGTTCCTGAGATAGCTTCTATGTCGTTTTTATGGGAAGATATTTCCTTTTTCACCATAGGCCTGAAAGCGCTCCAAATGTCCACTTCCAGATACTACAATAAGAGTGTTTCCAACCTGCTCTATGAAACGGAAGGTTCAACTCTGTGACTTGATTGCAAACATCACGAAGGTGTTTCTGAGAATGCTTCTGTCTAGATTTTCTTTGAAGACATTCCCGTTTCCAACGAAATCCTCACAGCTATCCAAATATCCTCTTGCAGATTCTACAAAAAGTGTGGTTCAAAACTGCTGTATCAAAAGAATGGATCAACACTGTTAGTTGAGTACCCACATCACAAACGTGATTCTCAGAATGCTTCTGTCTAGTTTCTGTAGGTAGATATTTCCTATTTTAAGCATAGGCCTGAAAGCGCTCCAAATGCCCGCTTCCAGACACTATAAAAAGAGGGTTTCAAACCTACTCTATGAAAGGGAATGTTCAACTCTGAGAGCTGGATGCAAACATCACAAAGAAGTTTCTGAGAATGCTGCTGTCTACTTTTTATATATAATCCCGTTTCCAACGAAATCCTCAAATCTATCCAAATATCCACTTGCAGATTCCAAAAGAAGAGTGTCTCAAAACTGCTCTATCAATAGAAATGTTCAGCACAGTTAGTTGAGTAGATACAGCATAAACATGTTTCTGAGATTACTTCTATCTCGCATTCATGGGAAGATATTTCCTTTTTCCAGATAGGCTACAAAGCCCTCCAAATGTCCACTTCCAGATACTACAAATAGAGTGCTGCACAACTGCTCTATGTGAGGGGAAGTTCAATTCTGTGACTTGAATGCAGACACCACAAAGAAGTTTCTGAGAATGCTGCTGTCTAATTTTTACATGTAAGCCCGTTTCCAACGAAATCCTCAAAGCTATCCAAATATCCGCATGCAGAATCTTCAAAAAGAGTGTTCCAGAAGTACTGCATGAAACGAAAGGTTCAAGTCCGTTTGTTGAGGACACACATCACAAATAAGTTTCTCAGAATGCTTCTGTCTTGTTTTCATTGGAAGTATATTTCCTCTTTCACCATAGTTCAGAAAGCGCTCCAAATGTCCACTTCCAGATACTACAAAAGGAGTGTTTCCAACCTGCTCTATGAATGGGAATGTTCCACTCTGTGACTTGAATGGAAATATGGCAAAGTATTTTCTGAGTATGCTGCTGTGTACGTTTTATATTGCATCCCGTTTCCAACGAAATCCTCAAAGCGATCCAAATATCCACTTGCAGATTCCAAAAAAAGAGTGTTTCAAACTGCTCTGTCAGTACAAAGGTTCAACACTGTTAGTTGATTAGATGCATCATAAACAAGTTCCTGAGATAGCTTCTATATCGTTTTTATGGGAAGATATTTCCTTTTTCACCATAGGCCTGAAAGCGCTCCAAATGTCCACTTCCAGATACTACAATAAGAGTGTTTCCAACCTGCTCTATGAAACGGAAGGTTCAACTCTGTGACTTGATTGCAAACATCACGAAGGTATTTCTGAGAATGCTTCTGTCTAGATTTTCTTTGAAGACATTACCGTTTCCAACGAAATCCTCACAGCTATCCAAATATCCTCTTGCAGATTCTACAAAAAGTGTGGTTCAAAACTGCTGTATCAAAAGAATAGATCAACACTGTTAGTTGAGTACCCACATCACAAACGTGATTCTCAGAATGCTTCTGTCTAGTTTCTGTAGGTAGATATTTCCTATTTTAAGCATAGGCCTGAAAGCGCTCCAAATGCCCGCTTCCAGACACTATAAAAAGAGGGTTTCAAACCTACTCTATGAAAGGGAATGTTCAACTCTGAGAGCTGGATGCAAACATCACAAAGAAGTTTCTGAGAATGCTGCTGTCTACTTTTTATATATAATCCCGTTTCCAACGAAATCCTCAAATCTATCCAAATATCCACTTGCAGATTCCAAAAGAAGAGTGTCTCAAAACTGCTCTATCAATAGAAATGTTCAGCACAGTTAGTTGAGTAGATACAGCATAAACATGTTTCTGAGATTACTTCTATCTCGCATTCATGGGAAGATATTTCCTTTTTCCAGATAGGCTACAAAGCCCTCCAAATGTCCACTTCCAGATACTACAAAAAGAGTGTTTCCAACCTGCTCTATGAAACGGAAGGTTCAACTCTGTGACTTGATTGCAAACATCACGAAGGTGTTTCTGAGAATGCTTCTGTCTAGATTTTCTTTGAAGACATTACCGTTTCCAACGAAATCCTCAAAGCTAGCCAAATATCCACCTGCAGAT
Source organism: Homo sapiens (assembly GCF_000001405.40). Lineage (NCBI taxonomy): Eukaryota > Metazoa > Chordata > Mammalia > Primates > Hominidae > Homo > Homo sapiens. The sequence continues at coordinate 45,021,219 of NC_000008.11, read as the reverse complement.
TCTACAAAAAGAGTGTTTCAAAAGTGCTCTGTCCAAACCAAGGTTCAATTCTGACAGTTGAGTGCACACATCACAAACGTGATTCTGCGAATGCTTCTGTCTAGTTTTTGTCGGAAGATATTTCCTTTTTCAGCATAGGCCCCAAGGAGCTCAAAATGTCCACTGCCAGATAGTACGAGAAGATTGTTTCAAACCTGCTCTGTGAAAGGGAATGTTCAACTCTGTGACTTGAATGTAAACATCCCTAAGATGTTTCTTAGAATGCTTCTGGCTAGATTTGATTTGAAGATATTCCCGTTTCCAACGAAATCCTCAAAGCTTTCCAAATATCCACTTCCAGATTCTATAAAAAGAATGTTTCAGAACAGTTCTGTCAAAAGAAAGGTTCAACTCTGTTAGTGGAGAACACACATCACAATCAAGGTTCTGAGAATGCTTCTGTCTAAATTTTCTATGAAGACATTCCCGTTTCCAACGAAATCCTCACAGCTATCCAAATATCCACTTGCAGATTCTACAAAAAGTGTGGTTCAAAACTGCTGTATCAAAAGAATGGATCAACACTGTTAGTTGAGTACCCACATCACAAACGTGATTCTCAGAATGCTTCTGTCTAGTTTCTATAGGTAGATATTTCCTTTTTCAGCATAGGCCTGAAAGCGCTCCAAATGCCCGCTTCCAGACACTATAAAAAGAGGGTTTCAAACCTACTCTATGAAAGGGAATGTTCAACTCTGAGAGCTGGATGCAAACATCACAAAGAAGTTTCTGAGAATGCTGCTGTCTACTTTTTATATATAATCCCGTTTCCAACGAAATCCTCAAATCTATCCAAATATCCACTTGCAGATTCCAAAAGAAGAGTGTCTCAAAACTGCTCTATCAATAGAAATGTTCAGCACAGTTAGTTGAGTAGATACAGCATAAACATGTTTCTGAGATTACTTCTATCTCGCATTCATGGGAAGATATTTCCTTTTTCCACATAGGCTACAAAGCCCTCCAAATGTCCACTTCCAGATACTACAAATAGAGTGCTGCACAACTGCTCTATGTGAGGGGATGTTCAATTCTGTGACTTGAATGCAGACACCACAAAGAAGTTTCTGAGAATGCTGCTGTCTAATTTTTACATGTAAGCCCGTTTCCAACGAAATCCTCAAAGCTATCCAAATATCCGCATGCAGAATCTTCAAAAAGAGTGTTCCAGAAGTACTGCATGAAACGAAAGGTTCAAGTCCGTTTGTTGAGGACACACATCACAAATAAGTTTCTCAGAATGCTTCTGTCTTGTTTTCATTGGAAGATATTTCCTTTTTCACCATAGTTCAGAAAGCGCTCCAAATGTCCACTTCCAGATACTACAAAAGGAGTGTTTCCAACCTGCTCTATGAATGAGAATGTTCCATTCTGTGACTTGAATGGAAATATGGCAAAGTATTTTCCTGAGTATGCTGCTGTGTACGTTTTATATTGCATCCCGTTTCCAACGAAATCCTCAAAGCGATCCAAATATCCACTTGCAGATTCCAAAAAAAGAGTGTTTCAAAGTGCTCTGTCAGTACAAAGGTTCAACACTGTTAGTTGATTAGATGCATCATAAACAAGTTCCTGAGATAGCTTCTATGTCGTTTTTATGGGAAGATATTTCCTTTTTCACCATAGGCCTGAAAGCACTCCAAATGTCCACTTCCAGATACTACAAAAAGAGTGTTTCCAACCTGCTCTATGAAACGGAAGGTTCAACTCTGTGACTTGATTGCAAACATCACGAAGGTGTTTCTGAGAATGCTTCTGTCTAGATTTTCTTTGAAGACATTACCGTTTCCAACGAAATCCTCAAAGCTAGCCAAATATCCACCTGCAGATTCTACAAAAAGAGTGTTTCAAGAGTGCAATCTCCAAACCAAGGTTCAATTCTGACAGTTGAGTGCACACATCACAAACGTGATTCTGCGAATGCTTCTGTCTAGTTTTTGTCGGAAGATATTTCCTTTTTCAGCATAGGCCCCAAGGAGCACAAAATGTCCACTTCCAGATAGTACGAGAAGATTGTTTCAAACCTGCTCTGTGAAAGGGAATGTTCAACTCTGTGACTTGAATGTAAACATCCCTAAGATGTTTCTTAGAATGCTTCTGGCTAGATTTGATTTGAAGATATTCCCGTTTCCAATGAAATCCTCAAAGCTTTCCAAATATCCACTTCCAGATTCTATAAAAAGAATGTTTCAGAACAGTTCTGTCAAAAGAAAGGTTCAACTCTGTTAGTGGAAAAAACACATCACAATCAAGGTTCTGAGAATGCTTCTGTCTAAATTTTCTATGGAGGCATTCCCGTTTCCAAGGAAATCCTCACAGCTATCCAAATATCCACTTGCAGATTCTACAAAAAGTGTGGTTGAAAACTGCTGTATCAAAAGAATGGATCAACACTGTTAGTTGAGTACCCACATCACAAACGTGATTCTCAGAATGCTTCTGTCTAGTTTCTATAGGTAGATATTTCCTTTTTCAGCATAGGCCTGAAAGCGCTCCAAATGCCCGCTTCCAGACACTATAAAAAGAGGGTTTCAAACCTACTCTACGAAAGGGAATGTTCAACTCTGAGAGCTGGATGCAAACATCACAAAGAAGTTTCTGAGAATGCGGCTGTCTACTTTTTATATATAATCCCGTTGCCAACGAAATCCTCAAATCTTTCCAAATATCCACTTGCAGATTCCAAAAGAAGAGTGTCTAAAAACTGCTCTATCAATAGAAATGTTCAGCACAGTTAGTTGAGTAGATACAGCATAAACATGTTTCTGAGATTACTTCTATCTCGCATTCATGGGAAGATATTTCCTTTTTCCAGATAGGCTACAAAGCCCTCCAAATGCCCACTTCGAGATACTACAAATAGAGTGCTGCACAACTGCTCTATGTGAGGGGATGTTCAATTCTGTGACTTGGATGCAGACACCACAGAGAAGTTTCTGAGAATGCTGCTGTCTAATTTTTATATGTAAGCCCGTTTCCAACGAAATCCTCAAAGCTATCCAAATATCCGCATGCAGAATCTTCAAAAAGAGTGTTCCAGAAGTACTGCATGAAACGAAAGGTTCAAGTCCGTTAGTTGAGGACACACATCACAAATAAGTTTCTCAGAATGCTTCTGTCTTGTTTTCATTGGAAGATATTTCCTTTTTCACCATAGTTCAGAAAGCGCTCCAAATGTCCACTTCCAGATACTACAAAAAGAGTGTGTCAAACCTGCTCTATGAATGGGAATGTTCCACTCTGTGACTTGAATGGAAATATGGCAAAGTATTTTCTGAGTATGCTGCTGTTTACTTTTATATTGCATCCCGTTTCCAACGAAATCCTCAAAGCGATCCAAATATCCACTTGCAGATTCCAAAAAAAAGAGTGTTTCACACTGCTCTGTCAGTACAAAGGTTCAACACTGTTAGTTGATTGGATGCATCATAAACAAGTTCCTGAGATAGCTTCTATGTCGTTTTTATGGGAAGATATTTCCTTTTTCACCATAGGCCTGAAAGCGCTCCAAATGTCCACTTCCAGATACTACAAAAAGAGTGTTTCCAACCTGCTCTATGAAAGGGAAGGTTCAACTCTGTGACTTGATTTCAAACATCACGAAGGTGTTTCTGAGAATGTTTCTGTCTAGATTTTCTTTGAAGACATTACCGTTTCCAACGAAATCCTCAAAGCTAGTCAAATATCCACCTGCAGATTCTACAAAAAGAGTGTTTCAAAAGTGCTCTGTCCAAACAAAGGTTCAATTCCGACAGTTGAGTGCACACATCACAAACGTGATTCTGCGAATGCTTCTGTCTAGTTTTTGTCGGAAGATATTTCCTTTTTCAGCATAGGCCCCAAGGAGCTCAAAATGTCCACTTCCAGATAGTACGAGAAGATTGTTTCAAACCTGCTCTGTGAAAGGGAATGTTCAACTCTGTGACTTGAATGTAAACATCCCTAAAATGTTTCATAGAATGCTTCTGGCTAGATTTGATTTGAAGATATTCCCGTTTCAAACGAAATCCTCAAAGCTTTCCAAATATCCACTTCCAGATTCTATACAAAGAATGTTTCAGAACAGTTCTGTCAAAAGAAAGGTTCAACCCTGTTAGTGGAGAACACACATCACAATCAAGGTTCTGAGAATGCTTCTGTCTAAATTTTCTATGAAGACATTCCCGTTTCCAAGGAAATCCTCACAGCTATCCAAATATCCACTTGCAGATTCTACAAAAAGTGTGGTTCAAAACTGCTGTATCAAAAGAATGGATCAACACTGTTAGTTGAGTACCCACATCACAAACGTGATTCTCAGAATGCTTCTGTCTAGTTTCTATAGGTAGATATTTCCTTTTTCAGCATAGGCCTGAAAGCGCTCCAAATGCCCGCTTCCAGACACTATAAAAAGAGGGTTTCAAACCTACTCTACGAAAGGGAATGTTCAACTCTGAGAGCTGGATGCAAACATCACAAAGAAGTTTCTGAGAATGCGGCTGTCTACTTTTTATATATAATCCCGTTGCCAACGAAATCCTCAAATCTTTCCAAATATCCACTTGCAGATTCCAAAAGAAGAGTGTCTCAAAACTGCTCTATCAATAGAAATGTTCAGCACAGTTAGTGGAGTAGATACAGCATAAACATGTTTCTGAGATTACTTCTATCTCGCATTCATGGGAAGATATTTCCTTTATCCAGATAGGCTACAAAGCCCTCCAAATGTCCACTTCGAGATACTACAAATAGAGTGCTGCACAGCTGCTCTATGTGAGGGGATGTTCAATTCTGTGACTTGAATACAGACACCACAAAGAAGTTTTGATAATGCTGCTGTCTAATTTTTATATGTAAGCCCGTTTCCAAAGAAATCCTCAAAGCTATCCAAATATCCGCATGCAGAATCTTCAAAAAGAGTGTTCCAGAAGTACTGCATGAAACGAAAGGTTCAAGTCCGTTAGTGGAGGACACACATCAAAAATAAGTTTCTCAGAATGCTTCTGTCTTGTTTTCATTGGAAGATATTTCCTCTTTCACCATAGTTCAGAAAGCGCTCCAAATGTCCACTTCCAGATACTACAAAAGGAGTGTTTCCAACCTGCTCTATGAATGGGAATGTTCCACTCTGTGACTTGAATGGAAATATGGCAAAGTATTTTCTGAGTATGCTGCTGTGTGCGATTTATATTGCATCCCGTTTCCAACGAAATCCTCAAAGCGATCCAAATATCCACTTGCAGATTCGAAAAAAAAGAGTGTTTCACACTGCTCTGTCAGTACAAAAGTTCAACACTGTTAGTTGATTGGATGCATCATAAACAAGTTCCTGAGATAGCTTCTATCTCGTATTCATGGGAAGATATTTCCTTTTTCCAGAAAGGCTACAAAGCCCTCCCAATGTCCACTTCCAGATACTACAAAAAGTGTGTTTCCAACCTGCTCTATGAAACGGAAGGTTCAACTCTGTGACTTGATTGCAAACATCACGAAGGTGTTTCTGAGAATGCTTCTGTCTAGATTTTCTTTGAGACATTACCGTTTCCAACGAAATCCTCAAAGCTAGCCAAATATCCACCTGCAGATTCTACAAAAAGAGTGTTTCAAAAGTGCTCTGTCCAAACCAAGGTTCAATTCTGACAGTTGAGTGCACACATCACAAACGTGATTCTGCGAATGCTTCTGTCTAGTTTTTGTCGGAAGATATTTCCTTTTTCAGCATAGGCCCCAAGGAGCTCAAAATGTCCACTGCCAGATAGTACGAGAAGATTGTTTCAAACCTGCTCTGTGAAAGGGAATGTTCAACTCTGTGACTTGAATGTAAACATCCCTAAGATGTTTCTTAGAATGCTTCTGGCTAGATTTGATTTGAAGATATTCCCGTTTCCAACGAAATCCTCAAAGCTTTCCAAATATCCACTTCCAGATTCTATAAAAAGAATGTTTCAGAACAGTTCTGTCAAAAGAAAGGTTCAACTCTGTTAGTGGAGAACACACATCACAATCAAGGTTCTGAGAATGCTTCTGTCTAAATTTTCTATGAAGACATTCCCGTTTCCAACGAAATCCTCACAGCTATCCAAATATCCACTTGCAGATTCTACAAAAAGTGTGGTTCAAAACTGCTGTATCAAAAGAATGGATCAACACTGTTAGTTGAGTACCCACATCACAAACGTGATTCTCAGAATGCTTCTGTCTAGTTTCTATAGGTAGATATTTCCTTTTTCAGCATAGGCCTGAAAGCGCTCCAAATGCCCGCTTCCAGACACTATAAAAAGAGGGTTTCAAACCTACTCTATGAAAGGGAATGTTCAACTCTGAGAGCTGGATGCAAACATCACAAAGAAGTTTCTGAGAATGCTGCTGTCTACTTTTTATATATAATCCCGTTTCTAACGAAATCCTCAAATCTATCCAAATATCCACTTGCAGATTCCAAAAGAAGAGTGTCTCAAAACTGCTCTATCAATAGAAATGTTCAGCACAGTTAGTTGAGTAGATACAGCATAAACATGTTTCTGAGATTACTTCTATCTCGCATTCATGGGAAGATATTTCCTTTTTCCAGATAGGCTACAAAGCCCTCCAAATGTCCACTTCCAGATACTACAAATAGAGTGCTGCACAACTGCTCTATGTGAGGGGAAGTTCAATTCTGTGACTTGAATGCAGACACCACAAAGAAGTTTCTGAGAATGCTGCTGTCTAATTTTTACATGTAAGCCCGTTTCCAACGAAATCCTCAAAGCTATCCAAATATCCGCATGCAGAATCTTCAAAAAGAGTGTTCCAGAAGTACTGCATGAAACGAAAGGTTCAAGTCCGTTTGTTGAGGACACACATCACAAATAAGTTTCTCAGAATGCTTCTGTCTTGTTTTCATTGGAAGATATTTCCTTTTTCACCATAGTTCAGAAAGCGCTCCAAATGTCCACTTCCAGATACTCCAAAAAGAGTGTTTCAAACCTGCTCTATGAATGGGAATGTTCCACTCTGTGACTTGAATGGAAATATGGCAAAGTATTTTCTGAGTATGCTGCTGTGTACGTTTTATATTGCATCCCGTTTCCAACGAAATCCTCAAAGCGATCCAAATATCCACTTGCAGATTCCAAAAAAAGAGTGTTTCAAACTGCTCTGTCAGTACAAAGGTTCAACACTGTTAGTTGATTAGATGCATCATAAACAAGTTCCTGAGATAGCTTCTATGTCGTTTTTATGGGAAGATATTTCCTTTTTCACCATAGGCCTGAAAGCGCTCCAAATGTCCACTTCCAGATACTACAAAAAGAGTGTTTCCAACCTGCTCTATGAAACGGAAGGTTCAACTCTGTGACTTGATTGCAAACATCACGAAGGTGTTTCTGAGAATGCTTCTGTCTAGATTTTCTTTGAAGACATTACCGTTTCCAACGAAATCCTCAAAGCTAGCCAAATATCCACCTGCAGATTCTACAAAAAGAGTGTTTCAAAAGTGCTCTGTCCAAACCAAGGTTCAATTCTGACAGTTGAGTGCACACATCACAAACGTGATTCTGCGAATGCTTCTGTCTAGTTTTTGTCGGAAGATATTTCCTTTTTCAGCATAGGCCCCAAGGAGCTCAAAATGTCCACTGCCAGATAGTACGAGAAGATTGTTTCAAACCTGCTCTGTGAAAGGGAATGTTCAACTCTGTGACTTGAATGTAAACATCCCTAAGATGTTTCTTAGAATGCTTCTGGCTAGATTTGATTTGAAGATATTCCCGTTTCCAACGAAATCCTCAAAGCTTTCCAAATATCCACTTCCAGATTCTATAAAAAGAATGTTTCAGAACAGTTCTGTCAAAAGAAAGGTTCAACTCTGTTAGTGGAGAACACACATCACAATCAAGGTTCTGAGAATGCTTCTGTCTAAATTTTCTATGAAGACATTCCCGTTTCCAACGAAATCCTCACAGCTATCCAAATATCCACTTGCAGATTCTACAAAAAGTGTGGTTCAAAACTGCTGTATCAAAAGAATGGATCAACACTGTTAGTTGAGTACACACATCACAAACGTGATTCTCAGAATGCTTCTGTCTAGTTTCTATAGGTAGATATTTCCTTTTTCAGCATAGGCCTGAAAGCGCTCCAAATGCCCGCTTCCAGACACTATAAAAAGAGGGTTTCAAACCTACTCTATGAAAGGGAATGTTCAACTCTGAGAGCTGGATGCAAACATCACAAAGAAGTTTCTGAGAATGCTGCTGTCTACTTTTGATATATAATCCCGTTTCCAACGAAAATCCTCAAATCTATCCAAATATCCACTTGCAGATTCCAAAAGAAGAGTGTCTCAAAACTGCTCTATCAATAGAAATGTTCAGCACAGTTAGTTGAGTAGATACAGCATAAACATGTTTCTGAGATTACTTCTATCTCGCATTCATGGGAAGATATTTCCTTTTTCCAGATAGGCTACAAAGCCCTCCAAATGTCCACTTCCAGATACTACAAATAGAGTGCTGCACAACTGCTCTATGTGAGGGGATGTTCAATTCTGTGACTTGAATGCAGACACCACAAAGAAGTTTCTGAGAATGCTGCTGTCTAATTTTTACTTGTAAGCCCGTTTCCAATGAAATCCTCAAAGCTATCCAAATATCCGCATGCAGAATCTTCAAAAAGAGTGTTCCAGAAGTACTGCATGAAACGAAAGGTTCAAGTCCGTTTGTTGAGGACACACACCACAAATAAGTTTCTCATAAAGCTTCTGTCTTGTTTTCATTGGAAGATATTTCCTTTTTCACCATAGTTCAGAAAGCGCTCCAAATGTCCACTTCCAGATACTCCAAAAAGAGTGTTTCCAACCTGCTCTATGAATGGGAATGTTCCACTCTGTGACTTGAATGGAAATATGGCAAAGTATTTTCTGAGTATGCTGCTGTGTACGTTTTATATTGCATCCCGTTTCCAACGAAATCCTCAAAGCGATCCAAATATCCACTTGCAGATTCCCAAAAAAGAGTGTTTCAAACTGCTCTGTCAGTACAAAGGTTCAACACTGTTAGTTGATTAGATGCCTCATAAACAAGTTCCTGAGATAGCTTCTATGTCGTTTTTATGGGAAGATATTTCCTTTTTCACCATAGGCCTGAAAGCGCTCCAAATGTCCACTTCCAGATACTACAATAAGAGTGTTTCCAACCTGCTCTATGAAACGGAAGGTTCAACTCTGTGACTTGATTGCAAACATCACGAAGGTGTTTCTGAGAATGCTTCTGTCTAGATTTTCTTTGAAGACATTACCGTTTCCAACGAAATCCTCAAAGCTAGCCAAATATCCACCTGCAGATTCTCCAAAAAGAGTGTTTCAAAAGTGCTCTGTCCAAACCAAGGTTCAATTCTGACAGTTGAGTGCACACATCACAAACGTGATTCTGCGAATGCTTCTGTCTAGTTTTTGTCGGAAGATATTTCCTTTTTCAGCATAGGCCCCAAGGAGCTCAAAATGTCCACTGCCAGATAGTACGAGAAGATTGTTTCAAACCTGCTCTGTGAAAGGGAATGTTCAACTCTGTGACTTGAATGTAAACATCCCTAAGATGTTTCTTAGAATGCTTCTGGCTAGATTTGATTTGAAGATATTCCCGTTTCCAACGAAATCCTCAAAGCTTTCCAAATATCCACTTCCAGATTCTATAAAAAGAATGTTTCAGAACAGTTCTGTCAAAAGAAAGGTTCAACTCTGTTAGTGGAGAACACACATCACAATCAAGGTTCTGAGAATGCTTCTGTCTAAATTTTCTATGAAGACATTCCCGTTTCCAACGAAATCCTCACAGCTATCCAAATATCCACTTGCAGATTCTACAAAAAGTGTGGTTCAAAACTGCTGTATCAAAAGAATGGATCAACACTGTTAGTTGAGTACCCACATCACAAACGTGATTCTCAGAATGCTTCTGTCTAGTTTCTATAGGTAGATATTTCCTTTTTCAGCATAGGCCTGAAAGCGCTCCAAATGCCCGCTTCCAGACACTATAAAAAGAGGGTTTCAAACCTACTCTATGAAAGGGAATGTTCAACTCTGAGAGCTGGATGCAAACATCACAAAGAAGTTTCTGAGAATGCTGCTGTCTACTTTTGATATATAATCCCGTTGCCAACGAAATCCTCAAATCTATCCAAATATCCACTTGCAGATTCCAAAAGAAGAGTGTCTCAAAACTGCTCTATCAATAGAGATGTTCAGCACAGTTAGTTGAGTAGATACAGCATAAACATGTTTCTGAGATTACTTCTATCTCGCATTCATGGAAAGATATTTCCTTTTTCCAGATAGGCTACAAAGCCCTCCAAATGTACATTTCGAGATACTACAAATAGAGTGCTGCACAACTGCTCTATGTGAGGGGATGTTCAATTCTGTGACTTGAACGCAGACACCACAAAGAAGTTTCTGAGAATGCTGCTGTCTAATTTTTACATGTAAGCCCGTTTCCAACGAAATCCTCAAAGCTATCCAAAGATCCGCATGCAGAATCTTCAAAAAGAGTGTTCCAGAAGTACTGCATGAAACGAAAGGTTCAAGTCCGTTAGTTGAGGACACACATCACAAATAAGTTTCTCAGAATGCTTCTGTCTTGTTTTCATTGGAAGATATTTCCTTTTTCACCATAGTTCAGAAAGCGCTCCAAATGTCCACTTCCAGATACTCCAAAAAGACTGTTTCAAACCTGCTCTATGAATGGGAATGTTCCACTCTGTGACTTGAATGGAAATATGGCAAAGTATTTTCTGAGTATGCTGCTGTGTACGTTTTATATTGCATCCCGTTTCCAACGAAATCCTCAAAGCGATCCAAATATCCACTTGCAGATTCCAAAAAAAAGAGTGTTTCAAACGGCTCTGTCAGTACAAAGGTTCAACACTGTTAGTTGATTAGATGCGTCATAAACAAGTTCCTGAGATAGATTCTATGTCGTTTTTATGGGAAGATATTTCCTTTTTCACCAGAGGCCTGAAAGCGCTCCAAATGTCCACTTCCAGATACTACAAAAAGAGTGTTTCCAACCTGCTCTATGAAACGGAAGGTTCAACTCTGTGACTTGATTGCAAACATCACGAAGGTGTTTCTGAGAATGTTTCTGTCTAGATTTTCTTTGAAGACATTTCCGTTTCCAACGAAATCCTCAAAGCTAGCCAAATATCCACCTGCAGATTCTACAAAAAGAGTGTTTCAAAAGTGCTCTGTCCAAACCAAGGTTCAATTCTGACAGTTGAGTGCACACATCACAAACGTGATTCTGCGAATGCTTCTATCTAGTTTTTGTCGGAAGATATTTCCTTTTTCAGCATAGGCCCCAAGGAGCTCAAAATGTCCACTTCCAGATAGTACGAGAAGATTGTTTCAAACCTGTTCTGCGAAAGGGAATGTTCCACTCTGTGACTTGAATGTAAACATCCCTAATATGTTTCTTAGAATGCTTCTGGCTAGATTTTATTTGAAGATATTCCCGTTTCCAACGAAATCCTCAAATCTTTCCAAATATCCACTTCCAGATTCTATAAAAAGAATGTTTCAGAACAGTTCTGTCAAAAGAAAGGTTCAACTCTGTTAGTGGAGAACACACATCACAATCAAGGTTCTGAGAATGCTTCTGTCTAGCATTTTCTTTGAAGACATTCCCGTTTCCAACGAAATCCTCACAGCTATCCAAATATCCTCTTGCAGATTCTACAAAAAGTGTGGTTCAAAACTGCTGTATCAAAAGAATGGATCAACACTGTTAGTTGAGTACCCACATCACAAACGTGATTCTCAGAATGCTTCTGTCTAGTTTCTGTAGGTAGATATTTCCTATTTTAAGCATAGGCCTGAAAGCGCTCCAAATGCCCGCTTCCAGACACTATAAAAAGAGGGTTTCAAACCTACTCTATGAAAGGGAATGTTCAACTCTGAGAGCTGGATGCAAACATCACAAAGAAGTTTCTGAGAATGCTGCTGTCTACTTTTTATATATAATCCCGTTTCCAACGAAATCCTCAAATCTATCCAAATATCCACTTGCAGATTCCAAAAGAAGAGTGTCTCAAAACTGCTCTATCAATAGAAATGTTCAGCACAGTTAGTTGAGTAGATACAGCATAAACATGTTTCTGAGATTACTTCTATCTCGCATTCATGGGAAGATATTTCCTTTTTCCAGATAGGCTACAAAGCCCTCCAAATGTCCACTTCCAGATACTACAAAAAGAGTGTTTCCAACCTGCTCTATGAAACGGAAGGTTCAACTCTGTGACTTGATTGCAAACATCACGAAGGTGTTTCTGAGAATGCTTCTGTCTAGATTTTCTTTGAAGACATTACCGTTTCCAACGAAATCCTCAAAGCTAGCCAAATATCCACCTGCAGATTCTACAAAAAGAGTGTTTCAAAAGTGCTCTGTCCAAACCAAGGTTCAATTCTGACAGTTGAGTGCACACATCACAAACGTGATTCTGCGAATGCTTCTGTCTAGTTTTTGTCGGAAGATATTTCCTTTTTCAGCATAGGCCCCAAGGAGCTCAAAATGTCCACTGCCAGATAGTACGAGAAGATTGTTTCAAACCTGCTCTGTGAAAGGGAATGTTCAACTCTGTGACTTGAATGTAAACATCCCTAAGATGTTTCTTAGAATGCTTCTGGCTAGATTTGATTTGAAGATATTCCCGTTTCCAACGAAATCCTCAAAGCTTTCCAAATATCCACTTCCAGATTCTATAACAAGAATGTTTCAGAACAGTTCTGTCAAAAGAAAGGTTCAACTCTGTTAGTGGAGAACACACATCACAATCAAGGTTCTGAGAATGCTTCTGTCTAAATTTTCTATGAAGACATTCCCGTTTCCAACGAAATCCTCACAGCTATCCAAATATCCACTTGCAGATTCTACAAAAAGTGTGGTTCAAAACTGCTGTATCAAAAGAATGGATCAACACTGTTAGTTGAGTACCCACATCACAAACGTGATTCTCAGAATGCTTCTGTCTAGTTTCTATAGGTAGATATTTCCTTTTTCAGCATAGGCCTGAAAGCGCTCCAAATGCCCGCTTCCAGACACTATAAAAAGAGGGTTTCAAACCTACTCTATGAAAGGGAATGTTCAACTCTGAGAGCTGGATGCAAACATCACAAAGAAGTTTCTGAGAATGCTGCTGTCTACTTTTGATATATAATCCCGTTTCCAACGAAATCCTCAAATCTATCCAAATATCCACTTGCAGATTCCAAAAGAAGAGTGTCTCAAAACTGCTCTATCAATAGAAATGTTCAGCACAGTTAGTTGAGTAGGTACAGCATAAACATGTTTCTGAGATTACTTCTATCTCGCATTCATGGGAAGATATTTCCTTTTTCCACATAGGCTACAAAGCCCTCCAAATGTCCACTTCCAGATACTACAAATAGAGTGCTGCACAACTGCTCTATGTGAGGGGATGTTCAATTCTGTGACTTGAATGCAGACACCACAAAGAAGTTTCTGAGAATGCTGCTGTCTAATTTTTACATGTAAGCCCGTTTCCAACGAAATCCTCAAAGCTATCCAAATATCCGCATGCAGAATCTTCAAAAAGAGTGTTCCAGAAGTACTGCATGAAACGAAAGGTTCAAGTCCGTTTGTTGAGGACACACATCACAAATAAGTTTCTCAGAATGCTTCTGTCTTGTTTTCATTGGAAGATATTTCCTTTTTCACCATAGTTCAGAAAGCGCTCCAAATGTCCACTTCCAGATACTCCAAAAAGAGTGTTTCCAACCTGCTCTATGAATGGGAATGTTCCACTCTGTGACTTGAATGGAAATATGGCAAAGAATTTTCTGAGTATGCTGCTGTGTACGTTTTATATTGCATCCCGTTTCCAACGAAATCCTCAAAGCGATCCAAATATCCACTTGCAGATTCCAAAAAAAGAGTGTTTCAAACTGCTCTGTCAGTACAAAGGTTCAACACTGTTAGTTGATTAGATGCCTCATAAACAAGTTCCTGAGATAGCTTCTATGTCGCTTTTATGGGAAGATATTTCCTTTTTCACCATAGGCCTGAAAGCGCTCCAAATGTCCACTTCCAGATACTACAATAAGAGTGTTTCCAACCTGCTCTATGAAACGGAAGGTTCAACTCTGTGACTTGATTGCAAACATCACGAAGGTGTTTCTGAGAATGTTTCTGTCTAGATTTTCTTTGAAGACATTCCCGTTTCCAACGAAATCCTCACAGCTATCCAAATATCCTCTTGCAGATTCTACAAAAAGTGTGGTTCAAAACTGCTGTATCAAAAGAATGGATCAACACTGTTAGTTGAGTACCCACATCACAAACGAGATTCTCAGAATGCTTCTGTCTAGTTTCTGTAGGTAGATATTTCCTATTTTAAGCATAGGTCTGAAAGCGCTCCAAATGCCCGCTTCCAGACACTATAAAAAGAGGGTTTCAAACCTACTCTATGAAAGGGAATGTTCAACTCTGAGAGCTGGATGCAAACATCACAAAGAAGTTTCTGAGAATGCTGCTGTCTACTTTTTATATATAATCCCGTTTCCAACGAAATCCTCAAATCTCTCCAAATATCCACTTGCAGATTCCAAAAGAAGAGTGTCTCAAAACTGCTCTATCAATAGAAATGTTCAGCACAGTTAGTTGAGTAGATACAGCATAAACATGTTTCTGAGATTACTTCTATCTCGCATTCATGGGAAGATATTTCCTTTTTCCACATAGGCTACAAAGCCCTCCAAATGTCCACTTCCAGATACTACAAAAAGAGTGTTTCCAACCTGCTCTATGAAACGGAAGGTTCAACTCTGTGACTTGATTGCAAACATCACGAAGGTGTTTCTGAGAATGCTTCTGTCTAGATTTTCTTTGAAGACATTACCGTTTCCATCGAAATCCTCAAAGCTAGCCAAATATCCACCTGCAGATTCTACAAAAAGAGTGTTTCAAAAGTGCTCTGTCCAAACCAAGGTTCAATTCTGACAGTTGAGTGCACACATCACAAACGTGATTCTGCGAATGCTTCTGTCTAGTTTTTGTCGGAAGATATTTCCTTTTTCAGCATAGGCCCCAAGGAGCTCAAAATGTCCACTGCCAGATAGTACGAGAAGATTGTTTCAAACCTGCTCTGTGAAAGGGAATGTTCAACTCTGTGACTTGAATGTAAACATCCCTAAGATGTTTCTTAGAATGCTTCTGGCTAGATTTGATTTGAAGATATTCCCGTTTCAAACGAAATCCTCAAAGCTTTCCAAATATCCACTTCCAGATTCTATAAAAAGAATGTTTCAGAACAGTTCTGTCAAAAGAAAGGTTCAACCCTGTTAGTGGAGAACACACATCACAATCAAGGTTCTGAGAATGCTTCTGTCTAAATTTTCTATGAAGACATTCCCGTTTCCAACGAAATCCTCACAGCTATCCAAATATCCACTTGCAGATTCTACAAAAAGTGTGGTTCAAAACTGCTGTATCAAAAGAATGGATCAACACTGTTAGTTGAGGTACCCACATCACAAACGTGATTCTCAGAATGCTTCTGTCTAGTTTCTATAGGTAGATATTTCCTTTTTCAGCATAGGCCTGAAAGCGCTCCAAATGCCCGCTTCCAGACACTATAAAAAGAGGGTTTCAAACCTACTCTATGAAAGGGAATGTTCAACTCTGGGAGCTGGATGCAAACATCACAAAGAAGTTTCTGAGAATGCTGCTGTCTACTTTTTATATATAATCCCGTTTCCAACGAAATCCTCAAATCTATCCAAATATCCACTTGCAGATTCCAAAAGAAGAGTGTCTCAAAACTGCTCTATCAATAGAAATGTTCAGCACAGTTAGTTGAGTAGATACAGCATAAACATGTTTCTGAGATTACTTCTATCTCGCATTCATGGGAAGATATTTCCTTTTTCCAGATAGGCTACAAAGCCCTCCAAATGTCCACTTCCAGATACTACAAATAGAGTGCTGCACAACTGCTCTATGTGAGGGGAAGTTCAATTCTGTGACTTGAATGCAGACACCACAAAGAAGTTTCTGAGAATGCTGCTGTCTAATTTTTACATGTAAGCCCGTTTCCAACGAAATCCTCAAAGCTATCCAAATATCCGCATGCAGAATCTTCAAAAAGAGTGTTCCAGAAGTACTGCATGAAACGAAAGGTTCAAGTCCGTTTGTTGAGGACACACATCACAAATAAGTTTCTCAGAATGCTTCTGTCTTGTTTTCATTGGAAGATATTTCCTTTTTCACCATAGTTCAGAAAGCGCTCCAAATGTCCACTTCCAGATACTCCAAAAAGAGTGTTTCCAACCTGCTCTATGAATGGGAATGTTCCACTCTGTGACTTGAATGGAAATATGGCAAAGTATTTTCTGAGTATGCTGCTGTGTACGTTTTATATTGCATCCCGTTTCCAACGAAATCCTCAAAGCGATCCAAATATCCACTTGCAGATTCCAAAAAAAGAGTGTTTCAAACTGCTCTGTCAGTACAAAGGTTCAACACTGTTAGTTGATTAGATGCATCATAAACAAGTTCCTGAGATAGCTTCTATGTCGCTTTTATGGGAAGATATTTCCTTTTACACCATAGGCCTGAAAGCGCTCCAAATGTCCACTTCCAGATACTACAAAATGAGTGTTTCCAACCTGCTCTATGAAACGGAAGGTTCAACTCTGTGACTTGATTGCAAACATCACGAAGGTGTTTCTGAGGATGTTTCTGTCTAGATTTTCTTTGAAGACATTACCGTTTCCAACGAAATCCTCAAAGCTAGCGAAATATCCACCTGCAGATTCTACAAAAAGAGTGTTTCAAAAGTGCTCTGTCCAAACCAAGGTTCAATTCTGACAGTTGAGTGCACACATCACAAACATGATTCTGCGAATGCTTCTGACTAGTTTTTGTCGGAAGATATTTCCTTTTTCAGCATAGGCCCCAAAGAGCTCAAAATGTCCACTGCCAGATAGTACGAGAAGATTGTTTCAAACCTGCTCTGTGAAAGGGAATGTTCAACTCTGTGACTTGAATGTAAACATCCCTAAGATGTTTCTTAGAATACTTCTGGCTAGATTTTATTTGAAGATATTCCCGTTTCCAACGAAATCCTCAAAGCTTTCCAAATATCCACTTCCAGATTCTATAAAAAGAATGTTTCAGAACAGTTCTGTCAAAAGAAAGGTTCAACTCTGTTAGTGGAGAACACACATCACAATCAAGGTTCTGAGAATGCTTCTGTCTAAATTTTCTATGAAGACATTCCCGTTTCCAACGAAATCCTCACAGCTATCCAAATATCCACTTGCAGATTCTACAAAAAGTGTGGTTCAAAACTGCTGTATCAAAAGAATGGATCAACACTGTTAGTTGAGTACCCACATCACAAACTTGATTCTCAGAATGCTTCTGTCTAGTTTCTATATGTAGATATTTCCTTTTTCAGCATAGGCCTGAAAGCGCTCCAAATGCCCGCTTCCAGACACTATAAAAAGAGGGTTTCAAACCTACTCTATGAAAGGGAATGTTCAACTCTGAGAGCTGGATGCAAACATCACAAAGAAGTTTCTGAGAATGCTGCTGTCTACTTTTTATATATAATCCCGTTTCCAACGAAATCCTCAAATCTATCCAAATATCCACTTGCAGATTCCAAAAGAAGAGTGTCTCAAAACTGCTCTATCAATAGAAATGTTCAGCACAGTTAGTTGAGTAGATACAGCATAAACATGTTTCTGAGATTACTTCTATCTCGCATTCATGGGAAGATATTTCCTTTTTCCAGATAGGCTACAAAGCCCTCCAAATGTCCACTTCCAGATACTACAAATAGAGTGCTGCACAACTGCTCTATGTGAGGGGAAGTTCAATTCTGTGACTTGAATGCAGACACCACAAAGAAGTTTCTGAGAATGCTGCTGTCTAATTTTTACATGTAAGCCCGTTTCCAACGAAATCCTCAAAGCTATCCAAATATCCGCATGCAGAATCTTCAAAAAGAGTGTTCCAGAAGTACTGCATGAAACGAAAGGTTCAAGTCCGTTTGTTGAGGACACACATCACAAATAAGTTTCTCAGAATGCTTCTGTCTTGTTTTCATTGGAAGATATTTCCTTTTTCACCATAGTTCAGAAAGCGCTCCAAATGTCCACTTCCAGATACTCCAAAAAGAGTGTTTCCAACCTGCTCTATGAATGGGAATGTTCCACTCTGTGACTTGAATGGAAATATGGCAAAGTATTTTCTGAGTATGCTGCTGTGTACGTTTTATATTGCATCCCGTTTCCAACGAAATCCTCAAAGCGATCCAAATATCCACTTGCAGATTCCAAAAAAAGAGTGTTTCAAACTGCTCTGTCAGTACAAAGGTTCAACACTGTTAGTTGATTAGATGCATCATAAACAAGTTCCTGAGATAGCTTCTATGTCGTTTTTATGGGAAGATATTTCCTTTTTCACCATAGGCCTGAAAGCGCTCCAAATGTCCACTTCCAGATACTACAATAAGAGTGTTTCCAACCTGCTCTATGAAACGGAAGGTTCAACTCTGTGACTTGATTGCAAACATCACGAAGGTGTTTCTGAGAATGCTTCTGTCTAGATTTTCTTTGAAGACATTCCCGTTTCCAACGAAATCCTCACAGCTATCCAAATATCCTCTTGCAGATTCTACAAAAAGTGTGGTTCAAAACTGCTGTATCAAAAGAATGGATCAACACTGTTAGTTGAGTACCCACATCACAAACGTGATTCTCAGAATGCTTCTGTCTAGTTTCTGTAGGTAGATATTTCCTATTTTAAGCATAGGCCTGAAAGCGCTCCAAATGCCCGCTTCCAGACACTATAAAAAGAGGGTTTCAAACCTACTCTATGAAAGGGAATGTTCAACTCTGAGAGCTGGATGCAAACATCACAAAGAAGTTTCTGAGAATGCTGCTGTCTACTTTTGATATATAATCCCGTTTCCAACGAAATCCTCAAATCTATCCAAATATCCACTTGCAGATTCCAAAAGAAGAGTGTCTCAAAACTGCTCTATCAATAGAAATGTTCAGCACAGTTAGTTGAGTAGATACAGCATAAACATGTTTCTGAGATTACTTCTATCTCGCATTCATGGGAAGATATTTCCTTTTTCCAGATAGGCTACAAAGCCCTCCAAATGTCCTCTTCGAGATACTACAAATAGAGTGCTGCACAACTGCTCTATGTGAGGGGATGTTCAATTCTGTGACTTGAATGCAGACACCACAAAGAAGTTTCTGAGAATGCTGCTGTCTAATTTTTATATGTAAGCCCGTTTCCAACGAAATCCTCAAAGCTAACCAAATATCCGCATGCAGAATCTTCAAAAAGAGTGTTCCAGAAGTACTGCATGAAACGAAAGGTTCGAGTCCGTTAGTTGAGGACACGCATCACAAATAAGTTTCTCAGAATGCTTCTGTCTTGTTTTCATTGGAAGATATTTCCTTTTTCACCATAGTTCTGAAAGCGCTCCAAATGTCCACTTCCAGACACTCCAAAAAAAGTGTTTCAAACCTGCTCTATGAATGGGAATGTTCCACACTGTGACTTGAATGGAAATATGGCAAAGTATTTTCTGAGTATGCTGCTGTGTACGTTTTATATTGCATCCCGTTTCCAACGAAATCCTCAAAGCGATCCAAATATCCACTTGCAGATTCCAAAAAAAGAGTGTTTCAAACTGCTCTGTCAGTACAAAGTTCAACACTGTTAGTTGATTAGATGCATCATAAACAAGTTCCTGAGATAGCTTCTATGTCGCTTTTATGGGAAGATATTTCCTTTTACACCATAGGCCTGAAAGCGCTCCAAATGTCCACTTCCAGATACTACAAAATGAGTGTTTCCAACCTGCTCTATGAAACGGAAGGTTCAACTCTGTGACTTGATTGCAAACATCACGAAGGTGTTTCTGAGGATGTTTCTGTCTAGATTTTCTTTGAAGACATTACCGTTTCCAACGAAATCCTCAAAGCTAGCCAAATATCCACCTGCAGATTCTACAAAAAGAGTGTTTCAAAAGTGCTCTGTCCAAACCAAGGTTCAATTCTGACAGTTGAGTGCACACATCACAAACGTGATTCTGCGAATGCTTCTGTCTAGTTTTTGTCGGAAGATATTTCCTTTTTCAGCATAGGCCCCAAGGAGCTCAAAATGTCCACTGCCAGATAGTACGAGAAGATTGTTTCAAACCTGCTCTGTGAAAGGGAATGTTCAACTCTGTGACTTGAATGTAAACATCCCTGAGATGTTTCTTAGAATGCTTCTGGCTAGATTTTATTTGAAGATATTCCCGTTTCCAACGAAATCCTCAAAGCTTTCCAAATATCCACTTCCAGATACTATAAAAAGAATGTTTCAGAACAGTTCTGTCAAAAGAAAGGTTCAACTCTGTTAGTGGAGAACACACATCACAATCAAGGTTCTGAGAATGCTTCTGTCTAAATTTTCTATGAAGACATTCCCGTTTCCAACGAAATCCTCACAGCTATCCAAATATCCACTTGCAGATTCTACAAAAAGTGTGGTTCAAAACTGCTGTATCAAAAGAATGGATCAACACTGTTAGTTGAGTACCCACATCACAAACGTGATTCTCAGAATGCTTCTGTCTAGTTTCTATAGGTAGATATTTCCTTTTTCAGCATAGGCCTGAAAGCGCTCCAAATGCCCGCCTTCCAGACACTATAAAAAGAGGGTTTCAAACCTACTCTATGAAAGGGAATGTTCAACTCTGAGAGCTGGATGCAAACATCACAAAGAAGTTTCTGAGAATGCTGCTGTCTACTTTTTATATATAATCCCGTTTCCAACGAAATCCTCAAATCTATCCAAATATCCACTTGCAGATTCCAAAAGAAGAGTGTCTCAAAACTGCTCTATCAATAGAAATGTTCAGCACAGTTAGTTGAGTAGATACAGCATAAACATGTTTCTGAGATTACTTCTATCTCGCATTCATGGGAAGATATTTCCTTTTTCCAGATAGGCTACAAAGCCCTCCAAATGTCCACTTCCAGATACTACAAATAGAGTGCTGCACAACTGCTCTATGTGAGGGGAAGTTCAATTCTGTGACTTGAATGCAGACACCACAAAGTAGTTTCTGAGAATGCTGCTGTCTAATTTTTACATGTAAGCCCGTTTCCAACGAAATCCTCAAAGCTATCCAAATATCCGCATGCAGAATCTTCAAAAAGAGTGTTCCAGAAGTACTGCATGAAACGAAAGGTTCAAGTCCGTTTGTTGAGGACACACATCACAAATAAGTTTCTCAGAATGCTTCTGTCTTGTTTTCATTGGAAGATATTTCCTTTTTCACCATAGTTCAGAAAGCGCTCCAAATGTCCACTTCCAGATACTCCAAAAAGAGTGTTTCCAACCTGCTCTATGAATGGGAATGTTCCACTCTGTGACTTGAATGGAAACATGGCAAAGTATTTTCTGAGTATGCTGCTGTGTACGTTTTATATTGCCTCCCGTTTCCAACGAAATCCTCAAAGTGATCCAAATATCCACTTGCAGATTCCAAAAAAAGAGTGTTTCAAACTGCTCTGTCAGTACAAAGGTTCAACACTGTTAGTTGATTAGATGCATCATAAACAAGTTCCTGAGATAGCTTCTATGTCGTTTTTATGGGAAGATATTTCCTTTTTCACCATAGGCCTGAAAGCGCTCCAAATGTCCACTTCCAGATACTACAAAAAGAGTGTTTCCAACCTGCTCTATGAAACGGAAGGTTCAACTCTGTGACTTGATTGCAAACATCACGAAGGTGTTTCTGAGAATGCTTCTGTCTAGATTTTCTTTGAAGACATTAACGTTTCCAACGAAATCCTCAAAGCTAGCCAAATATCCACCTGCAGATTCTACAAAAAGAGTGTTTCAAAAGTGCTCTGTCCAATCCAAGGTTCAATTCTGACAGTTGAGTGCACACATCACAAACGTGATTCTGCGAATGCTTCTGTCTAGTTTTTGTCGGAAGATATTTCCTTTTTCAGCATAGGCCCCAAGGAGCTCAAAATGTCCACTGCCAGATAGTACGAGAAGATTGTTTCAAACCTGCTCTGTGAAAGGGAATGTTCAACTCTGTGACTTGAATGTAAACATCCCTAAGATGTTTCTTAGAATGCTTCTGGCTAGATTTTATTTGAAGATATTCCCGTTTCCAACGAAATCCTCAAAGCTTTCCAAATATCCACTTCCAGATTCTATAAAAAGAATGTTTCAGAACATTTCTGTCAAAAGAAAGGTTCAACTCTGTTAGTGGAGAACACACATCACAATCAAGGTTCTGAGAATGCTTCTGTCTAAATTTTCTATGAAGACATTCCCGTTTCCAACGAAATCCTCACAGCTATCCAAATATCCACTTGCAGATTCTACAAAAAGTGTGGTTCAAAACTGCTGTATCAAAAGAATGGATCAACACTGTTAGTTGAGTACCCACATCACAAACGTGATTCTCAGAATGCTTCTGTCTAGTTTCTATAGGTAGATATTTCCTTTTTCAGCATAGGCCTGAAAGCGCTCCAAATGCCCGCTTCCAGACACTATAAAAAGAGGGTTTCAAACCTACTCTATGAAAGGGAATGTTCAACTCTGAGAGCTGGATGAAAACATCACAAAGAAGTTTCTGAGAATGCTGCTGTCTACTTTTTATATATAATCCCGTTTCCAACGAAATCCTCAAATCTATCCAAATATCCACTTGCAGATTCCAAAAGAAGAGTGTCTCAAAACTGCTCTATCAATAGAAATGTTCAGCACAGTTAGTTGAGTAGATACAGCATAAACATGTTTCTGAGATTACTTCTATCTCGCATTCATGGGAAGATATTTCCTTTTTCCAGATAGGCTACAAAGCCCTCCAAATGTCCACTTCCAGATACTACAAATAGAGTGCTGCACAACTGCTCTATGTGAGGGGATGTTCAATTCTGTGACTTGAATGCAGACACCACAAAGAAGTTTCTGAGAATGCTGCTGTCTAATTTTTACATGTAAGCCCGTTTCCAACGAAATCCTCAAAGCTATCCAAATATCCGCATGCAGAATCTTCAAAAAGAGTGTTCCAGAAGTACTGCATGAAACGAAAGGTTCAAGTCCGTTTGTTGAGGACACACATCACAAATAAGTTTCTCAGAATGCTTCTGTCTTGTTTTCATTAGAAGATATTTCCTTTTTCACCATAGTTCAGAAAGCGCTCCAAATGTCCACTTCCAGATACTCCAAAAAGAGTGTTTCCAACCTGCTCTATGAATGGGAATGTTCCACTCTGTGACTTGAATGGAAATATGGCAAAGTATTTTCTGAGTATGCTGCTGTGTACGTTTTATATTGCATCCCGTTTCCAACGAAATCCTCAAAGCGATCCAAATATCCACTTGCAGATTCCAAAAAAAGAGTGTTTCAAAGTGCTCTGTCAGTACAAAGGTTCAACACTGTTAGTTGATTAGATGCATCATAAACAAGTTCCTGAGATAGCTTCTATGTCGTTTTTATGGGAAGATATTTCCTTTTTCACCATAGGCCTGAAAGCGCTCCAAATGTCCACTTCCAGATACTACAATAAGAGTGTTTCCAACCTGCTCTATGAAACGGAAGGTTCAACTCTGTGACTTGATTGCAAACATCACGAAGGTGTTTCTGAGAATGCTTCTGTCTAGATTTTCTTTGAAGACATTCCCGTTTCCAACGAAATCCTCACAGCTATCCAAATATCCTCTTGCAGATTCTACAAAAAGTGTGGTTCAAAACTGCTGTATCAAAAGAAAGGATCAACACTGTTAGTTGAGTACCCACATCACAAACGTGATTCTCAGAATGCTTCTGTCTAGTTTCTGTAGGTAGATATTTCCTATTTTAAGCATAGGCCTGAAAGCGCTCCAAATGCCCGCTTGCAGACACTATAAAAAGAGGGTTTCAAACCTACTCTATGAAAGGGAATGTTCAACTCTGAGAGCTGGATGCAAACATCACAAAGAAGTTTCTGAGAATGCTGCTGTCTACTTTTTATATATAATCCCGTTTCCAACGAAATCCTCAAATCTATCCAAATATCCACTTGCAGATTCCAAAAGAAGAGTGTCTCAAAACTGCTCTATCAATAGAAATGTTCAGCACAGTTAGTTGAGTAGATACAGCATAAACATGTTTCTGAGATTACTTCTATCTCGCATTCATGGGAAGATATTTCCTTTTTCCAGATAGGCTACAAAGCCCTCCAAATGTCCACTTCCAGATACTACAAATAGAGTGCTGCACAACTGCTCTATGTGAGGGGAAGTTCAATTCTGTGACTTGAATGCAGACACCACAAAGAAGTTTCTGAGAATGCTGCTGTCTAATTTTTATATGTAAGCCCGTTTCCAACGAAATCCTCAAAGCTATGCAAATATCCGCATGCAGAATCTTCAAAAAGAGTGTTCCAGAAGTACTGCATGAAACGAAAGGTTCAAGTCCGTTTGTTGAGGACACACATCACAAATAAGTTTCTCAGAATGCTTCTGTCTTGTTTTCATTGGAAGATATTTCCTTTTTCACCATAGTTCAGAAAGTGCTCCAAATGTCCACTTCCAGATACTCCAAAAAGAGTGTTTCAAACCTGCTCTATGAATGGGAATGTTCCACTCTGTGACTTGAATGGAAATATGGCAAAGTATTTTCTGAGTATGCTGCTGTGTACGTTTTATATTGCATCCCGTTTCCAACGAAATCCTCAAAGCGATCCAAATATCCACTTGCAGATTCCAAAAAAAGAGTGTTTCAAACTGCTCTGTCAGTACAAAGGTTCAACACTGTTAGTTGATTAGATGCATCATAAACAAGTTCCTGAGATAGCTTCTATGTCGTTTTTATGGGAAGATATTTCCTTTTTCACCATAGGCCTGAAAGCGCTCCAAATGTCCACTTCCAGATACTACAATAAGAGTGTTTCCAACCTGCTCTATGAAACGGAAGGTTCAACTCTGTGACTTGATTGCAAACATCACGAAGGTGTTTCTGAGAATGCTTCTGTCTAGATTTTCTTTGAAGACATTCCCGTTTCCAACGAAATCCTCACAGCTATCCAAATATCCTCTTGCAGATTCTACAAAAAGTGTGGTTCAAAACTGCTGTATCAAAAGAATGGATCAACACTGTTAGTTGAGTACCCACATCACAAACGTGATTCTCAGAATGCTTCTGTCTAGTTTCTGTAGGTAGATATTTCCTATTTTAAGCATAGGCCTGAAAGCGCTCCAAATGCCCGCTTCCAGACACTATAAAAAGAGGGTTTCAAACCTACTCTATGAAAGGGAATGTTCAACTCTGAGAGCTGGATGCAAACATCACAAAGAAGTTTCTGAGAATGCTGCTGTCTACTTTTTATATATAATCCCGTTTCCAACGAAATCCTCAAATCTATCCAAATATCCACTTGCAGATTCCAAAAGAAGAGTGTCTCAAAACTGCTCTATCAATAGAAATGTTCAGCACAGTTAGTTGAGTAGATACAGCATAAACATGTTTCTGAGATTACTTCTATCTCGCATTCATGGGAAGATATTTCCTTTTTCCAGATAGGCTACAAAGCCCTCCAAATGTCCACTTCCAGATACTACAAAT
Organism: Homo sapiens; assembly: GCF_000001405.40. Classification (NCBI taxonomy): domain Eukaryota; kingdom Metazoa; phylum Chordata; class Mammalia; order Primates; family Hominidae; genus Homo; species Homo sapiens. Next base: position 44,995,561 of record NC_000008.11, on the reverse strand, counting down.
AGAGTGCTGCACAACTGCTCTATGTGAGGGGAAGTTCAATTCTGTGACTTGAATGCAGACACCACAAAGAAGTTTCTGAGAATGCTGCTGTCTAATTTTTACATGTAAGCCCGTTTCCAACGAAATCCTCAAAGCTATCCAAATATCCGCATGCAGAATCTTCAAAAAGAGTGTTCCAGAAGTACTGCATGAAACGAAAGGTTCAAGTCCGTTTGTTGAGGACACACATCACAAATAAGTTTCTCAGAATGCTTCTGTCTTGTTTTCATTGGAAGATATTTCCTTTTTCACCATAGTTCAGAAAGCGCTCCAAATGTCCACTTCCAGATACTCCAAAAAGAGTGTTTCCAACCTGCTCTATGAATGGGAATGTTCCACTCTGTGACTTGAATGGAAATATGGCAAAGAATTTTCTGAGTATGCTGCTGTGTACGTTTTATATTGCATCCCGTTTCCAACGAAATCCTCAAAGCGATCCAAATATCCACTTGCAGATTCCAAAAAAAGAGTGTTTCAAACTGCTCTGTCAGTACAAAGGTTCAACACTGTTAGTTGATTAGATGCCTCATAAACAAGTTCCTGAGATAGCTTCTATGTCGTTTTTATGGGAAGATATTTCCTTTTTCACCATAGGCCTGAAAGCGCTCCAAATGTCCACTTCCAGATACTACAATAAGAGTGTTTCCAACCTGCTCTATGAAACGGAAGGTTCAACTCTGTGACTTGATTGCAAACATCACGAAGGTGTTTCTGAGAATGTTTCTGTCTAGATTTTCTTTGAAGACATTCCCGTTTCCAACGAAATCCTCACAGCTATCCAAATATCCTCTTGCAGATTCTACAAAAAGTGTGGTTCAAAACTGCTGTATCAAAAGAATGGATCAACACTGTTAGTTGAGTACCCACATCACAAACGAGATTCTCAGAATGCTTCTGTCTAGTTTCTGTAGGTAGATATTTCCTATTTTAAGCATAGGCCTGAAAGCGCTCCAAATGCCCGCTTCCAGACACTATAAAAAGAGGGTTTCAAACCTACTCTATGAAAGGGAATGTTCAACTCTGAGAGCTGGATGCAAACATCACAAAGAAGTTTCTGAGAATGCTGCTGTCTACTTTTTATATATAATCCCGTTTCCAACGAAATCCTCAAATCTCTCCAAATATCCACTTGCAGATTCCAAAAGAAGAGTGTCTCAAAACTGCTCTATCAATAGAAATGTTCAGCACAGTTAGTTGAGTAGATACAGCATAAACATGTTTCTGAGATTACTTCTATCTCGCATTCATGGGAAGATATTTCCTTTTTCCACATAGGCTACAAAGCCCTCCAAATGTCCACTTCCAGATACTACAAAAAGAGTGTTTCCAACCTGCTCTATGAAACGGAAGGTTCAACTCTGTGACTTGATTGCAAACATCACGAAGGTGTTTCTGAGAATGCTTCTGTCTAGATTTTCTTTGAAGACATTACCGTTTCCAACGAAATCCTCAAAGCTAGCCAAATATCCACCTGCAGATTCTACAAAAAGAGTGTTTCAAAAGTGCTCTGTCCAAACCAAGGTTCAATTCTGACAGTTGAGTGCACACATCACAAACGTGATTCTGCGAATGCTTCTGTCTAGTTTTTGTCGGAAGATATTTCCTTTTTCAGCATAGGCCCCAAGGAGCTCAAAATGTCCACTGCCAGATAGTACGAGAAGATTGTTTCAAACCTGCTCTGTGAAAGGGAATGTTCAACTCTGTGACTTGAATGTAAACATCCCTAAGATGTTTCTTAGAATGCTTCTGGCTAGATTTTATTTGAAGATATTCCCGTTTCCAACGAAATCCTCAAAGCTTTCCAAATATCCACTTCCAGATTCTATAAAAAGAATGTTTCAGAACAGTTCTGTCAAAAGAAAGGTTCAACTCTGTTAGTGGAGAACACACATCACAATCAAGGTTCTGAGAATGCTTCTGTCTAAATTTTCTATGAAGACATTCCCGTTTCCAACGAAATCCTCACAGCTATCCAAATATCCACTTGCAGATTCTACAAAAAGTGTGGTTCAAAACTGCTGTATCAAAAGAATGGATCAACACTGTTAGTTGAGTACCCACATCACAAACGTGATTCTCAGAATGCTTCTGTCTAGTTTCTATAGGTAGATATTTCCTTTTTCAGCATAGGCCTGAAAGCGCTCCAAATGCCCGCTTCCAGACACTATAAAAAGAGGGTTTCAAACCTACTCTATGAAAGGGAATGTTCAACTCTGAGAGCTGGATGCAAACATCACAAAGAAGTTTCTGAGAATGCTGCTGTCTACTTTTTATATATAATCCCGTTTCCAACGAAATCCTCAAATCTATCCAAATATCCACTTGCAGATTCCAAAAGAAGAGTGTCTCAAAACTGCTCTATCAATAGAAATGTTCAGCACAGTTAGTTGAGTAGATACAGCATAAACATGTTTCTGAGATTACTTCTATCTCGCATTCATGGGAAGATATTTCCTTTTTCCAGATAGGCTACAAAGCCCTCCAAATGTCCACTTCCAGATACTACAAATAGAGTGCTGCACAACTGCTCTATGTGAGGGGAAGTTCAATTCTGTGACTTGAATGCAGACACCACAAAGAAGTTTCTGAGAATGCTGCTGTCTAATTTTTACATGTAAGCCCGTTTCCAACGAAATCCTCAAAGCTATCCAAATATCCGCATGCAGAATCTTCAAAAAGAGTGTTCCAGAAGTACTGCATGAAACGAAAGGTTCAAGTCCGTTTGTTGAGGACACACATCACAAATAAGTTTCTCAGAATGCTTCTGTCTTGTTTTCATTGGAAGATATTTCCTTTTCCACCATAGTTCAGAAAGCGCTCCAAATGTCCACTTCCAGATACTCCAAAAAGAGTGTTTCCAACCTGCTCTATGAATGGGAATGTTCCACTCTGTGACTTGAATGGAAATATGGCAAAGTATTTTCTGAGTATGCTGCTGTGTACGTTTTATATTGCATCCCGTTTCCAACGAAATCCTCAAAGCGATCCAAATATCCACTTGCAGATTCCAAAAAAGAGTGTTTCAAGCTGCTCTGTCAGTACAAAGGTTCAACACTGTTAGTTGATTAGATGCATCATAAACAAGTTCCTGAGATAGCTTCTATGTCGTTTTTATGGGAAGATATTTCCTTTTTCACCATAGGCCTGAAAGCGCTCCAAATGTCCACTTCCAGATACTACAATAAGAGTGTTTCCAACCTGCTCTATGAAACGGAAGGTTCAACTCTGTGACTTGATTGCAAACATCACGAAGGTGTTTCTGAGAATGCTTCTGTCTAGATTTTCTTTGAGGACATTCCCGTTTCCAACGAAATCCTCACAGCTATCCAAATATCCTCTTGCAGATTCTACAAAAAGTGTGGTTCAAAACTGCTGTATCAAAAGAATGGATCAACACTGTTAGTTGAGTACCCACATCACAAACGTGATTCTCAGAATGCTTCTGTCTAGTTTCTGTAGGTAGATATTTCCTATTTTAAGAATAGGCCTGAAAGCGCTCCAAATGCCCGCTTCCAGACACTATAAAAAGAGGGTTTCAAACCTACTCTATGAAAGGGAATGCTCAACTCTGAGAGCTGGATGCAAACATCACAAAGAAGTTTCTGAGAATGCTGCTGTGTACGTTTTATATTGCATCCCGTTTCCAACGAAATCCTCAAAGTGATCCAAATATCCACTTGCAGATTCCAAAAAAAGAGTGTTTCAAACTGCTCTGTCAGTACAAAGGTTCAACACTGTTAGTTGATTAGATGCATCATAAACAAGTTCCTGAGATAGCTTCTATGTCGTTTTTATGGGAAGATATTTCCTTTTTCACCATAGGCCTGAAAGCGCTCCAAATGTCCACTTCCAGATACTACAAAAAGAGTGTTTCCAACCTGCTCTATGAAACGGAAGGTTCAACTCTGTGACTTGATTGCAAACATCACGAAGGTGTTTCTGAGAATGTTTCTGTCTAGATTTTCTTTGAAGACATTACCGTTTCCAACGAAATCCTCAAAGCTAGCCAAATATCCACCTGCAGATTCTACAAAAAGAGTGTTTCAAAAGTGCTCTGTCCAAACCAAGGTTCAATTCTGACAGTTGAGTGCACACATCACAAACGTGATTCTGCGAATGCTTCTGTCTAGTTTTGTCGGAAGATATTTCCTTTTTCAGCATAGGCCCCAAGGAGCTCAAAATGTCCACTGCCAGATAGTACGAGAAGATTGTTTCAAACCTGCTCTGTGAAAGGGAATGTTCAACTCTGTGACTTGAATGTAAACATCCCTAAGATGTTTCTTAGAATGCTTCTGGCTAGATTTTATTTGAAGATATTCCCGTTTCCAACGAAATCCTCAAAGCTTTCCAAATATCCACTTCCAGATTCTATAAAAAGAATGTTTCAGAACAGTTCTGTCAAAAGAAAGGTTCAACTCTGTTAGTGGAGAACACACATCACAATCAAGGTTCTGAGAATGCTTCTGTCTAAATTTTCTATGAAGACATTCCCGTTTCCAACGAAATCCTCACAGCTATCCAAATATCCACTTGCAGATTCTACAAAAAGTGTGGTTCAAAACTGCTGTATCAAAAGAATGGATCAACACTGTTAGTTGAGTACCCACATCACAAACTTGATTCTCAGAATGCTTCTGTCTAGTTTCTATATGTAGATATTTCCTTTTTCAGCATAGGCCTGAAAGCGCTCCAAATGCCCGCTTCCGGACACTATAAAAAGAGGGTTTCAAACCTACTCTATGAAAGGGAATGTTCAACTCTGAGAGCTGGATGCAAACATCACAAAGAAGTTTCTGAGAATGCTGCTGTCTACTTTTTATATATAATCCCGTTTCCAACGAAATCCTCAAATCTATCCAAATATCCACTTGCAGATTCCAAAAGAAGAGTGTCTCAAAACTGCTCTATCAATAGAAATGTTCAGCACAGTTAGTTGAGTAGATACAGCATAAACATGTTTCTGAGATTACTTCTATCTCGCATTCATGGGAAGATATTTCCTTTTTCCAGATAGGCTACAAAGCCCTCCAAATGTCCACTTCGAGATACTACAAATAGAGTGCTGCACAACTGCTCTATGTGAGGGGAAGTTCAATTCTGTGACTTGAATGCAGACACCACAAAGTAGTTTCTGAGAATGCTGCTGTCTAATTTTTACATGTAAGCCCGTTTCCAACGAAATCCTCAAAGCTATCCAAATATCCGCATGCAGAATCTTCAAAAAGAGTGTTCCAGAAGTACTGCATGAAACGAAAGGTTCAAGTCCGTTTGTTGAGGACACACATCACAAATAAGTTTCTCAGAATGCTTCTGTCTTGTTTTCATTGGAAGATATTTCCTTTTTCACCATAGTTCAGAAAGCGCTCCAAATGTCCACTTCCAGATACTCCAAAAAGAGTGTTTCCAACCTGCTCTATGAATGGGAATGTTCCACTCTGTGACTTGAATGGAAATATGGCAAAGTATTTTCTGAGTATGCTGCTGTGTACGTTTTATATTGCATCCCGTTTCCAACGAAATCCTCAAAGCGATCCAAATATCCACTTGCAGATTCCAAAAAAAGAGTGTTTCAAACTGCTCTGTCAGTACAAAGGTTCAACACTGTTAGTTGATTAGATGCATCATAAACAAGTTCCTGAGATAGCTTCTATGTCGTTTTTATGGGAAGATATTTCCTTTTTCACCATAGGCCTGAAAGCGCTCCAAATGTCCACTTCCAGATACTACAATAAGAGTGTTTCCAACCTGCTCTATGAAACGGAAGGTTCAACTCTGTGACTTGATTGCAAACATCACGAAGGTGTTTCTGAGAATGCTTCTGTCTAGATTTTCTTTGAAGACATTCCCGTTTCCAACGAAATCCTCACAGCTATCCAAATATCCTCTTGCAGATTCTACAAAAAGTGTGGTTCAAAACTGCTGTATCAAAAGAATGGATCAACACTGTTAGTTGAGTACCCACATCACAAACGTGATTCTCAGAATGCTTCTGTCTAGTTTCTGTAGGTAGATATTTCCTATTTTAAGCATAGGCCTGAAAGCGCTCCAAATGCCCGCTTCCAGACACTATAAAAAGAGGGTTTCAAACCTACTCTATGAAAGGGAATGTTCAACTCTGAGAGCTGGATGCAAACATCACAAAGAAGTTTCTGAGAATGCTGCTGTCTACTTTTTATATATAATCCCGTTTCCAACGAAATCCTCAAATCTATCCAAATATCCACTTGCAGATTCCAAAAGAAGAGTGTCTCAAAACTGCTCTATCAATAGAAATGTTCAGCACAGTTAGTTGAGTAGATACAGCATAAACATGTTTCTGAGATTACTTCTATCTCGCATTCATGGGAAGATATTTCCTTTTTCCAGATAGGCTACAAAGCCCTCCAAATGTCCACTTCCAGATACTACAAATAGAGTGCTGCACAACTGCTCTATGTGAGGGGAAGTTAAATTCTGTGACTTGAATGCAGACACCACAAAGAAGTTTCTGAGAATGCTGCTGTCTAATTTTTACATGTAAGACCGTTTCCAACGAAATCCTCAAAGCTATCCAAATATCCGCATGCAGAATCTTCAAAAAGAGTGTTCCAGAAGTACTGCATGAAACGAAAGGTTCAAGTCCGTTTGTTGAGGACACACATCACAAATAAGTTTCTCAGAATGCTTCTGTCTTGTTTTCATTGGAAGATATTTCCTTTTTCACCATAGTTCAGAAAGCGCTCCAAATGTCCACTTCCAGATACTCCAAAAAGAGTGTTTCCAACCTGCTCTATGAATGGGAATGTTCCACTCTGTGACTTGAATGGAAATATGGCAAAGTATTTTCTGAGTATGCTGCTGTGTACGTTTTATATTGCATCCCGTTTCCAACGAAATCCTCAAAGCGATCCAAATATCCACTTGCAGATTCCAAAAAAAGAGTGTTTCAAACTGCTCTGTCAGTAGAAAGGTTCAACACTGTTAGTTGATTAGATGCATCATAAACAAGTTCCTGAGATAGCTTCTATGTCGTTTTTATGGGAAGATATTTCCTTTTTCACCATAGGCCTGAAAGCGCTCCAAATGTCCACTTCCAGATACTACAATAAGAGTGTTTCCAACCTGCTCTATGAAACGGAAGGTTCAACTCTGTGACTTGATTGCAAACATCACGAAGGTGTTTCTGAGAATGCTTCTGTCTAGATTTTCTTTGAAGACATTCCCGTTTCCAACGAAATCCTCACAGCTATCCAAATATCCTCTTGCAGATTCTACAAAAAGTGTGGTTCAAAACTGCTGTATCAAAAGAATGGATCAACACTGTTAGTTGAGTACCCACATCACAAACGTGATTCTCAGAATGCTTCTGTCTAGTTTCTGTAGGTAGATATTTCCTATTTTAAGCATAGGCCTGAAAGCGCTCCAAATGCCCGCTTCCAGACACTATAAAAAGAGGGTTTCAAACCTACTCTATGAAAGGGAATGTTCAACTCTGAGAGCTGGATGCAAACATCACAAAGAAGTTTCTGAGAATGCTGCTGTCTACTTTTTATATATAATCCCGTTTCCAACGAAATCCTCAAATCTATCCAAATATCCACTTGCAGATTCCAAAAGAAGAGTGTCTGAAAACTGCTCTATCAATAGAAATGTTCAGCACAGTTAGTTGAGTAGATACAGCATAAACATGTTTCTGAGATTACTTCTATCTCGCATTCATGGGAAGATATTTCCTTTTTCCAGATAGGCTACAAAGCCCTCCAAATGTCCACTTCCAGATACTACAAATAGAGTGCTGCACAACTGCTCTATGTGAGGGGAAGTTCAATTCTGTGACTTGAATGCAGACACCACAAAGAAGTTTCTGAGAATGCTGCTGTCTAATTTTTACATGTAAGCCCGTTTCCAACGAAATCCTCAAAGCTATCCAAATATCCGCATGCAGAATCTTCAAAAAGAGTGTTCCAGAAGTACTGCATGAAACGAAAGATTCAAGTCCGTTTGTTGAGGACACACATCACAAATAAGTTTCTCAGAATGCTTCTGTCTTGTTTTCATTGGAAGATATTTCCTTTTTCACCATAGTTCAGAAAGCGCTCCAAATGTCCACTTCCAGATACTCCAAAAAGAGTGTTTCCAACCTGCTCTATGAATGGGAATGTTCCACTCTGTGACTTGAATGGAAATATGGCAAAGTATTTTCTGAGTATGCTGCTGTGTACGTTTTATATTGCATCCCGTTTCCAACGAAATCCTCAAAGCGATCCAAATATCCACTTGCAGATTCCAAAAAAAGAGTGTTTCAAAGTGCTCTGTCAGTACAAAGGTTCAACACTGTTAGTTGATTAGATGCATCATAAACAAGTTCCTGAGATAGCTTCTATGTCGTTTTGATGGGAAGATATTTCCTTTTTCACCATAGGCCTGAAAGCGCTCCAAATGTCCACTTCCAGATACTACAATAAGAGTGTTTCCAACCTGCTCTATGAAACGGAAGGTTCAACTCTGTGACTTGATTGCAAACATCACGAAGGTGTTTCTGAGAATGCTTCTGTCTAGATTTTCTTTGAAGACATTCCCGTTTCCAACGAAATCCTCACAGCTATCCAAATATCCTCTTGCAGATTCTACAAAAAGTGTGGTTCAAAACTGCTGTATCAAAAGAATGGATCAACACTGTTAGTTGAGTACCCACATCACAAACGTGATTCTCAGAATGCTTCTGTCTAGTTTCTGTAGGTAGATATTTCCTATTTTAAGCATAGGCCTGAAAGCGCTCCAAATGCCCGCTTCCAGACACTATAAAAAGAGGGTTTCAAACCTACTCTATGAAAGGGAATGTTCAACTCTGAGAGCTGGATGCAAACATCACAAAGAAGTTTCTGAGAATGCTGCTGTCTACTTTTTATATATAATCCCGTTTCCAACGAAATCCTCAAATCTATACAAATATCCACTTGCAGATTCCAAAAGAAGAGTGTCTCAAAACTGCTCTATCAATAGAAATGTTCAGCACAGTTAGTTGAGTAGATACAGCATAAACATGTTTCTGAGATTACTTCTATCTCGCATTCATGGGAAGATATTTCCTTTTTCCAGATAGGCTACAAAGCCCTCCAAATGTCCACTTCCAGATACTACAAAAAGAGTGTTTCCAACCTGCTCTATGAAACGGAAGGTTCAACTCTGTGACTTGATTGCAAACATCACGAAGGTGTTTCTGAGAATGCTTCTGTCTAGATTTTCTTTGAAGACATTACCGTTTCCAACGAAATCCTCAAAGCTAGCCAAATATCCACCTGCAGATTCTACAAAAAGAGTGTTTCAAAAGTGCTCTCTCCAAACCAAGGTTCAATTCTGACAGTTGAGTGCACACATCACAAACGTGATTCTGCGAATGCTTCTGTCTAGTTTTTGTCGGAAGATATTTCCTTTTTCAGCATAGGCCCCAAAGAGCTCAAAATGTCCACTGCCAGATAGTACGAGAAGATTGTTTCAAACCTGCTCTGTGAAAGGGAATGTTCAACTCTGTGACTTGAATGTAAACATCCCTAAGATGTTTCTTAGAATGCTTCTGGCTAGATTTGATTTGAAGATATTCCCGTTTCCAACGAAATCCTCAAAGCTTTCCAAATATCCACTTCCAGATTCTATAAAAAGAATGTTTCAGAACAGTTCTGTCAAAAGAAAGGTTCAACTGCTGTTAGTGGAGAACACACATCACAATCAAGGTTCTGAGAATGCTTCTGTCTAAATTTTCTATGAAGACATTCCCGTTTCCAACGAAATCCTCACAGCTATCCAAATATCCACTTGCAGATTCTACAAAAAGTGTGGTTCAAAACTGCTGTATCAAAAGAATGGATCAACACTGTTAGTTGAGTACCCACATCACAAACGGTGATTCTCAGAATGCTTCTGTCTAGTTTCTATAGGTAGATATTTCCTTTTTCAGCATAGGCCTGAAAGCGCTCCAAATGCCCGCTTCCACACACTATAAAAAGAGGGTTTCAAACCTACTCTATGAAAGGGAATGTTCAACTCTGAGAGCTGGATGCAAACATCACAAAGAAGTTTCTGAGAATGCGGCTGTCTACTTTTTATATATAATCCCGTTGCCAACGAAATCCTCAAATCTATCCAAATATCCACTTGCAGATTCCAAAAGAAGAGTGTCTCAAAACTGCTCTATCAATAGAAATGTTCAGCACAGTTAGTTGAGTAGATACAGCATAAACATGTTTCTGAGATTACTTCTATCTCGCATTCATGGGAAGATATTTCCTTTTTCCAGATAGGCTACAAAGCCCTCCAAATGTCCACTTCGAGATACTACAAATAGAGTGCTGCACAACTGCTCTATGTGAGGGGATGTTCAATTCTGTGACTTGGATGCAGACACCACAGAGAAGTTTCTGAGAATGCTGCTGTCTAATTTTTATATGTAAGCCCGTTTCCAATGAAATCCTCAAAGCTATCCAAATATCCGCATGCAGAATCTTCAAAAAGAGTGTTCCAGAAGTACTGCATGAAACGAAAGGTTCAAGTCCGTTAGTTGAGGACACACATCACAAATAAGTTTCTCAGAATGCTTCTGTCTTGTTTTCATTGGAAGATATTTCCTTTTTCACCATAGTTCAGAAAGCGCTCCAAATGTCCACTTCCAGATACTACAAAAAGAGTGTGTCAAACCTGCTCTATGAATGGGAATGTTCCACTCTGTGACTTGAATGGAAATATGGCAAAGTATTTTCTGAGTATGCTGCTGTGTACGTTTTATATTGCATCCCGTTTCCAACGAAATCCTCAAAGCGATCCAAATATCCACTTGCAGATTCCAAAAAAAAGAGTGTTTCACACTGCTCTGTCAGTACAAAGGTTCAACACTGTTAGTTGATTGGATGCATCATAAACAAGTTCCTGAGATAGCTTCTATGTCGTTTTTATGGGAAGATATTTCCTTTTTCACCATAGGCCTGAAAGCGCTCCAAATGTCCACTTCCAGATACTACAAAAAGAGTGTTTCCAACCTGCTCTATGAAACGGAAGGTTCAACTCTGTGACTTGATTGCAAACATCACGAAGGTGTTTCTGAGAATGCTTCTGTCTAGATTTTCTTTGAAGACATTACCGTTTCCAACGAAATCCTCAAAGCTAGCCAAATATCCACCTGCAGATTCTACAAAAAGAGTGTTTCAAAAGTGCTCTGTCCAAACAAAGGTTCAATTCTGACATTTGAGTGCACACATCACAAACATGATTCTGCGAATGCTTCTGTCTAGTTTTTGTCGGAAGATATTTCCTTTTTCAGCATAGGCCCCAAGGAGCTCAAAATGTCCACTTCCAGATAGTACGAGAAGATTGTTTCAAACCTGCTCTGTGAAAGGGAATGTTCAACTCTGTGACTTGAATGTAAACATCCCTAAGATGTTTCTTAGAATGCTTCTGGCTAGATTTGATTTGAAGATATTCCCGTTTCCAACGAAATCCTCAAAGCTTTCCAAATATCCACTTCCAGATTCTATAAAAAGAATGTTTCAGAACAGTTCTGTCAAAACAAAGGTTCAACTCTGTAAGTGGAGAACACACATCACAATCAAGGTTCTGAGAATGCTTCTGTCTAAATTTTCTATGAAGACATTCCCGTTTCCAACGAAATCCTCACAGCTATCCAAATATCCACTTGCAGATTCTACAAAAAGTGTGGTTCAAAACTGCTGTATCAAAAGAATGGATCAACACTGTTAGTTGAGTACCCACATCACAAACGTGATTCTCAGAATGCTTCTGTCTAGTTTCTATAGGTAGATATTTCCTTTTTCAGCATAGGCCTGAAAGCGCTCCAAATGCCCGCTTCCAGACACTATAAAAAGAGGGTTTCAAACCTACTCTATGAAAGGGAATGTTCAACTCTGGGAGCTGGATGCAAACATCACAAAGAAGTTTCTGAGAATGCTGCTGTCTACTTTTTATATATAATACCGTTTCCAACGAAATCCTCAAATCTATCCAAATATCCACTTGCAGATTCCAAAAGAAGAGTGTCTCAAAACTGCTCTATCAATAGAAATGTTCAGCACAGTTAGTTGAGTAGATACAGCATAAACATGTTTCTGAGATTACTTCTATCTCGCATTCATGGGAAGATATTTCCTTTTTCCAGATAGGCTACAAAGCCCTCCAAATGTCCACTTCCAGATACTACAAAAAGTGTGTTTCCAACCTGCTCTATGAAACGGAAGGTTCAACTCTGTGACTTGATTGCAAACATCACGAAGGTGTTTCTGAGAATGCTTCTGTCTAGATTTTCTTTGAAGACATTACCGTTTCCAACGAAATCCTCAAAGCTAGCCAAATATCCACCTGCAGATTCTACAAAAAGAGTGTTTCAAAAGTGCTCTCTCCAAACCAAGGTTCAATTCTGACAGTTGAGTGCACACATCACAAACGTGATTCTGCGAATGCTTCTGTCTAGTTTTTGTCGGAAGATATTTCCTTTTTCAGCATAGGCCCCAAAGAGCTCAAAATGTCCACTGCCAGATAGTACGAGAAGATTGTTTCAAACCTGCTCTGTGAAAGGGAATGTTCAACTCTGTGACTTGAATGTAAACATCCCTAAGATGTTTCTTAGAATGCTTCTGGCTAGATTTTATTTGAAGATATTCCCGTTTCCAACGAAATCCTCAAAGCTTTCCAAATATCCACTTCCAGATTCTATAAAAAGAATGTTTCAGAACAGTTCTGTCAAAAGAAAGGTTCAACTCTGTTAGTGGAGAACACACATCACAATCAAGGTTCTGAGAATGCTTCTGTCTAAATTTTCTATGAAGACATTCAAGTTTCCAACGAAATCCTCACAGCTATCCAAATATCCACTTGCAGATTCTACAAAAAGTGTGGTTCAAAACTGCTGTATCAAAAGAATGGATCAACACTGTTAGTTGAGTACCCACATCACAAACGTGATTCTCAGAATGCTTCTGTCTAGTTTCTATAGGTAGATATTTCCTTTTTCAGCATAGGCCTGAAAGCGCTCCAAATGCCCGCTTCCAGACACTATAAAAAGAGGGTTTCAAACCTACTCTATGAAAGGGAATGTTCAACTCTGAGAGCTGGATGCAAACATCACAAAGAAGTTTCTGAGAATGCTGCTGTCTACTTTTTATATATAATCCCGTTTCCAACGAAATCCTCAAATCTATCCAAATATCCACTTGCAGATTCCAAAAGAAGAGTGTCTCAAAACTGCTCTATCAATAGAAATGTTCAGCACAGTTAGTTGAGTAGATACAGCATAAACATGTTTCTGAGATTACTTCTATCTCGCATTCATGGGAAGATATTTCCTTTTTCCAGATAGGCTACAAAGCCCTCCAAATGTCCACTTCCAGATACTACAAATAGAGTGCTGCACAACTGCTCTATGTGAGGGGAAGTTCAATTCTGTGACTTGAATGCAGACACCACAAAGAAGTTTCTGAGAATGCTGCTGTCTAATTTTTACATGTAAGCCCGTTTCCAACGAAATCCTCAAAGCTATCCAAATATCCGCATGCAGAATCTTCAAAAAGAGTGTTCCAGAAGTACTGCATGAAACGAAAGGTTCAAGTCCGTTTGTTGAGGACACACATCACAAATAAGTTTTTCAGAATGCTTCTGTCTTGTTTTCATTGGAAGATATTTCCTTTTTCACCATAGTTCAGAAAGCGCTCCAAATGTCCACTTCCAGATACTCCAAAAAGAGTGTTTCCAACCTGCTCTATGAATGGGAATGTTCCACTCTGTGACTTGAATGGAAATATGGCAAAGTATTTTCTGAGTATGCTGCTGTGTACGATTTATATTGCATCCCGTTTCCAACGAAATCCTCAAAGCGATCCAAATATCCACTTGCAGATTCGAAAAAAAAGAGTGTTTCACACTGCTCTGTCAGTACAAAAGTTCAACACTGTTAATTGATTGGATGCATCATAAACAAGTTCCTGAGATAGCTTCTATGTCGTTTTTATGGGAAGATATTTCCTTTTTCACCATAGGCCTGAAAGCGCTCCAAATGTCCACTTCCAGATACTACAAAAAGAGTGTTTCCAACCTGCTCTATGAAACGGAAGGTTCAACTCTGTGACTTGATTGCAAACATCACGAAGGTGTTTCTGAGAATGTTTCTGTCTAGATTTTCTTTGAAGACATTACCGTTTCCAACGAAATCCTCAAAGCTAGCCAAATATCCACCTGCAGATTCTACAAAAAGAGTGTTTCAAAAGTGCTCTGTCCAAACCAAGGTTCAATTCTGACAGTTGAGTGCACACATCACAAACGTGATTCTGCGAATGCTTCTGTCTAGTTTTTGTCGGAAGATATTTCCTTTTTCAGCATAGGCCCCAAGGAGCTCAAAATGTCCACTTCCAGATACTACGAGAAGATTGTTTCAAACCTGCTCTGTGAAAGGGAATGTTCAACTCTGTGACTTGAATGTAAACATCCCTAAGATGTTTCTTAGAATGCTTCTGGCTAGATTTGATTTGAAGATATTCCCGTTTCAAACGAAGTCCTCAAAGCTTTCCAAATATGCACTTCCAGATTCTATAAAAAGAATGTTTCAGAACAGTTCTGTCAAAAGAAAGGTTCAACTCTGTTAGTGGAGAACACACATCACAATCAAGGTTCTGAGAATGCTTCTGTCTAAATTTTCTATGAAGACATTCCCGTTTCCAACGAAATCCTCACAGCTATCCAAATATCCACTTGCAGATTCTACAAAAAGTGTGGTTCAAAACTGCTGTATCAAAAGAATGGATCAACACTGTTAGTTGAGTACCCACATCACAAACGTGATTCTCAGAATGCTTCTGTCTAGTTTCTATAGGTAGATATTTCCTTTTTCAGCATAGGCCTGAAAGCGCTCCAAATGCCCGCTTCCAGACACTATAAAAAGAGGGTTTCAAACCTACTCTATGAAAGGGAATGTTCAACTCTGAGAGCTGGATGCAAACATCACAAAGAAGTTTCTGAGAATGCTGCTGTCTACTTTTGATATATAATCCCGTTTCCAACGAAATCCTCAAATCTATCCAAATATCCACTTGCAGATTCCAAAAGAAGAGTGTCTCAAAACTGCTCTATCAATAGAAATGTTCAGCACAGTTAGTTGAGTAGATACAGCATAAACATGTTTCTGAGATTACTCTATCTCGCATTCATGGGAAGATATTTCCTTTTTCCACATAGGCTACAAAGCCCTCCAAATGTCCACTTCCAGATACTACAAATAGAGTGCTGCACAACTGCTCTATGTGAGGGGATGTTCAATTCTGTGACTTGAATGCAGACACCACAAAGAAGTTTCTGAGAATGCTGCTGTCTAATTTTTACATGTAAGCCCGTTTCCAACGAAATCCTCAAAGCTATCCAAATATCCGCATGCAGAATCTTCAAAAAGAGTGTTCCAGAAGTACTGCATGAAACGAAAGGTTCAAGTCCGTTTGTTGAGGACACACATCACAAATAAGTTTCTCAGAATGCTTCTGTCTTGTTTTCATTGGAAGATATTTCCTTTTTCACCATAGTTCAGAAAGCGCTCCAAATGTCCACTTCCAGATACTCCAAAAAGAGTGTTTCCAACCTGCTCTATGAATGGGAATGTTCCACTCTGTGACTTGAATGGAAATATGGCAAAGTATTTTCTGAGTATGCTGCTGTGTACGTTTTATATTGCATCCCGTTTCCAACGAAATCCTCAAAGCGATCCAAATATCCACTTGCAGATTCCAAAAAAAGAGTGTTTCAAACTGCTCTGTCAGTACAAAGGTTCAACACTGTTAGTTGATTAGATGCATCATAAACAAGTTCCTGAGATAGCTTCTATGTCGTTTTTATGGGAAGATATTTCCTTTTTCACCATAGGCCTGAAAGCGCTCCAAATGTCCACTTCCAGATACTACAATAAGAGTGTTTCCAACCTGCTCTATGAAACGGAAGGTTCAACTCTGTGACTTGATTGCAAACATCACGAAGGTGTTTCTGAGAATGCTTCTGTCTAGATTTTCTTTGAAGACATTCCCGTTTCCAACGAAATCCTCACAGCTATCCAAATATCCTCTTGCAGATTCTACAAAAAGTGTGGTTCAAAACTGCTGTATCAAAAGAATGGATCAACACTGTTAGTTGAGTACCCACATCACAAACGTGATTCTCAGAATGCTTCTGTCTAGTTTCTGTAGGTAGATATTTCCTATTTTAAGCATAGGCCTGAAAGCGCTCCAAATGCCCGCTTCCAGACACTATAAAAAGAGGGTTTCAAACCTACTCTATGAAAGGGAATGTTCAACTCTGAGAGCTGGATGCAAACATCACAAAGAAGTTTCTGAGAATGCTGCTGTCTACTTTTTATATATAATCCCGTTTCCAACGAAATCCTCAAATCTATCCAAATATCCACTTGCAGATTCCAAAAGAAGAGTGTCTCAAAACTGCTCTATCAATAGAAATGTTCAGCACAGTTAGTTGAGTAGATACAGCATAAACATGTTTCTGAGATTACTTCTATCTCGCATTCATGGGAAGATATTTCCTTTTTCCAGATAGGCTACAAAGCCCTCCAAATGTCCACTTCCAGATACTACAAAAAGAGTGTTTCCAACCTGCTCTATGAAACGGAAGGTTCAACTCTGTGACTTGATTGCAAACATCACGAAGGTGTTTCTGAGAATGCTTCTGTCTAGATTTTCTTTGAAGACATTACCGTTTCCAACGAAATCCTCAAAGCTAGCCAAATATCCACCTGCAGATTCTACAAAAAGAGTGTTTCAAAAGTGCTCTGTCCAAACCAAGGTTCAATTCTGACAGTTGAGTGCACACATCACAAACGTGATTCTGCGAATGCTTCTGTCTAGTTTTTGTCGGAAGATATTTCCTTTTTCAGCATAGGCCCCAAGGAGCTCAAAATGTCCACTGCCAGATAGTACGAGAAGATTGTTTCAAACCTGCTCTGTGAAAGGGAATGTTCAACTCTGTGACTTGAATGTAAACATCCCTAAGATGTTTCTTAGAATGCTTCTGGCTAGATTTGATTTGAAGATATTCCCGTTTCCAACGAAATCCTCAAAGCTTTCCAAATATCCACTTCCAGATTCTATAAAAAGAATGTTTCAGAACAGTTCTGTCAAAAGAAAGGTTCAACTCTGTTAGTGGAGAACACACATCACAATCAAGGTTCTGAGAATGCTTCTGTCTAAATTTTCTATGAAGACATTCCCGTTTCCAACGAAATCCTCACAGCTATCCAAATATCCACTTGCAGATTCTACAAAAAGTGTGGTTCAAAACTGCTGTATCAAAAGAATGGATCAACACTGTTAGTTGAGTACCCACATCACAAACGTGATTCTCAGAATGCTTCTGTCTAGTTTCTATAGGTAGATATTTCCTTTTTCAGCATAGGCCTGAAAGCGCTCCAAATGCCCGCTTCCAGACACTATAAAAAGAGGGTTTCAAACCTACTCTATGAAAGGGAATGTTCAACTCTGAGAGCTGGATGCAAACATCACAAAGAAGTTTCTGAGAATGCTGCTGTCTACTTTTGATATATAATCCCGTTGCCAACGAAATCCTCAAATCTATCCAAATATCCACTTGCAGATTCCAAAAGAAGAGTGTCTCAAAACTGCTCTATCAATAGAAATGTTCAGCACAGTTAGTTGAGTAGATACAGCATAAACATGTTTCTGAGATTACTTCTATCTCGCATTCATGGGAAGATATTTCCTTTTTCCAGATAGGCTACAAAGCCCTCCAAATGTCCACTTCGAGATACTACAAATAGAGTGCTGCACAACTGCTCTATGTGAGGGGATGTTCAATTCTGTGACTTGGATGCAGACACCACAGAGAAGTTTCTGAGAATGCTGCTGTCTAATTTTTATATGTAAGCCCGTTTCCAACGAAATCCTCAAAGCTATCCAAATATCCGCATGCAGAATCTTCAAAAAGAGTGTTCCAGAAGTACTGCATGAAACGAAAGGTTCAAGTGCCGTTAGTTGAGGACTCACATCACAAATAAGTTTCTCAGAATGCTTGTCTGTCTTGTTTTCATTGGAAGATATTTCCTTTTTCACCATAGTTCAGAAAGCGCTCCAAATGTCCACTTCCAGATACTACAAAAAGAGTGTGTCAAACCTGCTCTATGAATGGGAATGTTCCACTCTGTGACTTGAATGGAAATATGGCAAAGTATTTTCTGAGTATGCTGCTGTGTACGTTTTATATTGCATCCCGTTTCCAACGAAATCCTCAAAGCGATCCAAATATCCACTTGCAGATTCCAAAAAATAGAGTGTTTCACACTGCTCTGTCAGTACAAAGGTTCAACACTGTTAGTTGATTGGATGCATCATAAACAAGTTCCTGAGATAGCTTCTATGTCGTTTTCATGGGAAGATATTTCCTTTTTCACCATAGGCCTGAAAGCGCTCCAAATGTCCACTTCCAGATACTACAAAAAGAGTGTTTCCAACCTGCTCTATGAAACGGAAGGTTCAACTCTGTGACTTGATTGCAAACATCACGAAGGTGTTTCTGAGAATGTTTCTGTCTAGATTTTCTTTGAAGACATTACCGTTTCCAACGAAATCCTCAAAGCTAGCCAAATATCCACCTGCAGATTCTACAAAAAGAGTGTTTCAAAAGTGCTCTGTCCAAACAAAGGTTCAATTCCGACAGTTGAGTGCACACATCACAAACGTGATTCTGCGAATGCTTCTGTCTAGTTTTTGTCGGAAGGTATTTCCTTTTTCAGCATACGCCAAAAGGAGCTCAAAATGTCCACTTCCAGATAGTACGAGAAGATTGTTTCAAACCTGCTCTGTGAAAGGGAATGTTCAACTCTGTGACTTGAATGTAAACATCCCTAAGATGTTTCTTAGAATGCTTCTGGCTAGATTTGATTTGAAGATATTCCCGTTTCCAACGAAATCCTCAAAGCTTTCCAAATATCCGCTTCCAGATTCTATACAAAGAATGTTTCAGAACAGTTCTGTCAAAAGAAAGGTTCAACCCTGTTAGTGGAGAACACACATCACAATCAAGGTTCTGAGAATGCTTCTGTCTAAATTTTCTATGAAGACATTCCCGTTTCCAAGGAAATCCTCACAGCTATCCAAATATCCACTTGCAGATTCTACAAAAAGTGTGGTTCAAAACTGCTGTATCAAAAGAATGGATCAACACTGTTAGTTGAGTACCCACATCACAAACGTGATTCTCAGAATGCTTCTGTCTAGTTTCTATAGGTAGATATTTCCTTTTTCAGCATAGGCCTGAAAGCGCTCCAAATGCCCGCTTCCACACACTATAAAAAGAGGGTTTCAAACCTACTCTACGAAAGGGAATGTTCAACTCTGAGAGCTGGATGCAAACATCACAAAGAAGTTTCTGAGAATGCTGCTGTCTACTTTTTATATATAATCCCGTTGCCAACGAAATCCTCAAATCTATCCAAATATCCACTTGCAGATTCCAAAAGAAGAGTGTCTCAAAACTGCTCTATCAATAGAAATGTTCAGCACAGTTAGTTGAGTAGATACAGCATAAACATGTTTCTGAGATTACTTCTATCTCGCATTCATGGGAAGATATTTCCTTTTTGCAGATAGGCTACAAAGCCCTCCAAATGTCCACTTCCAGATACTACAAATAGAGTGCTGCACAACTGCTCTATGTGACGGGATGTTCAATTCTGTGACTTGAATGCAGACACCACAAAGAAGTTTCTGAGAATGCTGCTGTCTAATTTTTACATGTAAGCCCGTTTCCAACGAAATCCTCAAAGCTATCCAAATATCCGCATGCAGAATCTTCAAAAAGAGTGTTCCAGAAGTACTGCATGAAACGAAAGGTTCAAGTCCGTTTGTTGAGGACACACATCACAAATAAGTTTCTCAGAATGCTTCTGTCTTGTTTTCATTGGAAGATATTTCCTTTTTCACCATAGTTCAGAAAGCGCTCCAAATGTCCACTTCCAGATACTCCAAAAAGAGTGTTTCAAACCTGCTCTATGAATGGGAATGTTCCACTCTCTGACTTGAATGGAAATATGGCAAAGTATTTTCTGAGTATGCTGCTGTGTACGTTTTATATTGCATCCCGTTTCCAACGAAATCCTCAAAGCGATCCAAATATCCACTTGCAGATTCCAAAAAAAGAGTGTTTCAAACTGCTCTGTCAGTACAAAGGTTCAACACTGTTAGTTGATTAGATGCATCATAAACAAGTTCCTGAGATAGCTTCTATGTCGTTTTTATGGGAAGATATTTCCTTTTTCACCATAGGCCTGAAAGCGCTCCAAATGTCCACTTCCAGATACTACAATAAGAGTGTTTCCAACCTGCTCTATGAAACGGAAGGTTCAACTCTGTGACTTGATTGCAAACATCACGAAGGTGTTTCTGAGAATGCTTCTGTCTAGATTTTCTTTGAAGACTTTCCCGTTTCCAACGAAATCCTCACAGCTATCCAAATATCCTCTTGCAGATTCTACAAAAAGTGTGGTTCAAAACTGCTGTATCAAAAGAATGGATCAACACTGTTAGTTGAGTACCCACATCACAAACGTGATTCTCAGAATGCTTCTGTCTAGTTTCTGTAGGTAGATATTTCCTATTTTAAGCATAGGCCTGAAAGCGCTCCAAATGCCCGCTTCCAGACACTATAAAAAGAGGGTTTCAAACCTACTCTATGAAAGGGAATGTTCAACTCTGAGAGCTGGATGCAAACATCACAAAGAAGTTTCTGAGAATGCTGCTGTCTACTTTTTATATATAATCCCGTTTCCAACGAAATCCTCAAATCTATCCAAATATCCACTTGCAGATTCCAAAAGAAGAGGGTCTCAAAACTGCTCTATCAATAGAAATGTTCAGCACAGTTAGTTGAGTAGATACAGCATAAACATGTTTCTGAGATTACTTCTATCTCGCATTCATGGGAAGATATTTCCTTTTTCCAGATAGGCTACAAAGCCCTCCAAATGTCCACTTCCAGATACTACAAATAGAGTGCTGCACAACTGCTCTATGTGAGGGGAAGTTCAATTCTGTGACTTGAATGCAGACACCACAAAGAAGTTTCTGAGAATGCTGCTGTCTAATTTTTACATGTAAGCCCGTTTCCAACGAAATCCTCAAAGCTATCCAAATATCCGCATGCAGAATCTTCAAAAAGAGTGTTCCAGAAGTACTGCATGAAACGAAAGGTTCAAGTCCGTTTGTTGAGGACACACATCACAAATAAGTTTCTCAGAATGCTTCTGTCTTGTTTTCATTGGAAGATATTTCCTTTTTCACCATAGTTCAGAAAGCGCTCCAAATGTCCACTTCCAGATACTCCAAAAAGAGTGTTTCCAACCTGCTCTATGAATGGGAATGTTCCACTCTGTGACTTGAATGGAAATATGGCAAAGTATTTTCTGAGTATGCTGCTGTGTACGTTTTATATTGCATCCCGTTTCCAACGAAATCCTCAAAGCGATCCAAATATCCACTTGCAGATTCCAAAAAAAGAGTGTTTCAAACTGCTCTGTTAGTACAAAGGTTCAACACTGTTAGTTGATTAGATGCATCATAAACAAGTTCCCTGAGATAGCTTCTATGTCGTTTTTATGGGAAGATATTTCCTTTTTCACCATAGGCCTGAAAGCGCTCCAAATGTCCACTTCCAGATACTACAATAAGAGTGTTTCCAACCAGCTCTATGAAACGGAAGGTTCAACTCTGTGACTTGATTGCAAACATCACGAAGGTGTTCCTCAGAATGCTTCTGTCTAGATTTTCTTTGAAGACATTCCCGTTTCCAACGAAATCCTCACAGCTATCCAAATATCCTCTTGCAGATTCTACAAAAAGTGTGGTTCAAAACTGCTGTATCAAAAGAATGGATCAACACTGTTAGTTGAGTACCCACATCACAAACGTGATTCTCAGAATGCTTCTGTCTAGTTTCTGTAGGTAGATATTTCCTATTTTAAGCATAGGCCTGAAAGCGCTCCAAATGCCCGCTTCCAGACACTATAAAAAGAGGGTTTCAAACCTACTCTATGAAAGGGAATGTTCAACTCTGAGAGCTGGATGCAAACATCACAAAGAAGTTTCTGAGAATGCTGCTGTCTGCTTTTGATATATAATCCCGTTTCCAACGAAATCCTCAAATCTATCCAAATATCCACTTGCAGATTCCAAAAGAAGAGTGTCTCAAAACTGCTCTATCAATAGAAATGTTCAGCACAGTTAGTTGAGTAGATACAGCATAAACATGTTTCTGAGATTACTTCTATCTCGCATTCATGGGAAGATATTTCCTTTTTCCAGATAGGCTACAAAGCCCTCCAAATGTCCACTTCCAGATACTACAAATAGAGTGCTGCACAACTGCTCTATGTGAGGGGAAGTTCAATTCTGTGACTTGAATGCAGACACCACAAAGAAGTTTCTGAGAATGCTGCTGTCTAATTTTTACATGTAAGCCCGTTTCCAACGAAATCCTCAAAGCTATCCAAATATCCGCATGCAGAATCTTCAAAAAGAGTGTTCCAGAAGTACTGCATGAAACGAAAGGTTCAAGTCCGTTTGTTGAGGACACACATCACAAATAAGTTTCTCAGAATGCTTCTGTCTTGTTTTCATTGGAAGATATTTCCTTTTTCACCATAGTTCAGAAAGCGCTCCAAATGTCCACTTCCAGATACTCCAAAAAGAGTGTTTCCAACCTGCTCTATGAATGGGAATGTTCCACTCTGTGACTTGAATGGAAATATGGCAAAGTATTTTCTGAGTATGCTGCTGTGTACGTTTTATATTGCATCCCGTTTCCAACGAAATCCTCAAAGCGATCCAAATATCCACTTGCAGATTCCAAAAAAAGAGTGTTTCAAAGTGCTCTGTCAGTACAAAGGTTCAACACTGTTGGTTGATTAGATGCATCATAAACAAGTTCCTGAGATAGCTTCTATGTCGTTTTTATGGGAAGATATTTCCTTTTTCACCATAGGCCTGAAAGCGCTCCAAATGTCCACTTCCAGATACTACAATAAGAGTGTTTCCAACCTGCTCTATGAAACGGAAGGTTCAACTCTGTGACTTGATTGCAAACATCACGAAGGTGTTTCTGAGAATGCTTCTGTCTAGATTTTCTTTGAAGACATTCCCGTTTCCAATGAAATCCTCACAGCTATCCAAATATCCTCTTGCAGATTCTACAAAAAGTGTGGTTCAAAACTGCTGTATCAAAAGAATGGATCAACACTGTTAGTTGAGTACCCACATCACAAACGTGATTCTCAGAATGCTTCTGTCTAGTTTCTGTAGGTAGATATTTCCTATTTTAAGCATAGGCCTGAAAGCGCTCCAAATGCCCGCTTCCAGACACTATAAAAAGAGGGTTTCAAACCTACTCTATGAAAGGGAATGTTCAACTCTGAGAGCTGGATGCAAACATCACAAAGAAGTTTCTGAGAATGCTGCTGTCTACTTTTTATATATAATCCCGTTTCCAACGAAATCCTCAAATGTATCCAAATATCCACTTGCAGATTCCAAAAGAAGAGTGTCTCAAAACTGCTCTATCAATAGAAATGTTCAGCACAGTTAGTTGAGTAGATACAGCATAAACATGTTTCTGAGATTACTTCTATCTCGCATTCATGGGAAGATATTTCCTTTTTCCAGATAGGCTACAAAGCCCTCCAAATGTCCACTTCCAGATACTACAAATAGAGTGCTGCACAACTGCTCTATGTGAGGGGAAGTTCAATTCTGTGACTTGAATGCAGACACCACAAAGAAGTTTCTGAGAATGCTGCTGTCTAATTTTTACATGTAAGCCCGTTTCCAACGAAATCCTCAAAGCTATCCAAATATCCGCATGCAGAATCTTCAAAAAGAGTGTTCCAGAAGTACTGCATGAAACGAAAGGTTCAAGTCCGTTTGTTGAGGACACACATCACAAATAAGTTTCTCAGAATGCTTCTGTCTTGTTTTCATTGGAAGATATTTACTTTTTCACCATAGTTCAGAAAGCGCTCCAAATGTCCACTTCCAGATACTCCAAAAAGAGTGTTTCCAACCTGCTCTATGAATGGGAATGTTCCACTCTCTGACTTGAATGGAAATATGGCAAAGTATTTTCTGAGTATGCTGCTGTGTACGTTTTATATTGCATCCCGTTTCCAACGAAATCCTCAAAGCGATCCAAATATCCACTTGCAGATTCCAAAAAAAGAGTGTTTCAAACTCCTCTGTCAGTACAAAGGTTCAACACTGTTAGTTGATTAGATGCATCATAAACAAGTTCCTGAGATAGCTTCTATGTCGTTTTTATGGGAAGATATTTCCTTTTTCACCATAGGCCTGAAAGCGCTCCAAATGTCCACTTCCAGATACTACAATAAGAGTGTTTCCAACCTGCTCTATGAAACGGAAGGTTCAACTCTGTGACTTGATTGCAAACATCACGAAGGTGTTTCTGAGAATGCTTCTGTCTAGATTTTCTTTGAAGACATTCCCGTTTCCAACGAAATCCTCACAGCTATCCAAATATCCTCTTGCAGATTCTACAAAAAGTGTGGTTCAAAACTGCTGTATCAAAAGAATGGATCAACACTGTTAGTTGAGTACCCACATCACAAACGTGATTCTCAGAATGCTTCTGTCTAGTTTCTGTAGGTAGATATTTCCTATTTTAAGCATAGGCCTGAAAGCGCTCCAAATGCCCGCTTCCAGACACTATAAAAAGAGGGTTTCAAACCTACTCTATGAAAGGGAATGTTCAACTCTGAGAGCTGGATGCAAACATCACAAAGAAGTTTCTGAGAATGCTGCTGTCTGCTTTTGATATATAATCCCGTTTCCAACGAAATCCTCAAATCTATCCAAATATCCACTTGCAGATTCCAAAAGAAGAGTGTCTCAAAACTGCTCTATCAATAGAAATGTTCAGCACAGTTAGTTGAGTAGATAGAGCATAAACATGTTTCTGAGATTACTTCTATCTCGCATTCATGGGAAGATATTTCCTTTTTCCAGATAGGCTACAAAGCCCTCCAAATGTCCACTTCCAGATACTACAAATAGAGTGCTGCACAACTGCTCTATGTGAGGGGAAGTTCAATTCTGTGACTTGAATGCAGACACCACAAAGAAGTTTCTGAGAATGCTGCTGTCTAATTTTTACATGTAAGCCCGTTTCCAACGAAATCCTCAAAGCTATCCAAATATCCGCATGCAGAATCTTCAAAAAGAGTGTTCCAGAAGTACTGCATGAAACGAAAGGTTCAAGTCCGTTTGTTGAGGACACACATCACAAATAAGTTTCTCAGAATGCTTCTGTCTTGTTTTCATTGGAAGATATTTCCTTTTTCACCATAGTTCAGAAAGCGCTCCAAATGTCCACTTCCAGATACTCCAAAAAGAGTGTTTCCAACCTGCTCTATGAATGGGAATGTTCCACTCTGTGACTTGAATGGAAATATGGCAAAGTATTTTCTGAGTATGCTGCTGTGTACGTTTTATATTGCATCCCGTTTCCAACGAAATCCTCAAAGCGATCCAAATATCCACTTGCAGATTCCAAAAAAAGAGTGTTTCAAACTGCTCTGTCAGTACAAAGGTTCAACACTGTTAGTTGATTAGATGCATCATAAACAAGTTCCTGAGATAGCTTCTATGTCGTTTTTATGGGAAGATATTTCCTTTTTCACCATAGGCCTGAAAGCGCTCCAAATGTCCACTTCCAGATACTACAATAAGAGTGTTTCCAACCTGCTCTATGAAACGGAAGGTTCAACTCTGTGACTTGATTGCAAACATCACGAAGGTGTTTCTGAGAATGCTTCTGTCTAGATTTTCTTTGAAGACATTCCCGTTTCCAACGAAATCCTCACAGCTATCCAAATATCCTCTTGCAGATTCTACAAAAAGTGTGGTTCAAAACTGCTGTATCAAAAGAATGGATCAACACTGTTAGTTGAGTACCCACATCACAAACGTGATTCTCAGAATGCTTCTGTCTAGTTTCTGTAGGTAGATATTTCCTATTTTAAGCATAGGCCTGAAAGCGCTCCAAATGTCCGCTTCCAGACACTATAAAAAGAGGGTTTCAAACCTACTCTATGAAAGGGAATGTTCAACTCTGAGAGCTGGATGCAAACATCACAAAGAAGTTTCTGAGAATGCTGCTGTCTACTTTTTATATATAATCCCGTTTCCAACGAAATCCTCAAATCTATCCAAATATCCACTTGCAGATTCCAAAAGAAGAGTGTCTCAAAACTGCTCTATCAATAGAAATGTTCAGCACAGTTAGTTGAGTAGATACAGCATAAACATGTTTCTGAGATTACTTCTATCTCGCATTCATGGGAAGATATTTCCTTTTTCCAGATAGGCTACAAAGACCTCCAAATGTCCTCTTCGAGATACTACAAATAGAGTGCTGCACAACTGCTCTATGTGAGGAGATGTTCAATTCTGTGACTTGAATGCAGACACCACAAAGAAGTTTCTGAGAATGCTGCTGTCTAATTTTTATATGTAAGCCCATTTCAAACGAACTCCTCAAAGCTATCCAAATATCCGCATGCAGAATCTTCAAAAAGAGTGTTCCAGAAGTACTGCATGAAACGAAAGGTTCGAGTCCGTTAGTTGAGGACACGCATCACAAGTAAGTTTCTCAGAATGCTTCTGTCTTGTTTTCATTGGAAGATATTTCCTTTTTCACCATAGTTCAGATAGCGCTCCAAATGTCCACTTCCAGACACTCCAAAAAGAGTGTTTCAAACCTGCTCTATGAATGGGAATGTTCCACTCTGTGACTTGAATGGAAATATGGCAAAGTATTTTCTGAGTATGCTGCTGTGTACGTTTTATATTGCACCCCGTTTCCAACGAAATCCTCAAAGCGATCCAAATATCCACTTGCAGATTCATAAAAAAGAGTGTTTCAAACTGCTCTGTCAGTACAAAGGTTCAACACTGTTAGTTGATTAGATACATCATAAACATGTTCCTGAGATAGGTTCTATGTCGCTTTTATGGGAAGATATTTCCTTTTACACCATAGGCCTGAAAGCGCTCCAAATGTCCACTTCCAGATACTACAAAAAGAGTGTTTCCAACCTGCTCTATGAAACGGAAGGTTCAACTCTGTGACTTGATGGCAAACATCACGAAGTTGTTTCTGAGGATGTTTCTGTCTAGATTTTCTTTGAAGACATTCCCGTTTCCAACGAAATCCTCACAGCTATCCAAATATCCTCTTGCAGATTCTACAAAAAGTGTGGTTCAAAACTGCTGTATCAAAAGAATGGATCAACACTGTTAGTTGAGTACCCACATCACAAACGAGATTCTCAGAATGCTTCTGTCTAGTTTCTGTAGGTAGATATTTCCTATTTTAAGCATAGGCCTGAAAGCGCTCCAAATGCCCGCTTCCAGACACTATAAAAAGAGGGTTTCAAACCTACTCTATGAAAGGGAATGTTCAACTCTGAGAGCTGGATGCAAACATCACAAAGAAGTTTCTGAGAATGCTGCTGTCTACTTTTTATATATAATCCCGTTTCCAACGAAATCCTCAAATCTCTCCAAATATCCACTTGCAGATTCCAAAAGAAGAGTGTCTCAAAACTGCTCTATCAATAGAAATGTTCAGCACAGTTAGTTGAGTAGATACAGCATAAACATGTTTCTGAGATTACTTCTATCTCGCATTCATGGGAAGATATTTCCTTTTTCCACATAGGCTACAAAGCCCTCCAAATGTCCACTTCCAGATACTACAAAAAGAGTGTTTCCAACCTGCTCTATGAAACGGAAGGTTCAACTCTGTGACTTGATTGCAAACATCACGAAGGTGTTTCTGAGAATGCTTCTGTCTAGATTTTCTTTGAAGACATTACCGTTTCCAACGAAATCCTCAAAGCTAGCCAAATATCCACCTGCAGATTCTACAAAAAGAGTGTTTCAAAAGTGCTCTGTCCAAACCAAGGTTCAATTCTGACAGTTGAGTGCACACATCACAAACGTGATTCTGCGAATGCTTCTGTCTAGTTTTTGTCGGAAGATATTTCCTTTTTCAGCATAGGCCCCAAGGAGCTCAAAATGTCCACTGCCAGATAGTACGAGAAGATTGTTTCAAACCTGCTCTGTGAAAGGGAATGTTCAACTCTGTGACTTGAATGTAAACATCCCTAAGATGTTTCTTAGAATGCTTCTGGCTAGATTTTATTTGAAGATATTCCCGTTTCCAACGAAATCCTCAAAGCTTTCCAAATATCCA
Organism: Homo sapiens; assembly: GCF_000001405.40. Classification (NCBI taxonomy): domain Eukaryota; kingdom Metazoa; phylum Chordata; class Mammalia; order Primates; family Hominidae; genus Homo; species Homo sapiens. The sequence goes on along the minus strand of NC_000008.11, from coordinate 44,967,220 downwards.
CTTCCAGATTCTATAAAAAGAATGTTTCAGAACAGTTCTGTCAAAAGAAAGGTTCAACTCTGTTAGTGGAGAACACACATCACAATCAAGGTTCTGAGAATGCTTCTGTCTAAATTTTCTATGAAGACATTCCCGTTTCCAACGAAATCCTCACAGCTATCCAAATATCCACTTGCAGATTCTACAAAAAGTGTGGTTCAAAACTGCTGTATCAAAAGAATGGATCAACACTGTTAGTTGAGTACCCACATCACAAACGTGATTCTCAGAATGCTTCTGTCTAGTTTCTATAGGTAGATATTTCCTTTTTCAGCATAGGCCTGAAAGCGCTCCAAATGCCCGCTTCCAGACACTATAAAAAGAGGGTTTCAAACCTACTCTATGAAAGGGAATGTTCAACTCTGAGAGCTGGATGCAAACATCACAAAGAAGTTTCTGAGAATGCTGCTGTCTACTTTTGATATATAATCCCGTTTCCAACGAAATCCTCAAATCTATCCAAATATCCACTTGCAGATTCCAAAAGAAGAGTGTCTCAAAACTGCTCTATCAATAGAAATGTTCAGCACAGTTAGTTGAGTAGATACAGCATAAACATGTTTCTGAGATTACTTCTATCTCGCATTCATGGGAAGATATTTCCTTTTTCCACATAGGCTACAAAGCCCTCCAAATGTCCACTTCCAGATACTACAAAAAGAGTGTTTCCAACCTGCTCTATGAAACGGAAGGTTCAACTCTGTGACTTGATTGCAAACATCACGAAGGTGTTTCTGAGAATGCTTCTGTCTAGATTTTCTTTGAAGACATTACCGTTTCCAACGAAATCCTCAAAGCTAGCCAAATATCCACCTGCAGATTCTACAAAAAGAGTGTTTCAAAAGTGCTCTGTCCAAACCAAGGTTCAATTCTGACAGTTGAGTGCACACATCACAAACGTGATTCTGCGAATGCTTCTGTCTAGTTTTTGTCAGAAGATATTTCCTTTTTCAGCATAGGCCCCAAGGCAGCTCAAAATGTCCACTGCCAGATAGTACGAGAAGATTGTTTCAAACCTGCTCTGTGAAAGGGAATGTTCAACTCTGTGACTTGAATGTAAACATCCCTAAGATGTTTCTTAGAATGCTTCTGGCTAGATTTTATTTGAAGATATTCCCGTTTCCAACGAAATCCTCAAAGCTTTCCAAATATCCACTTCCAGATTCTATAAAAAGAATGTTTCAGAACAGTTCTGTCAAAAGAAAGGTTCAACTCTGTTAGTGGAGAACACACATCACAATCAAGGTTCTGAGAATGCTTCTGTCTAAATTTTCTATGAAGACATTCCCGTTTCCAACGAAATCCTCACAGCTATCCAAATATCCACTTGCAGATTCTACAAAAAGTGTGGTTCAAAACTGCTGTATCAAAAGAATGGATCAACACTGTTAGTTGAGTACCCACATCAGAAACGTGATTCTCAGAATGCTTCTGTCTAGTTTCTGTAGGTAGATATTTCCTATTTTAAGCATAGGCCTGAATGCGCTCCAAATGCCCGCTTCCAGACACTATAAAAAGAGGGTTTCAAACCTACTCTATGAAAGGGAATGTTCAACTCTGAGAGCTGGATGCAAACATCACAAAGAAGTTTACTGAGAATGCTGCTGTCTACTTTTTATATATAATCCCGTTTCCAACGAAATCCTCAAATCTATCCAAATATCCACTTGCAGATTCCAAAAGAAGAGTGTCTGAAAACTGCTCTATCAATAGAAATGTTCAGCACAGTTAGTTGAGTAGATACAGCATAAACATGTTTCTGAGATTACTTCTATCTCGCATTCATGGGAAGATATTTCCTTTTTCCAGATAGGCTACAAAGCCCTCCAAATGTCCACTTCCAGATACTACAAATAGAGTGCTGCACAACTGCTCTATGTGAGGGGAAGTTCAATTCTGTGACTTGAATGCAGACACCACAAAGAAGTTTCTGAGAATGCTGCTGTCTAATTTTTACATGTAAGCCCGTTTCCAACGAAATCCTCAAAGCTATCCAAATATCCGCATGCAGAATCTTCAAAAAGAGTGTTCCAGAAGTACTGCATGAAACGAAAGGTTCAAGTCCGTTTGTTGAGGACACACATCACAAATAAGTTTCTCAGAATGCTTCTGTCTTGTTTTCATTGGAAGATATTTCCTTTTTCACCATAGTTCAGAAAGCGCTCCAAATGTCCACTTCCAGATACTCCAAAAAGAGTGTTTCCAACCTGCTCTATGAATGGGAATGTTCCACTCTGTGACTTGAATGGAAATATGGCAAAGTATTTTCTGAGTATGCTGCTGTGTACGTTTTATATTGCATCCCGTTTCCAACGAAATCCTCAAAGCGATCCAAATATCCACTTGCAGATTCCAAAAAAAGAGTGTTTCAAACTGCTCTGTCAGTACAAAGGTTCAACACTGTTAGTTGATTAGATGCATCATAAACAAGTTCCTGAGATAGCTTCTATATCGTTTTTATGGGAAGATATTTCCTTTTTCACCATAGGCCTGAAAGCGCTCCAAATGTCCACTTCCAGATACTACAATAAGAGTGTTTCCAACCTGCTCTATGAAACGGAAGGTTCAACTCTGTGACTTGATTGCAAACATCACGAAGGTATTTCTTAGAATGCTTCTGTCTAGATTTTCTTTGAAGACATTACCGTTTCCAACGAAATCCTCAAAGCTAGCCAAATATCCACCTGCAGATTCTACAAAAAGAGTGTTTCAAAAGTGCTCTGTCCAAACCAAGGTTCAATTCTGACAGTTGAGTGCACACATCACAAACGTGATTCTGCGAATGCTTCTGTCTAGTTTTTGTCGGAAGATATTTCCTTTTTCAGCATAGGCCCCAAGGAGCTCAAAATGTCCACTGCCAGATAGTACGAGAAGATTGTTTCAAACCTGCTCTGTGAAAGGGAATGTTCAACTCTGTGACTTGAATGTAAACATCCCTAAGATGTTTCTTAGAATGCTTCTGGCTAGATTTTATTTGAAGATATTCCCGTTTCCAACGAAATCCTCAAAGCTTTCCAAATATCCACTTCCAGATTCTATAAAAAGAATGTTTCAGAACAGTTCTGTCAAAAGAAAGGTTCAACTCTGTTAGTGGAGAACACACATCACAATCAAGGTTCTGAGAATGCTTCTGTCTAAATTTTCTATGAAGACATTCCCGTTTCCAACGAAATCCTCACAGCTATCCAAATATCCACTTGCAGATTCTACAAAAAGTGTGTTTCAAAACTGCTGTATCAAAAGAATGGATCAACACTGTTAGTTGAGTACCCACATCACAAACGTGATTCTCAGAATGCTTCTGTCTAGTTTCTATAGGTAGATATTTCCTTTTTCAGCATAGGCCTGAAAGCGCTCCAAATGCCCGCTTCCAGACACTATAAAAAGAGGGTTTCAAACCTACTCTATGAAAGGGAATGTTCAACTCTGAGAGCTGGATGCAAACATCACAAAGAAGTTTCTGAGAATGCTGCTGTCTACTTTTGATATATAATCCCGTTTCCAACGAAATCCTCAAATCTATCCAAATATCCACTTGCAGATTCCAAAAGAAGAGTGTCTCAAAACTGCTCTATCAATAGAAATGTTCAGCACAGTTAGTTGAGTACATACAGCATAAACATGTTTCTGAGATTACTTCTATCTCGCATTCATGGGAAGATATTTCCTTTTTCCAGATAGGCTACAAAGCCCTCCAAATGTCCACTTCCAGATACTACAAATAGAGTGCTGCACAACTGCTCTATGTGAGGGGAAGTTCAATTCTGTGACTTGAATGCAGACACCACAAAGAAGTTTCTGAGAATGCTGCTGTCTAATTTTTACATGTAAGCCCGTTTCCAACGAAATCCTCAAAGCTATCCAAATATCCGCATGCAGAATCTTCAAAAAGAGTGTTCCAGAAGTACTGCATGAAACGAAAGGTTCAAGTCCGTTTGTTGAGGACACACATCACAAAGAAGTTTCTCAGAATGCTTCTGTCTTGTTTTCATTGGAAGATATTTCCTTTTTCACCATAGTTCAGAAAGCGCTCCAAATGTCCACTTCCAGATACTCCAAAAAGAGTGTTTCAAACCTGCTCTATGAATGGGAATGTTCCACTCTGTGACTTGAATGGAAATATGGCAAAGTATTTTCTGAGTATGCTGCTGTGTACGTTTTATATTGCATCCCGTTTCCAACGAAATCCTCAAAGCGATCCAAATATCCACTTGCAGATTCCAAAAAAAGAGTGTTTCAAAGTGCTCTGTCAGTACAAAGTTTCAACACTGTTAGTTGATTAGATGCATCATAAACAAGATCCTGAGATAGCTTCTATGTCGTTTTTATGGGAAGATATTTCCTTTTTCACCATAGGCCTGAAAGCGCTCCAAATGTCCACTTCCAGATACTACAAAAAGAGTGTTTCCAACCTGCTCTATGAAACGGAAGGTTCAACTCTGTGACTTGATTGCAAACATCATGAAGGTGTTTCTGAGAATGTTTCTGTCTAGATTTTCTTTAAAGACATTCCCGTTTCCAACGAAATCCTCACAGCTATCCAAATATCCTCTTGCAGATTCTACAAAAAGTGTGGTTCAAAACTGCTGTATCAAAAGAATGGATCAACACTGTTAGTTGAGTACCCACATCACAAACGTGATTCTCAGAATGCTTCTGTCTAGTTTCTGTAGGTAGATATTTCCTATTTTAAGCATAGGCCTGAAAGCGCTCCAAATGCCCGCTTCGAGACACTATAAAAAGAGGGTTTCAAACCTACTCTATGAAAGGGAATGTTCAACTCTGAGAGCTGGATGCAAACATCACAAAGAAGTTTCTGAGAATGCTGCTGTCTACTTTTTATATATAATCCCGTTTCCAACGAAATCCTCAAATCTATCCAAATATCCACTTGCAGATTCCAAAAGAAGAGTGTCTCAAAACTGCTCTATCAATAGAAATGCTCAGCACAGTTAGTTGAGTAGATACAGCATAAACATGTTTCTGAGATTACTTCTATCTCGCATTCATGGGAAGATATTTCCTTTTTCCAGATAGGCTAAAAAGCCCTCCAAATGTCCACTTCCAGATACTACAAAAAGAGTGTTTCCAACCTGCTCTATGAAACGGAAGGTTCAACTCTGTGACTTGATTGCAAACATCACGAAGGTGTTTCTGAGAATGCTTCTGTCTAGATTTTCTTTGAAGACATTACCGTTTCCAACGAAATCCTCAAAGCTAGCCAAATATCCACCTGCAGATTCTACAAAAAGAGTGTTTCAAAAGTGCTCTGTCCAAACCAAGGTTCAATTCTGACAGTTGAGTGCACACATCACAAACGTGATTCTGCGAATGCTTCTGTCTAGTTTTTGTCGGAAGATATTTCCTTTTTCAGCATAGGCCCCAAGGAGCTCAAAATGTCCACTGCCAGATAGTACGAGAAGATTGTTTCAAACCTGCTCTGTGAAAGGGAATGTTCAACTCTGTGACTTGAATGTAAACATCCCTAAGATGTTTCTTAGAATGCTTCTGGCTAGATTTTATTTGAAGATATTCCCGTTTCCAACGAAATCCTCAAAGCTTTCCAAATATCCACTTCCAGATTCTACAAAAAGTGTGGTTCAAAACTGCTGTATCAAAAGAATGGATCAACACTGTTAGTTGAGTACCCACATCACAAACGTGATTCTCAGAATGCTTCTGTCTAGTTTCTATAGGTAGATATTTCCTTATTCAGCATAGGCCTGAAAGCGCTCCAAATGCCCGCTTCCAGACACTATAAAAAGAGGGTTTCAAACCTACTCTATGAAAGGGAATGTTCAACTCTGAGAGCTGGATGCAAACATCACAAAGAAGTTTCTGAGAATGCTGCTGTCTACTTTTTATATATAATCCCGTTTCCAACGAAATCCTCAAATCTATCCAAATATCCACTTGCAGATTCCAAAAGAAGAGTGTCTCAAAACTGCTCTATCAATAGAAATGTTCAGCACAGTTAGTTGAGTAGATACAGCATAAACATGTTTCTGAGATTACTTCTATCTCGCATTCATGGGAAGATATTTCCTTTTTCCAGATAGGCTACAAAGCCCTCCAAATGTCCACTTCCAGATACTACAAATAGAGTGCTGCACAACTGCTCTATGTGAGGGGAAGTTCAATTCTGTGACTTGAATGCAGACACCACAAAGAAGTTTCTGAGAATGCTGCTGTCTAATTTTTACATGTAAGGCCGTTTCCAACGAAATCCCCCAAAGCTATCCAAATATCCGCATGCAGAATCTTCAAAAAGAGTGTTCCAGAAGTACTGCATGAAACGAAAGGTTCAAGTCCGTTTGTTGAGGACACACATCACAAATAAGTTTCTCAGAATGCTTCTGTCTTGTTTTCATTGGAAGATATTTCCTTTTTCACCATAGTTCAGAAAGCGCTCCAAATGTCCACTTCCAGATACTCCAAAAAGAGTGTTTCAAACCTGCTCTATGAATGGGAATGTTCCACTCTGTGACTTGAATGGAAATATGGCAAAGTATTTTCTGAGTATGCTGCTGTGTACGTTTTATATTGCATCCCGTTTCCAACGAAATCCTCAAAGCGATCCAAATATCCACTTGCAGATTCCAAAAAAAGAGTGTTTCAAACTGCTCTGTCAGTACAAAGGTTCAACACTGTTAGTTGATTAGATGCATCATAAACAAGTTCCTGAGATAGCTTCTATGTCGTTTTTATGGGAACATATTTCCTTTTACACCATAGGCCTGAAAGCGCTCCAAATGTCCACTTCCAGATACTACAAAATGAGTGTTTCCAACCTGCTCTATGAAACGGAAGGTTCAACTCTGTGACTTGATTGCAAACATCACGAAGGTGTTTCTGAGGATGTTTCTGTCTAGATTTTCTTTGAAGACATTACCGTTTCCAACGAAATCCTCAAAGCTAGCCAAATATCCACCTGCAGATTCTACAAAAAGAGTGTTTCAAAAGTGCTCTGTCCAAACAAAGGTTCAATTCTGACAGTTGAGTGCACACATCACAAACGTGATTCTGCGAATGCTTCTGTCTAGTTTTTGTCGGAAGATATTTCCTTTTTCAGCATAGGCCCCAAAGAGCTCAAAATGTCCACTTCCAGATAGTACGAGAAGATTGTTTCAAACCTGCCCTGTGAAAGGGAATGTTGAACTCTGTGACTTGAATGTAAACATCCCTAAGATGTTTCTTAGAATGCTTCTGGCTAGATTTGATTTGAAGATATTCCCGTTTCCAACGAAATCCTCAAGGCTTTCCAAATATCCACTTCCAGATTCTATAAAAAGAATGTTTCAGAACAGTTCTGTCAAAAGAAAGGTTCAACTCTGTTAGTGGAGAACACACATCACAATCAAGGTTCTGAGAATGCTTCTGTCTAAATTTTCTATGAAGGCATTCCCGTTTCCAAGGAAATCCTCACAGCTATCCAAATATCCACTTGCAGATTCTACAAAAAGTGTGGTTCAAATCTGCTGTATCAAAAGAATGGATCAACACTGTTAGTTGAGTACCCACATCACAAACGTGATTCTCAGAATGCTTCTGTCTAGTTTTTATAGGTAGATATTTCCTTTTTCAGCATAGGCCTGAAAGCGCTCCAAATGCCCGCTTCCAGACACTATAAAAAGAGGGTTTCAAACCTACTCTATGAAAGGGAATGTTCAACTCTGAGAGCTGGATGCAAACATCACAAAGAAGTTTCTGAGAATGCTGCTGTCTAATTTTTACATGTAAGCCCGTTTCCAACGAAATCCTCAAAGCTATCCAAATATCCACTTGCAGATTCCAAAAGAAGAGTGTCTCAAAACTGCTCTATCAATAGAAATGTTCAGCACAGTTAGTTGAGTAGATACAGCATAAACATGTTTCTGAGATTACTTCTATCTCGCATTCATGGGAAGATATTTCCTTTTTACAGATAGGCTACAAAGCCCTCCAAATGTCCACTTCGAGATACTACAAATAGAGTGCTGCACAGCTGCTCTATGTGAGGGGATGTTCAATTCTGTGACTTGAATGCAGACACCACAAAGAAGTTTCTGAGAATGCTGCTGTCTAATTTTTACATGTAAGCCCGTTTCCAACGAAATCCTCAAAGCTATCCAAATATCCGCATGCAGAATCTTCAAAAAGAGTGTTCCAGAAGTACTGCATGAAACGAAAGGTTCAAGTCCGTTTGTTGAGGACACACATCACAAATAAGTTTCTCAGAATGCTTCTGTCTTGTTTTCATTGGAAGATATTTCCTTTTTCACCATAGTTCAGAAAGCGCTCCAAATGTCCACTTCCAGATACTCCAAAAAGAGTGTTTCCAACCTGCTCTATGAATGGGAATGTTCCACTCTGTGACTTGAATGGAAATATGGCAAAGTATTTTCTGAGTATGCTGCTGTGTACGTTTTATATTGCATCCCGTTTCCAACGAAATCCTCAAAGCGATCCAAATATCCACTTGCAGATTCCAAAAAAAGAGTGTTTCAAACTGCTCTGTCAGTACAAAGGTTCAACACTGTTAGTTGATTAGAGGCATCATAAACAAGTTCCTGAGATAGCTTCTATGTCGCTTTTATGGGAAGATATTTCCTTTTACACCATAGGCCTGAAAGCGCTCCAAATGTCCACTTCCAGATACTACAAAATGAGTGTTTCCAACCTGCTCTATGAAACGGAAGGTTCAACTCTGTGACTTGATTGCAAACATCACGAAGGTGTTTCTGAGGATGTTTCTGTCTAGATTTTCTTTGAAGACATTACCGTTTCCAACGAAATCCTCAAAGCTAGCCAAATATCCACCTGCAGATTCTACAAAAAGAGTGTTTCAAAAGTGCTCTGTCCAAACCAAGGTTCAATTCTGACAGTTGAGTGCACACATCACAAACGTGATTCTGCAAATGCTTCTGTCTAGTTTTTGTCGGAAGATATTTCCTTTTTCAGCATAGGCCCCAAGGAGCTCAAAATGTCCACTGCCAGATAGTACGAGAAGATTGTTTCAAACCTGCTCTGTGAAAGGGAATGTTCAACTCTGTGACTTGAATGTAAACATCCCTAAGATGTTTCTTAGAATGCTTCTGGCTAGATTTGATTTGAAGATATTCCCGTTTCCAACGAAATCCTCAAAGCTTTCCAAATATCCACTTCCAGATTCTATAAAAAGAATGTTTCAGAACAGTTCTGTCAAAAGAAAGGTTCAACTCTGTTAGTGGAGAACACACATCACAATCAAGGTTCTGAGAATGCTTCTGTCTAAATTTTCTATGAAGACATACCCGTTTCCAACGAAATCCTCACAGCTATCCAAATATCCACTTGCAGATTCTACAAAAAGTGTGGTTCAAAACTGCTGTATCAAAAGAATGGATCAACACTGTTAGTTGAGTACCCACATCACAAACGTGATTCTCAGAATGCTTCTGTCTAGTTTCTATAGGTAGATATTTCCTTTTTCAGCATAGGCCTGAAAGCGCTCCAAATGCCCGCTTCCAGACACTATAAAAAGAGGGTTTCAAACCTACTCTATGAAAGGGAATGTTCAACTCTGAGAGCTGGATGCAAACATCACAAAGAAGTTTCTGAGAATGCTGCTGTCTACTTTTTATATATAATCCCGTTTCCAACGAAATCCTCAAATCTATCCAAATATCCACTTGCAGATTCCAAAAGAAGAGTGTCTCAAAACTGCTCTATCAATAGAAATGTTCAGCACAGTTAGTTGAGTAGATACAGCATAAACATGTTTCTGAGATTACTTCTATCTCGCATTCATGGGAAGATATTTCCTTTTTCCAGATAGGCTACAAAGCCCTCCAAATGTCCACTTCCAGATACTACAAATAGAGTGCTGCACAACTGCTCTATGTGAGGGGAAGTTCAATTCTGTGACTTGAATGCAGACACCACAAAGAAGTTTCTGAGAATGCTGCTGTCTAATTTTTACATGTAAGCCCGTTTCCAACGAAATCCTCAAAGCTATCCAAATATCCGCATGCAGAATCTTCAAAAAGAGTGTTCCAGAAGTACTGCATGAAACGAAAGGTTCAAGTCCGTTTGTTGAGGACACACATCACAAATAAGTTTCTCAGAATGCTTCTGTCTTGTTTTCATTGGAAGATATTTCCTTTTTCACCATAGTTCAGAAAGCCCTCCAAATGTCCACTTCCACATACTACAAAAAGAGTGTTTCCAACCTGCTCTATGAATGGGAATGTTCCACTCTGTGACTTGAATGGAAATATGGCAACGTATTTTCTGAGTATGCTGCTGTGTACGTTTTATATTGCATCCCGTTTCCAACGAAATCCTCAAAGCGATCCAAATATCCACTTGCAGATTCCAAAAAAAGAGTGTTTCAAACTGCTCTGTCAGTACAAAGGTTCAACAGTGTTAGTTGATTAGATGCATCATAAACAAGTTCCTGAGATAGCTTCTATGTCGTTTTTATGGGAAGATATTTCCTTTTTCACCATAGGCCTGAAAGCGCTCCAAATGTCCACTTCCAGATACTACAATAAGAGTGTTTCCAACCTGCTCTATGAAACGGAAGGTTCAACTCTGTGACTTGATTGCAAACATCACGAAGGTGTTTCTGAGAATGCTTCTGTCTAGATTTTCTTTGAAGACATTCCCGTTTCCAACGAAATCCTCACAGCTATCCAAATATCCTCTTGCAGATTCTACAAAAAGTGTGGTTCAAAACTGCTGTATCAAAAGAATGGATCAACACTGTTAGTTGAGTACCCACATCACAAACGTGATTCTCAGAATGCTTCTGTCTAGTTTCTGTAGGTAGATATTTCCTATTTTAAGCATAGGCCTGAAAGCGCTCCAAATGCCCGCTTCCAGACACTATAAAAAGAGGGTTTCAAACCTACTCTATGAAAGGGAATGTTCAACTCTGAGAGCTGGATGCAAACATCACAAAGAAGTTTCTGAGAATGCTGCTGTCTACTTTTTATATATAATCCCGTTTCCAACGAAATCCTCAAATCTATCCAAATATCCACTTGCAGATTCCAAAAGAAGAGTGTCTCAAAACTGCTCTATCAATAGAAATGTTCAGCACAGTTAGTTGAGTAGATACAGCATAAACATGTTTCTGAGATTACTTCTATCTCGCATTCATGGGAAGATATTTCCTTTTTCCAGATAGGCTACAAAGCCCTCCAAATGTCCACTTCCAGATACTACAAATAGAGTGCTGCACAACTGCTCTATGTGAGGGGATGTTCAATTCTGTGACTTGAATGCAGACACCACAAAGAAGTTTCTGAGAATGCTGCTGTCTAATTTTTACATGTAAGCCCGTTTCCAACGAAATCCTCAAAGCTATCCAAATATCCGCATGCAGAATCTTCAAAAAGAGTGTTCCAGAAGTACTGCATGAAACGAAAGGTTCAAGTCCGTTTGTTGAGGACACACATCACAAATAAGTTTCTCAGAATGCTTCTGTCTTGTTTTCATTGGAAGATATTTCCTTTTTCACCATAGTTCAGAAAGCGCTCCAAATGTCCACTTCCAGATACTCCAAAAAGAGTGTTTCAAACCTGCTCTATGAATGGGAATGTTCCACTCTGTGACTTGAATGGAAATATGGCAAAGTATTTTCTGAGTATGCTGCTGTGTACGTTTTATATTGCATCCCGTTTCCAACGAAATCCTCAAAGCGATCCAAATATCCACTTGCAGATTCCAAAAAAAGAGTGTTTCAAAGTGCTCTGTCAGTACAAAGGTTCAACACTGTTAGTTGATTAGATGCATCATAAACAAGTTCCCTGAGATAGCTTCTATGTCGTTTTCATGGGAAGATATTTCCTTTTTCACCATAGGCCTGAAAGCGCTCCCAATGTCCACTTCCAGATACTACAAAAAGAGTGTTTCCAACCTGCTCTATGAAACGGAAGGTTCAACTCTGTGAATTGATTGCAAACATCACGAAGGTGTTTCTGAGAATGTTTCTGTCTAGATTTTCTTTGAAGACATTACCGTTTCCAACGAAATCCTCAAAGCTAGCCAAATATCCACCTGCAGATTCTACAAAAAGAGTGTTTCAAAAGTGCTCTGTCCAAACCAAGGTTCAATTCTGACAGTTGAGTGCACACATCACAAACGTGATTCTGCGAATGCTTCTGTCTAGTTTTTTTCGGAAGATATTTCCTTTTTCAGCATAGGCCCCAAGGAGCTCAAAATGTCCACTGCCAGATAGTACGAGAAGATTGTTTCAAACCTGCTCTGTGAAAGGGAATGTTCAACTCTGTGACTTGAATGTAAACATCCCTAAGATGTTTCTTAGAATGCTTCTGGCTAGATTTGATTTGAAGATATTCCCGTTTCCAACGAAATCCTCAAAGCTTTCCAAATATCCACTTCCAGATTCTATAAAAAGAATGTTTCAGAACAGTTCTGTCAAAAGAAAGGTTCAACTCTGTTAGTGGAGAACACACATCACAATCAAGGTTCTGAGAATGCTTCTGTCTAAATTTTCTATGAAGACATTCCCGTTTCCAACGAAATCCTCACAGCTATCCAAATATCCACTTGCAGATTCTACAAAAAGTGTGGTTCAAAACTGCTGTATCAAAAGAATGGATCAACACTGTTAGTTGAGTACCCACATCACAAACGTGATTCTCAGAATGCTTCTGTCTAGTTTCTATAGGTAGATATTTCCTTTTTCAGCATAGGCCTGAAAGCGCTCCAAATGCCCGCTTCCAGACACTATAAAAAGAGGGTTTCAAACCTACTCTATGAAAGGGAATGTTCAACTCTGAGAGCTGGATGCAAACATCACAAAGAAGTTTCTGAGAATGCTGCTGTCTACTTTTTATATATAATCCCGTTTCCAACGAAATCCTCAAATCTATCCAAATATCCACTTGCAGATTCCAAAAGAAGAGTGTCTCAAAACTGCTCTATCAATAGAAATGTTCAGCACAGTTAGTTGAGTAGATACAGCATAAACATGTTTCTGAGATTACTTCTATCTCGCATTCATGGGAAGATATTTCCTTTTTCCACATAGGCTACAAAGCCCTCCAAATGTCCACTTCCAGATACTACAAATAGAGTGCTGCACAACTGCTCTATGTGAGGGGATGTTCAATTCTGTGACTTGAATGCAGACACCACAAAGAAGTTTCTGAGAATGCTGCTGTCTAATTTTTACATGTAAGCCCGTTTCCAACGAAATCCTCAAAGCTATCCAAATATCCGCATGCAGAATCTTCAAAAAGAGTGTTCCAGAAGTACTGCATGAAACGAAAGGTTCAAGTCCGTTTGTTGAGGACACACATCACAAATAAGTTTCTCAGAATGCTTCTGTCTTGTTTTCATTGGAAGATATTTCCTTTTTCACCATAGTTCAGAAAGCGCTCCAAATGTCCACTTCCAGATACTCCAAAAAGGGTGTTTCCAACCTGCTCTATGAATGGGAATGTTCCACTCTGTGACTTGAATGGAAATATGGCAAAGTATTTTCTGAGTATGCTGCTGTGTACGTTTTATATTGCATCCCGTTTCCAACGAAATCCTCAAAGCGATCCAAATATCCACTTGCAGATTCCAAAAAAAGAGTGTTTCAAACTGCTCTGTCAGTACAAAGGTTCAACACTGTTAGTTGATTAGATGCATCATAAACAAGTTCCTGAGATAGCTTCTATGTCGTTTTTATGGGAAGATATTTCCTTTTTCACCATAGGCCTGAAAGCGCTCCAAATGTCCACTTCCAGATACTACAATAAGAGTGTTTCCAACCTGCTCTATGAAACGGAAGGTTCAACTCTGTGACTTGATTGCAAACATCACGAAGGTGTTTCTGAGAATGCTTCTGTCTAGATTTTCTTTGAAGACATTCCCGTTTCCAACGAAATCCTCACAGCTATCCAAATATCCTCTTGCAGATTCTACAAAAAGTGTGGTTCAAAACTGCTGTATCAAAAGAATGGATCAACACTGTTAGTTGAGTACCCACATCACAAACGTGATTCTCAGAATGCTTCTGTCTAGTTTCTGTAGGTAGATATTTCCTATTTTAAGCATAGGCCTGAAAGCGCTCCAAATGCCCGCTTCCAGACACTATAAAAAGAGGGTTTCAAACCTACTCTATGAAAGGGAATGTTCAACTCTGAGAGCTGGATGCAAACATCACAAAGAAGTTTCTGAGAATGCTGCTGTCTACTTTTTATATATAATCCCGTTTCCAACGAAATCCTCAAATCTATCCAAATATCCACTTGCAGATTCCAAAAGAAGAGTGTCTCAAAACTGCTCTATCAATAGAAATGTTCAGCACAGTTAGTTGAGAAGATACAGCATAAACATGTTTCTGAGATTACTTCTATCTCGCATTCATGGGAAGATATTTCCTTTTTCCAGATAGGCTACAAAGCCCTCCAAATGTCCACTTCGAGATACTACAAATAGAGTGCTGCACAACTGCTCTATGTGAGGGGAAGTTCAATTCTGTGACTTGAATGCAGACACCACAAAGAAGTTTCTGAGAATGCTGCTGTCTAATTTTTACATGTAAGCCCGTTTCCAACGAAATCCTCAAAGCTATCCAAATATCCACTTGCAGATTCCAAAAGAAGAGTGTCTCAAAACTGCTCTATCAATAGAAATGTTCAGCACAGTTAGTTGAGTAGATACAGCATAAACATGTTTCTGAGATTACTTCTATCTCGCATTCATGGGAAGATATTTCCTTTTTCCAGATAGGCTACAAAGCCCTCCAAATGTCCACTTCCAGATACTACAAATAGAGTGCTGCACAACTGCTCTATGTGAGGGGAAGTTCAATTCTGTGACTTGAATGCAGACACCACAAAGAAGTTTCTGAGAATGCTGCTGTCTAATTTTTACATGTAAGCCCGTTTCCAACGAAATCCTCAAAGCTATCCAAATATCCGCATGCAGAATCTTCAAAAAGAGTGTTCAAGAAGTACTGCATGAAACGAAAGGTTCAAGTCCGTTTGTTGAGGACACACATCACAAATAAGTTTCTCAGAATGCTTCTGTCTTGTTTTCATTGGAAGATATTTCCTTTTTCACCATAGTTCAGAAAGCGCTCCAAATGTCCACTTCCAGATACTCCAAAAAGAGTGTTTCAAACCTGCTCTATGAATGGGAATGTTCCGCTCTGTGACTTGAATGGAAATATGGCAAAGTATTTTCTGAGTATGCTGCTGTGTACGTTTTATATTGCATCCCGTTTCCAACGAAATCCTCAAAGCGATCCAAATATCCACTTGCAGATTCCAAAAAAAGAGTGTTTCAAACTGCTCTGTCAGTACAAAGGTTCAACACTGTTAGTTGATTAGATGCATCATAAACAAGTTCCTGAGATAGCTTCTATCTCGCATTCATGGGAAGATATTTCCTTTTTCCAGATAGGCTACAAAGCCCTCCAAATGTCCACTTCCAGATACTACAAAAAGAGTGTTTCAAACCTGCTCTATGAAACGGAAGGTTCAACTCTGTGACTTGATTGCAAACATCACGAAGTTGTTTCTGAGAATGCTTCTGTCTAGATTTTCTTTGAAGACATTACCGTTTCCAACGAAATCCTCAAAGCTAGCCAAATATCCTCCTGCAGATTCTACAAAAAGAGTGTTTCAAAAGTGCTCTGTCCAAACCAAGGTTCAATTCTGACAGTTGAGTGCACACATCACAAACGTGATTCTGCGAATGCTTCTGTCTAGTTTTTGTCGGAAGATATTTCCTTTTTCAGCATAGGCCCCAAGGAGCTCAAAATGTCCACTGCCAGATAGTACGAGAAGATTGTTTCAAACCTGCTCTGTGAAAGGGAATGTTCAACTCTGTGACTTGAATGTAAACATCCCTAAGATGTTTCTTAGAATGCTTCTGGCTAGATTTTATTTGAAGATATTCCCGTTTCCAACGAAATCCTCAAAGCTTTCCAAATATCCACTTCCAGATTCTATAAAAAGAATGTTTCAGAACAGTTCTGTCAAAAGAAAGGTTCAACTCTGTTAGTGGAGAACACACATCACAATCAAGGTTCTGAGAATGCTTCTCTCTAAATTTTCTATGAAGACATTCCCGTTTCCAACGAAATCCTCACAGCTATCCAAATATCCACTTGCAGATTCTACAAAAAGTGTGGTTCAAAACTGCTGTATCAAAAGAATGGATCAACACTGTTAGTTGAGTACCCACATCACAAACGTGATTCTCAGAATGCTTCTGTCTAGTTTCTGTAGGTAGATATTTCCTATTTTAAGCATAGGCCTGAATGCGCTCAAAATGCCCGCTTCCAGACACTATAAAAAGAGGGTTTCAAACCTACTCTATGAAAGGGAATGTTCAACTCTGAGAGCTGGATGCAAACATCACAAAGAAGTTTCTGAGAATGCTGCTGTCTACTTTTTATATATAATCCCGTTTCCAACGAAATCCTCAAATCTATCCAAATATCCACTTGCAGATTCCAAAAGAAGAGTGTCTCAAAACTGCTCTATCAATAGAAATGTTCAGCACAGTTAGTTGAGTAGATACAGCATAAACATGTTTCTGAGATTACTTCTATCTCGCATTCATGGGAAGATATTTCCTTTTTCCAGATAGGCTACAAAGCCCTCCAAATGTCCACATCGAGATACTACAAATAGAGTGCTGCACAACTGCCCAATGTGAGGGGATGTTCAATTCTGTGACTTGAATGCAGACACCACAAAGAAGTTTCTGAGAATGCTGCTGTCTAATTTTTACATGTAAGCCCGTTTCCAACGAAATTCTCAAAGCTATCCAAATATCCGCATGCAGAATCTTCAAAAAGAGTGTTCCAGAAGTACTGCATGAAACGAAAGGTTCAAGTCCGTTTGTTGAGGACACACATCACAAATAAGTTTCTCAGAATGCTTCTGTCTTGTTTTCATTGGAAGATATTTCCTTTTTCACCATAGTTCAGAAAGCGCTCCAAATGTCCACTTCCAGATACTCCAAAAAGAGTGTTTCCAACCTGCTCTATGAATGGGAATGTTCCACTCTGTGACTTGAATGGAAATATGGCAAAGTATTTTCTGAGTATGCTGCTGTGTACGTTTTATATTGCATCCCGTTTCCAACGAAATCCTCAAAGCGATCCAAATATCCACTTGCAGATTCCAAAAAAAGAGTGTTTCAAACTGCTCTGTCAGTACAAAGGTTCAACACTGTTAGTTGATTAGATGCATCATAAACAAGTTCCTGAGATAGCTTCTATGTCGTTTTTATGGGAAGATATTTCCTTTTTCACCATAGGCCTGAAAGCGCTCCAAATGTCCACTTCCAGATACTACAATAAGAGTGTTTCCAACCTGCTCTATGAAACGGAAGGTTCAACTCTGTGACTTGATTGCAAACATCACGAAGGTGTTTCTGAGAATGCTTCTGTCTAGATTTTCTTTGAAGACATTCCCGTTTCCAACGAAATCCTCACAGCTATCCAAATATCCACTTGCAGATTCTACAAAAAGTGTGGTTCAAAACTGCTGTATCAAAAGAATGGATCAACACTGTTAGTTGAGTACCCACATCACAAACGTGATTCTCAGAATGCTTCTGTCTAGTTTCTGTAGGTAGATATTTCCTATTTTAAGCATAGGCCTGAAAGCGCTCCAAATGCCCGCTTCCAGACACTATAAAAAGAGGGTTTCAAACCTACTCTATGAAAGGGAATGTTCAACTCTGAGAGCTGGATGCAAACATCACAAAGAAGTTTCTGAGAATGCTGCTGTCTACTTTTTATATATAATCCCGTTTCCAACGAAATCCTCAAATCTATCCAAATATCCACTTGCAGATTCCAAAAGAAGAGTGTCTCAAAACTGCTCTATCAATAGAAATGTTCAGCACAGTTAGTTGAGTAGATACAGCATAAACATGTTTCTGAGATTACTTCTATCTCGCATTCATGGGAAGATATTTCCTTTTTCCAGATAGGCTACAAAGCCCTCCAAATGTCCACTTCCAGATACTACAAATAGAGTGCTGCACAACTGCTCTATGTGAGGGGGAAGTTCAATTCTGTGACTTGAATGCAGACACCACAAAGAAGTTTCTGAGAATGCTGCTGTCTAATTTTTACATGTAAGCCCGTTTCCAACGAAATCCTCAAAGCTATCCAAATATCCGCATGCAGAATCTTCAAAAAGAGTGTTCCAGAAGTACTGCATGAAACGAAAGGTTCAAGTCCGTTTGTTGAGGACACACATCACAAATAAGTTTCTCAGAATGCTTCTGTCTTGTTTTCATTGGAAGATATTTCCTTTTTCACCATAGTTCAGAAAGCGCTCCAAATGTCCACTTCCAGATACTCCAAAAAGAGTGTTTCCAACCTGCTCTATGAATGGGAATGTTCCACTCTGTGACTTGAATGGAAATATGGCAAAGTATTTTCTGAGTATGCTGCTGTGTACGTTTTATATTGCATCCCGTTTCCAACGAAATCCTCAAAGCGATCCAAATATCCACTTGCAGATTCCAAAAAAAGAGTGTTTCAAACTGCTCTGTCAGTACAAAGGTTCAACACTGTTAGTTGATTAGATGCATCATAAACAAGTTCCTGAGATAGCTTCTATGTCGTTTTTATGGGAAGATATTTCCTTTTTCACCATAGGCCTGAAAGCGCTCCAAATGTCCACTTCCAGATACTACAATAAGAGTGTTTCCAACCTGCTCTATGAAACGGAAGGTTCAACTCTGTGACTTGATTGCAAACATCACGAAGGTGTTTCTGAGAATGCTTCTGTCTAGATTTTCTTTGAAGACATTCCCGTTTCCAACGAAATCCTCACAGCTATCCAAATATCCTCTTGCAGATTCTACAAAAAGTGTGGTTCAAAACTGCTGTATCAAAAGAATGGATCAACACTGTTAGTTGAGTACCCACATCACAAACGTGATTCTCAGAATGCTTCTGTCTAGTTTCTGTAGGTAGATATTTCCTATTTTAAGCATAGGCCTGAAAGCGCTCCAAATGCCTGCTTCCAGACACTATAAAAAGAGGGTTTCAAACCTACTCTATGAAAGGGAATGTTCAACTCTGAGAGCTGGATGCAAACATCACAAAGAAGTTTCTGAGAATGCTGCTGTCTACTTTTTATATATAATCCCGTTTCCAACGAAATCCTCAAATCTATCCAAATATCCACTTGCAGATTCCAAAAGAAGAGTGTCTCAAAACTGCTCTATCAATAGAAATGTTCAGCACAGTTAGTTGAGCAGATACAGCATAAACATGTTTCTGAGATTACTTCTATCTCGCATTCATGGGAAGATATTTCCTTTTTCCAGATAGGCTACAAAGCCCTCCAAATGTCCACTTCCAGATACTACAAATAGAGTGCTGCACAACTGCTCTATGTGAGGGGAAGTTCAATTCTGTGACTTGAATGCAGACACCACAAAGAAGTTTCTGAGAATGCTGCTGTCTAATTTTTACATGTAAGCCCGTTTCCAACGAAATCCTCAAAGCTATCCAAATATCCGCATGCAGAATCTTCAAAAAGAGTGTTCCAGAAGTACTGCATGAAACGAAAGGTTCAAGTCCGTTTGTTGAGGACACACATCACAAATAAGTTTCTCAGAATGCTTCTGTCTTGTTTTCATTGGAAGATATTTCCTTTTTCACCATAGTTCAGAAAGCGCTCCAAATGTCCACTTCCAGATACTCCAAAAAGAGTGTTTCCAACCTGCTCTATGAATGGGAATGTTCCACTCTGTGACTTGAATGGAAATATGGCAAAGTATTTTCTGAGTATGCTGCTGTGTACGTTTTATATTGCATCCCGTTTCCAACGAAATCCTCAAAGCGATCCAAATATCCACTTGCAGATTCCAAAAAAAGAGTGTTTCAAACTGCTCTGTCAGTACAAAGGTTCAACACTGTTAGTTGATTAGATGCATCATAAACAAGTTCCTGAGATAGCTTCTATGTCGTTTTTATGGGAAGATATTTCCTTTTTCACCATAGGCCTGAAAGCGCTCCAAATGTCCACTTCCAGATACTACAATAAGAGTGTTTCCAACCTGCTCTATGAAACGGAAGGTTCAACTCTGTGACTTGATTGCAAACATCACGAAGGTGTTTCTGAGAATGCTTCTGTCTAGATTTTCTTTGAAGACATTCCCGTTTCCAACGAAATCCTCACAGCTATCCAAATATCCTCTTGCAGATTCTACAAAAAGTGTGGTTCAAAACTGCTGTATCAAAAGAATGGATCAACACTGTTAGTTGAGTACCCACATCACAAACATGATTCTCAGAATGCTTCTGTCTAGTTTCTGTAGGTAGATATTTCCTATTTTAAGCATAGGCCTGAAAGCGCTCCAAATGCCCGCTTCCAGACACTATAAAAAGAGGGTTTCAAACCTACTCTATGAAAGGGAATGTTCAACTCTGAGAGCTGGATGCAAACATCACAAAGAAGTTTCTGAGAATGCTGCTGTCTACTTTTTATATATAATCCCGTTTCCAACGAAATCCTCAAATCTATCCAAATATCCACTTGCAGATTCCAAAAGAAGAGTGTCTCAAAACTGCTCTATCAATAGAAATGTTCAGCACAGTTAGTTGAGTAGATACAGCATAAACATGTTTCTGAGATTACTTCTATCTCGCATTCATGGGAAGATATTTCCTTTTTCCAGATAGGCTACAAAGCCCTCCAAATGTCCACTTCCAGATACTACAAATAGAGTGCTGCACAACTGCTCTATGTGAGGGGAAGTTCAATTCTGTGACTTGAATGCAGACACCACAAAGAAGTTTCTGAGAATGCTGCTGTCTAATTTTTACATGTAAGCCCGTTTCCAACGAAATCCTCAAAGCTATCCAAATATCCGCATGCAGAATCTTCAAAAAGAGTGTTCCAGAAGTACTGCATGAAACGAAAGGTTCAAGTCCGTTTGTTGAGGACACACATCACAAATAAGTTTCTCAGAATGCTTCTGTCTTGTTTTCATTGGAAGATATTTCCTTTTTCACCATAGTTCAGAAAGCGCTCCAAATGTCCACTTCCAGATACTCCAAAAAGAGTGTTTCCAACCTGCTCTATGAATGGGAATGTTCCACTCTGTGACTTGAATGGAAATATGGCAAAGTATTTTCTGAGTATGCTGCTGTGTACGTTTTATATTGCATCCCGTTTCCAACGAAATCCTCAAAGCGATCCAAATATCCACTTGCAGATTCCAAAAAAAGAGTGTTTCAAAGTGCTCTGTCAGTACAAAGGTTCAACACTGTTAGTTGATTAGATGCATCATAAACAAGTTCCTGAGATAGCTTCTATGTCGTTTTTATGGGAAGATATTTCCTTTTTCACCATAGGCCTGAAAGCGCTCCAAATGTCCACTTCCAGATACTACAATAAGAGTGTTTCCAACCTGCTCTATGAAACGGAAGGTTCAACTCTGTGACTTGATTGCAAACATCACGAAGGTGTTCCTCAGAATGATTCTGTCTAGATTTTCTTTGAAGACATTCCCGTTTCCAACGAAATCCTCACAGCTATCCAAATATCCTCTTGCAGATTCTACAAAAAGTGTGGTTCAAAACTGCTGTATCAAAAGAATGGATCAACACTGTTAGTTGAGTACCCACATCACAAACGTGATTCTCAGAATGCTTCTGTCTAGTTTCTGTAGGTAGATATTTCCTATTTTAAGCATAGGCCTGAAAGCGCTCCAAATGCCCGCTTCCAGACACTATAAAAAGAGGGTTTCAAACCTACTCTATGAAAGGGAATGTTCAACTCTGAGAGCTGGATGCAAACATCACAAAGAAGTTTCTGAGAATGCTGCTGTCTACTTTTTATATATAATCCCGTTTCCAACGAAATCCTCAAATCTATCCAAATATCCACTTGCAGATTCCAAAAGAAGAGTGTCTCAAAACTGCTCTATCAATAGAAATGTTCAGCACAGTTAGTTGAGTACATACAGCATAAACATGTTTCTGAGATTACTTCTATCTCGCATTCATGGGAAGATATTTCCTTTTTCCAGATAGGCTACAAAGCCCTCCAAATGTCCACTTCCAGATACTACAAATAGAGTGCTGCACAACTGCTCTATGTGAGGGGATGTTCAATTCTGTGACTTGAATGCAGACACCACAAAGAAGTTTCTGAGAATGCTGCTGTCTAATTTTTACATGTAAGCCCGTTTCCAACGAAATCCTCAAAGCTATCCAAATATCCGCATGCAGAATCTTCAAAAAGAGTGTTCCAGAAGTACTGCATGA
Source organism: Homo sapiens (assembly GCF_000001405.40). Lineage (NCBI taxonomy): Eukaryota > Metazoa > Chordata > Mammalia > Primates > Hominidae > Homo > Homo sapiens. The sequence goes on along the minus strand of NC_000008.11, from coordinate 44,944,938 downwards.
AACGAAAGGTTCAAGTCCGTTTGTTGAGGACACACATCACAAATAAGTTTCTCAGAATGCTTCTGTCTTGTTTTCATTGGAAGATATTTCCTTTTTCACCATAGTTCAGAAAGCGCTCCAAATGTCCACTTCCAGATACTCCAAAAAGAGTGTTTCAAACCTGCTCTATGAATGGGAATGTTCCACTCTGTGACTTGAATGGAAATATGGCAAAGTATTTTCTGAGTATGCTGCTGTGTACGTTTTATATTGCATCCCGTTTCCAACGAAATCCTCAAAGCGATCCAAATATCCACTTGCAGATTCCAAAAAAAGAGTGTTTCAAACTGCTCTGTCAGTACAAAGGTTCAACACTGTTAGTTGATTAGATGCATCATAAACAAGTTCCTGAGATAGCTTCTATGTCGTTTTTATGGGAAGATATTTCCTTTTTCACCATAGGCCTGAAAGCGCTCCAAATGTCCACTTCCAGATACTACAATAAGAGTGTTTCCAACCTGCTCTATGAAACGGAAGGTTCAACTCTGTGACTTGATTGCAAACATCACGAAGGTGTTTCTGAGAATGCTTCTGTCTAGATTTTCTTTGAAGACATTCCCGTTTCCAACGAAATCCTCACAGCTATCCAAATATCCTCTTGCAGATTCTACAAAAAGTGTGGTTCAAAACTGCTGTATCAAAAGAATGGATCAACACTGTTAGTTGAGTACCCACATCACAAACGTGATTCTCAGAATGCTTCTGTCTAGTTTCTGTAGGTAGATATTTCCTATTTTAAGCATAGGCCTGAAAGCGCTCCAAATGCCCGCTTCCAGACACTATAAAAAGAGGGTTTCAAACCTACTCTATGAAAGGGAATGTTCAACTCTGAGAGCTGGATGCAAACATCACAAAGAAGTTTCTGAGAATGCTGCTGTCTACTTTTTATATATAATCCCGTTTCCAACGAAATCCTCAAATCTATCCAAATATCCACTTGCAGATTCCAAAAGAAGAGTGTCTCAAAACTGCTCTATCAATAGAAATGTTCAGCACAGTTAGTTGAGTAGATACAGCATAAACATGTTTCTGAGATTACTTCTATCTCGCATTCATGGGAAGATATTTCCTTTTTCCACATAGGCTACAAAGCCCTCCAAATGTCCACTTCCAGATACTACAAAAAGAGTGTTTCCAACCTGCTCTATGAAACGGAAGGTTCAACTCTGTGACTTGATTGCAAACATCACGAAGGTGTTTCTGAGAATGCTTCTGTCTAGATTTTCTTTGAAGACATTACCGTTTCCAACGAAATCCTCAAAGCTAGCCAAATATCCACCTGCAGATTCTACAAAAAGAGTGTTTCAAAAGTGCTCTGTCCAAACCAAGGTTCAATTCTGACAGTTGAGTGCACACATCACAAACGTGATTCTGCGAATGCTTCTGTCTAGTTTTTGTCGGAAGATATTTCCTTTTTCAGCATAGGCCCCAAGGAGCTCAAAATGTCCACTGCCAGATAGTACGAGAAGATTGTTTCAAACCTGCTCTGTGAAAGGGAATGTTCAACTCTGTGACTTGAATGTAAACATCCCTAAGATGTTTCTTAGAATGCTTCTGGCTAGATTTGATTTGAAGATATTCCCGTTTCCAACGAAATCCTCAAAGCTTTCCAAATATCCACTTCCAGATTCTATAAAAAGAATGTTTCAGAACAGTTCTGTCAAAAGAAAGGTTCAACTCTGTTAGTGGAGAACACACATCACAATCAAGGTTCTGAGAATGCTTCTGTCTAAATTTTCTATGAAGACATTCCCGTTTCCAACGAAATCCTCACAGCTATCCAAATATCCACTTGCAGATTCTACAAAAAGTGTGGTTCAAAACTGCTGTATCAAAAGAATGGATCAACACTGTTAGTTGAGTACCCACATCACAAACGTGATTCTCAGAATGCTTCTGTCTAGTTTCTATAGGTAGATATTTCCTTTTTCAGCATAGGCCTGAAAGCGCTCCAAATGCCCGCTTCCAGACACTATAAAAAGAGGGTTTCAAACCTACTCTATGAAAGGGAATGTTCAACTCTGAGAGCTGGATGCAAACATCACAAAGAAGTTTCTGAGAATGCTGCTGTCTACTTTTGATATATCATCCCGTTTCCAACGAAATCCTCAAATCTATCCAAATATCCACTTGCAGATTCCAAAAGAAGAGTGTCTCAAAACTGCTCTATCAATAGAAATGTTCAGCACAGTTAGTTGAGTAGATACAGCATAAACATGTTTCTGAGATTACTTCTATCTCGCATTCATGGGAAGATATTTCCTTTTTCCAGATAGGCTACAAAGCCCTCCAAATGTCCACTTCCAGATACTACAAATAGAGTGCTGCACAACTGCTCTATGTGAGGGGAAGTTCAATTCTGTGACTTGAATGCAGACACCACAAAGAAGTTTCTGAGAATGCTGCTGTCTAATTTTTACATGTAAGGCCGTTTCCAACGAAATCCTCAAAGCTATCCAAATATCCGCATGCAGAATCTTCAAAAAGAGTGTTCCAGAAGTACTGCATGAAACGAAAGGTTCAAGTCCGTTTGTTGAGGACACACATCACAAATAAGTTTCTCAGAATGCTTCTGTCTTGTTTTCATTGGAAGATATTTCCTTTTTCACCATAGTTCAGAAAGCGCTCCAAATGTCCACTTCCAGATACTCCAAAAAGAGTGTTTCCAACCTGCTCTATGAATGGGAATGTTCCACTCTGTGACTTGAATGGAAACATGGCAAAGTATTTTCTGAGTATGCTGCTGTGTACGTTTTATATTGCATCCCGTTTCCAACGAAATCCTCAAAGCGATCCAAATATCCACTTGCAGATTCCAAAAAAAGAGTGTTTCAAAGTGCTCTGTCAGTACAAAGGTTCAACACTGTTAGTTGATTAGATGCATCATAAACAAGTTCCTGAGATAGCTTCTATGTCGTTTTTATGGGAAGATATTTCCTTTTTCACCATAGGCCTGAAAGCGCTCCAAATGTCCACTTCCAGATACTACAATAAGAGTGTTTCCAACCTGCTCTATGAAACGGAAGGTTCAACTCTGTGACTTGATTGCAAACATCACGAAGGTGTTTCTGAGAATGCTTCTGTCTAGATTTTCTTTGAAGACATTCCCGTTTCCAACGAAATCCTCACAGCTATCCAAATATCCTCTTGCAGATTCTACAAAAAGTGTGGTTCAAAACTGCTGTATCAAAAGAATGGATCAACACTGTTAGTTGAGTACCCACATCACAAACGTGATTCTCAGAATGCTTCTGTCTAGTTTCTGTAGGTAGATATTTCCTATTTTAAGCATAGGCCTGAATGCGCTCCAAATGCCCGCTTCCAGACACTATAAAAAGAGGGTTTCAAACCTACTCTATGAAAGGGAATGTTCAACTCTGAGAGCTGGATGCAAACATCACAAAGAAGTTTCTGAGAATGCTGCTGTCTACTTTTTATATATAATCCCGTTTCCAACGAAATCCTCAAATCTATCCAAATATCCACTTGCAGATTCCAAAAGAAGAGTGTCTCAAAACTGCTCTATCAATAGAAATGTTCAGCACAGTTAGTTGAGTAGATACAGCATAAACATGTTTCTGAGATTACTTCTATCTCGCATTCATGGGAAGATATTTCCTTTTTCCAGATAGGCTACAAAGCCCTCCAAATGTCCACTTCCAGATACTACAAATAGAGTGCTGCACAACTGCTCTATGTGAGGGGAAGTTCAATTCTGTGACTTGAATGCAGACACCACAAAGAAGTTTCTGAGAATGCTGCTGTCTAATTTTTACATGTAAGCCCGTTTCCAACGAAATCCTCAAAGCAATCCAAATATCCGCATGCAGAATCTTCAAAAAGAGTGTTCCAGAAGTACTGCATGAAACGAAAGGTTCAAGTCCGTTTGTTGAGGACACACATCACAAATAAGTTTCTCAGAATGCTTCTGTCTTGTTTTCATTGGAAGATATTTCCTTTTTCACCATAGTTCAGAAAGCGCTCCAAATGTCCACTTCCAGATACTCCAAAAAGAGTGTTTCAAACCTGCTCTATGAATGGGAATGTTCCACTCTGTGACTTGAATGGAAATATGGCAAAGTATTTTCTGAGTATGCTGCTGTGTACGTTTTATATTGCATCCCGTTTCCAACGAAATCCTCAAAGCGATCCAAATATCCACTTGCAGATTCCAAAAAAAGAGTGTTTCAAACTGCTCTGTCAGTACAAAGGTTCAACACTGTTAGTTGATTAGATGCATCATAAACAAGTTCCTGATATAGATTCTATGTCGCTTTTATGGGAAGATATTTCCTTTTACACCATAGGCCTGAAAGCGCTCCAAATGTCCACTTCCAGATACTACAAAATGAGTGTTTCCAACCTGCTCTATGAAACGGAAGGTTCAACTCTGTGACTTGATTGCAAACATCACGAAGGTGTTTCTGAGGATGTTTCTGTCTAGATTTTCTTTGAAGACATTACCGTTTCCAACGAAATCCTCAAAGCTAGCCAAATATCCACCTGCAGATTCTACAAAAAGAGTGTTTCAAAAGTGCTCTGTCCAAACCAAGGTTCAATTCTGACAGTTGAGTGCACACATCACAAACGTGATTCTGCGAATGCTTCTGTCTAGTTTTTGTCGGAAGATATTTCCTTTTTCAGCATAGGCCCCAAGGAGCTCAAAATGTCCACTGCCAGATAGTACGAGAAGATTGTTTCAAACCTGCTGCTGTGAAAGGGAATGTTCAACTCTGTGACTTGAATGTAAACATCCCTAAGATGTTTCTTAGAATGCTTCTGGCTAGATTTGATTTGAAGATATTCCCGTTTCCAACGAAATCCTCAAAGCTTTCCAAATATCCACTTCCAGATTCTATAAAAAGAATGTTTCAGAACAGTTCTGTCAAAAGAAAGGTTCAACTCTGTTAGTGGAGAACACACATCACAATCAAGGTTCTGAGAATGCTTCTGTCTAAATTTTCTATGAAGACATTCCCGTTTCCAACGAAATCCTCACAGCTATCCAAATATCCACTTGCAGATTCTACAAAAAGTGTGGTTCAAAACTGCTGTATCAAAAGAATGGATCAACACTGTTAGTTGAGTACCCACATCACAAACGTGATTCTCAGAATGCTTCTGTCTAGTTTCTGTAGGTAGATATTTCCTTTTTCAGCATAGGCCTGAAAGCGCTCCAAATGCCCGCTTCCAGACACTATAAAAAGGGGGTTTCAAACCTACTCTATGAAACGGAATGTTCAACTCTGGGACCTGGATGCAAACATCACAAAGAAGTTTCTGAGAATGCTGCTGTCTACTTTTTATATATAATCCCGTTTCCAACGAAATCCTCAAATCTAGCCAAATATCCACTTGCAGATTCGAAAAGAAGAGTGTCTCAAAACTGCTCTATTAATAGAAATGTTCAGCACACTTAGTTGAGTAGATACAGCATAAACATGTTTCTGAGATTACTTCTATCTCGCATTCATGGGAAGATATTTCCTTTTTCCAGATAGGCTACAAAGCCCTCCAAATGTCCACTTCCAGATACTACAAATAGAGTGCTGCACAACTGCTCTATGTGAGGGGATGTTCAGTTCTGTGACTTGAATGCAGACACCACAAAGAAGTTTCTGAGAATGCTGCTGTCTAATTTTTATATGTAAGCCCGTTTCCAACGAAATCCTCAAAGCTATCCAAATATCCGCATGCAGAATCTTCAAAAAGAGTGTTCCAGAAGTACTGCATGAAACGAAAGGTTCGAGTCCGTTAGTTGAGGACACGCATCACAAATAAGTTTCTCAGAATGCTTCTGTCTTGTTTTCATTGGAAGATATTTCCTTTTTCACCATAGTTCAGAAAGCGCTCCAAATGTCCACTTCCAGATACTCCAAAAAGAGTGTTTCAAACCTGCTCTATGAATGGGAATGTTCCACTCTGTGACTTGAATGGAAATATGGCAAAGTATTTTCTGAGTATGCTGCTGTGTAAGTTTTATATTGCATCCTGTTTCCAACGAAATCCTCAAAGTGATACAAATATCCACTTGCAGATTCCAAAAAAAGAGTGTTTCAAACTGCTCTGTCAGTACAAAGGTTCAACACTGTTAGTTGATTAGATGCATCATAAACAAGTTCCTGAGATAGCTTCTATGTCGCTTTTATGGGAAGCTATTTCCTTTTACACCATAGGCCTGAAAGCGCTCCAAATGTCCACTTCCAGATACTACAAAATGAGTGTTTCCAACCTGCTCTATGAAACGGAAGGTTCAACTCTGTGACTTGATTGCAAACATCACGAAGGTGTTTCTGAGGATGTTTCTGTCTAGATTTTCTTTGAAGACATTACCGTTTCCAACGAAATCCTCAAAGCTAGCCAAATATCCACCTGCAGATTCTACAAAAAGAGTGTTTCAAAAGTGCTCTGTCCAAACCAAGGTTCAATTCTGACAGTTGAGTGCACACATCACAAACGTGATTCTGCGAATGCTTCTGTCTACTTTTTGTCGGAAGATATTTCCTTTTTCAGCATAGGCCCCAAGGAGCTCAAAATGTCCACTTCCAGATAGTACGAGAAGATTGTTTCAAACCTGCTCTGAGAAAGGGGAATGTTCAACTCTGTGACTTGAATGTACACATCCCTAAGATGTTTCTTAGAATGCTTCTGGCTAGATTTGATTTGAAGATATTCCCGTTTCCAACGAAATCCTCAAAGCTTTCCAAATATCCACTTCCAGATTCTATAAAAAGAATGTTTCAGAACAGTTCTGTCAAAAGAAAGGTTCAACTGCTGTTAGTGGAGAACACACATCACAATCAAGGTTCTGAGAATGCTTCTGTCTAAATTTTCTATGAAGACATTCCCGTTTCCAACGAAATCCTCACAGCTATCCAAATATCCACTTGCAGATTCTACAAAAAGTGTGGTTCAAAACTGCTGTATCAAAAGAATGGATCAACACTGTTAGTTGAGTACCCACATCACAAACGTGATTCTCAGAATGCTTCTGTCTAGTTTCTATAGGTAGATATTTCCTTTTTCAGCATAGGCCTGAAAGCGCTCCAAATGCCCGCTTCCAGACACTATAAAAAGAGGGTTTCAAACCTACTCTATGAAAGGGAATGTTCAACTCTGAGAGCTGGATGCAAACATCACAAAGAAGTTTCTGAGAATGCTGCTGTCTACTTTTTATATATAATCCCGTTTCCAACGAAATCCTCAAATCTATCCAAATATCCACTTGCAGATTCCAAAAGAAGAGTGTCTCAAAACTGCTCTATCAATAGAAATGTTCAGCACAGTTAGTTGAGTAGATACAGCATAAACATGTTTCTGAGATTACTTCTATCTCGCATTCATGGGAAGATATTTCCTTTTTCCAGATAGGCTACAAAGCCCTCCAAATGTCCACTTCCAGATACTACAAAAAGAGTGTTTCCAACCTGCTCTATGAAACGGAAGGTTCAACTCTGTGACTTGATTGCAAACATCACGAAGGTGTTTCTGAGAATGCTTCTGTCTAGATTTTCTTTGAAGACATTACCGTTTCCAACGAAATCCTCAAAGCTAGCCAAATATCCACCTGCAGATTCTACAAAAAGAGTGTTTCAAAAGTGCTCTGTCCAAACCAAGGTTCAATTCTGACAGTTGAGTGCACACATCACAAACGTGATTCTGCGAATGCTTCTGTCTAGTTTTTGTCGGAAGATATTTCCTTTTTCAGCATAGGCCCCAAGGAGCTCAAAATGTCCACTGCCAGATAGTACGAGAAGATTGTTTCAAACCTGCTCTGTGAAAGGGAATGTTCAACTCTGTGACTTGAATGTAAACATCCCTAAGATGTTTCTTAGAATGCTTCTGGCTAGATTTTATTTGAAGATATTCCCGTTTCCAACGAAATCCTCAAAGCTTTCCAAATATCCACTTCCAGATTCTATAAAAAGAATGTTTCAGAACAGTTCTGTCAAAAGAAAGGTTCAACTCTGTTAGTGGAGAACACACATCACAATCAAGGTTCTGAGAATGCTTCTGTCTAAATTTTCTATGAAGACATTCCCGTTTCCAACGAAATCCTCACAGCTATCCAAATATCCACTTGCAGATTCTACAAAAAGTGTGGTTCAAAACTGCTGTATCAAAAGAATGGATCAACACTGTTAGTTGAGTACCCACATCACAAACGTGATTCTCAGAATGCTTCTGTCTAGTTTCTATAGGTAGATATTTCCTTTTTCAGCATAGGCCTGAAAGCGCTCCAAATGCCCGCTTCCAGACACTATAAAAAGAGGGTTTCAAACCTACTCTATGAAAGGGAATGTTCAACTCTGAGAGCTGGATGCAAACATCACAAAGAAGTTTCTGAGAATGCTGCTGTCTACTTTTTATATATAATCCCATTTCCAACGAAATCCTCAAATCTATCCAAATATCCACTTGCAGATTCCAAAAGAAGAGTGTCTCAAAACTGCTCTATCAATAGAAATGTTCAGCACAGTTAGTTGAGTAGATACAGCATAAACATGTTTCTGAGATTACTTCTATCTCGCATTCATGGGAAGATATTTCCTTTTTCCAGATAGGCTACAAAGCCCTCCAAATGTCCACTTCCAGATACTACAAAAAGAGTGTTTCCAACCTGCTCTATGAAACGGAAGGTTCAACTCTGTGACTTGATTGCAAACATCACGACGCTGTTTCTGAGAATGCTTCTGTCTAGATTTTCTTTGAAGACATTACCGTTTCCAACGAAATCCTCAAAGCTAGCCAAATATCCACCTGCAGATTCTACAAAAAGAGTGTTTCAAAAGTGCTCTGTCCAAACCAAGGTTCAATTCTGACAGTTGAGTGCACACATCACAAACGTGATTCTGCGAATGCTTCTGTCTAGTTTTTGTCGGAAGATATTTCCTTTTTCAGCATAGGCCCCAAGGAGCTCAAAATGTCCACTGCCAGATAGTACGAGAAGATTGTTTCAAACCTGCTCTGTGAAAGGGAATGTTCAACTCTGTGACTTGAATGTAAACATCCCTAAGATGTTTCTTAGAATGCTTCTGGCTAGATTTTATTTGAAGATATTCCCGTTTCCAACGAAATCCTCAAAGCTTTCCAAATATCCACTTCCAGATTCTATAAAAAGAATGTTTCAGAACAGTTCTGTCAAAAGAAAGGTTCAACTCTGTTAGTGGAGAACACACATCACAATCAAGGTTCTGAGAATGCTTCTGTCTAAATTTTCTATGAAGACATTCCCGTTTCCAACGAAATCCTCACAGCTATCCAAATATCCACTTGCAGATTCTACAAAAAGTGTGGTTCAAAACTGCTGTATCAAAAGAATGGATCAACACTGTTAGTTGAGTACCCACATCACAAACGTGATTCTCAGAATGCTTCTGTCTAGTTTCTATAGGTAGATATTTCCTTTTTCAGCATAGGCCTGAAAGCGCTCCAAATGCCCGCTTCCAGACACTATAAAAAGAGGGTTTCAAACCTACTCTATGAAAGGGAATGTTCAACTCTGAGAGCTGGATGCAAACATCACAAAGAAGTTTCTGAGAATGCTGCTGTCTACTTTTTATATATAATCCCGTTTCCAACGAAATCCTCAAATCTATCCAAATATCCACTTGCAGATTCCAAAGGAAGAGTGTCTCAAAACTGCTCTATCAATAGAAATGTTCAGCACAGTTAGTTGAGTAGATACAGCATAAACATGTTTCTGAGATTACTTCTATCTCGCATTCATGGGAAGATATTTCCTTTTTCCAGATAGGCTACAAAGCCCTCCAAATGTCCACTTCCAGATACTACAAATAGAGTGCTGCACAACTGCTCTATGTGAGGGGAAGTTCAATTCTGTGACTTGAATGCAGACACCACAAAGAAGTTTCTGAGAATGCTGCTGTCTAATTTTTACATGTAAGCCCGTTTCCAACGAAATCCTCAAAGCTATCCAAATATCCGCATGCAGAATCTTCAAAAAGAGTGTTCCAGAAGTACTGCATGAAACGAAAGGTTCAAGTCCGTTTGTTGAGGACACACATCACAAATAAGTTTCTCAGAATGCTTCTGTCTTGTTTTCATTGGAAGATATTTCCTTTTTCACCATAGTTCAGAAAGCGCTCCAAATGTCCACTTCCAGATACTCCAAAAAGAGTGTTTCCAACCTGCTCTATGAATGGGAATGTTCCACTCTGTGACTTGAATGGAAATATGGCAAAGTATTTTCTGAGTATGCTGCTGTGTACGTTTTATATTGCATCCCGTTTCCAACGAAATCCTCAAAGCGATCCAAATATCCACTTGCAGATTCCAAAAAAAGAGTGTTTCAAACTGCTCTGTCAGTACAAAGGTTCAACACTGTTAGTTGATTAGATGCATCATAAACAAGTTCCTGAGATAGCTTCTATGTCGTTTTTATGGGAAGATATTTCCTTTTTCACCATAGGCCTGAAAGCGCTCCAAATGTCCACTTCCAGATACTACAAAAAGAGTGTTTCCAACCTGCTCTATGAAACGGAAGGTTCAACTCTGTGACTTGATTGCAAACATCACGAAGGTGTTTCTGAGAATGTTTCTGTCTAGATTTTCTTTGAAGACATTCCCGTTTCCAACGAAATCCTCACAGCTATCCAAATATCCGCTTGCAGATTCTACAAAAAGTGTGGTTCAAAACTGCTGTATCAAAAGAATGGATCAACACTGTTAGTTGAGTACCCACATCACAAACGTGATTCTCAGAATGCTTCTGTCTAGTTTCTGTAGGTAGATATTTCCTATTTTAAGCATAGGCCTGAAAGCGCTCCAAATGCCCGCTTCCAGACACTATAAAAAGAGGGTTTCAAACCTACTCTATGAAAGGGAATGTTCAACTCTGAGAGCTGGATGCAAACATCACAAAGAAGTTTCTGAGAATGCTGCTGTCTACTTTTTATATATAATCCCGTTTCCAACGAAATCCTCAAATCTATCCAAATATCCACTTGCAGATTCCAAAAGAAGAGTGTCTCAAAACTGCTCTATCAATAGAAATGTTCAGCACAGTTAGTTGAGTAGATACAGCATAAACATGTTTCTGAGATTACTTCTATCTCGCATTCATGGGAAGATATTTCCTTTTTCCAGATAGGCTACAAAGCCCTCCAAATGTCCACTTCCAGATACTACAAATAGAGTGCTGCACAACTGCTCTATATGAGGGGAAGTTCAATTCTGTGACTTGAATGCAGACACCACAAAGAAGTTTCTGAGAATTCTGCTGTCTAATTTTTACATGTAAGCCCGTTTCCAACGAAATCCTCAAAGCTATCCAAATATCCGCATGCAGAATCTTCAAAAAGAGTGTTCCAGAAGTACTGCATGAAACGAAAGGTTCAAGTCCGTTTGTTGAGGACACACATCACAAATAAGTTTCTCAGAATGCTTCTGTCTTGTTTTCATTGGAAGATATTTCCTTTTTCACCATAGTTCAGAAAGCGCTCCAAATGTCCACTTCCAGATACTCCAAAAAGAGTGTTTCCAACCTGCTCTATGAATGGGAATGTTCCACTCTGTGACTTGAATGGAAATATGGCAAAGTATTTTCTGAGTATGCTGCTGTGTACGTTTTATATTGCATCCCGTTTCCAACGAAATCCTCAAAGCGATCCAAATATCCACTTGCAGATTCCAAAAAAAAGAGTGTTTCAAACTGCTCTGTCAGTACAAAGGTTCAACACTGTTAGTTGATTAGATGCATCATAAACAAGTTCCTGAGATAGCTTCTATGTCGTTTTTATGGGAAGATATTTCCTTTTTCACCATAGGCCTGAAAGCGCTCCAAATGTCCACTTCCAGATACTACAATAAGAGTGTTTCCAACCTGCTCTATGAAACGGAAGGTTCAACTCTGTGACTTGATTGCAAACATCACGAAGGTGTTTCTGAGAATGCTTCTGTCTAGATTTTCTTTGAAGACATTCCCGTTTCCAACGAAATCCTCACAGCTATCCAAATATCCTCTTGCAGATTCTACAAAAAGTGTGGTTCAAAACTGCTGTATCAAAAGAATGGATCAACACTGTTAGTTGAGTACCCACATCACAAACGTGATTCTCAGAATGCTTCTGTCTAGTTTCTGTAGGTAGATATTTCCTATTTTAAGCATAGGCCTGAAAGCGCTCCAAATGCCCGCTTGCAGACACTATAAAAAGAGGGTTTCAAACCTACTCTATGAAAGGGAATGTTCAACTCTGAGAGCTGGATGCAAACATCACAAAGAAGTTTCTGAGAATGCTGCTGTCTACTTTTGATATATAATCCCGTTTCCAACGAAATCCTCAAATCTATCCAAATATCCACTTGCAGATTCCAAAAGAAGAGTGTCTCAAAACTGCTCTATCAATAGAAATGTTCAGCACAGTTAGTTGAGTAGATACAGCATAAACATGTTTCTGAGATTACTTCTATCTCGCATTCATGGGAAGATATTTCCTTTTTCCAGATAGGCTACAAAGCCCTCCAAATGTCCACTTCCAGATACTACAAATAGAGTGCTGCACAACTGCTCTATGTGAGGGGAAGTTCAATTCTGTGACTTGAATGCAGACACCACAAAGAAGTTTCTGAGAATGCTGCTGTCTAATTTTTACATGTAAGCCCGTTTCCAACGAAATCCTCAAAGCTATCCAAATATCCGCATGCAGAATCTTCAAAAAGAGTGTTCCAGAAGTACTGCATGAAACGAAAGGTTCAAGTCCGTTTGTTGAGGACACACATCACAAATAAGTTTCTCAGAATGCTTCTGTCTTGTTTTCATTGGAAGATATTTCCTTTTTCACCATAGTTCAGAAAGCGCTCCAAATGTCCACTTCCAGATACTCCAAAAAGAGTGTTTCCAACCTGCTCTATGAATGGGAATGTTCCACTCTGTGACTTGAATGGAAATATGGCAAAGTATTTTCTGAGTATGCTGCTGTGTACGTTTTATATTGCATCCCGTTTCCAACGAAATCCTCAAAGCGATCCAAATATCCACTTGCAGATTCCAAAAAAAGAGTGTTTCAAACTGCTCTGTCAGTACAAAGGTTCAACACTGTTAGTTGATTAGATGCATCATAAACAAGTTCCTGAGATAGCTTCTATGTCGTTTTTATGGGAAGATATTTCCTTTTTCACCATAGGCCTGAAAGCGCTCCAAATGTCCACTTCCAGATACTACAATAAGAGTGTTTCCAACCTGCTCTATGAAACGGAAGGTTCAACTCTGTGACTTGATTGCAAACATCACGAAGGTGTTTCTGAGAATGCTTCTGTCTAGATTTTCTTTGAAGACATTCCCGTTTCCAACGAAATCCTCACAGCTATCCAAATATCCTCTTGCAGATTCTACAAAAAGTGTGGTTCAAAACTGCTGTATCAAAAGAATGGATCAACACTGTTAGTTGAGTACCCACATCACAAACGTGATTCTCAGAATGCTTCTGTCTAGTTTCTGTAGGTAGATATTTCCTATTTTAAGCATAGGCCTGAAAGCGCTCCAAATGCCCGCTTCCAGACACTATAAAAAGAGGGTTTCAAACCTACTCTATGAAAGGGAATGTTCAACTCTGAGAGCTGGATGCAAACATCACAAAGAAGTTTCTGAGAATGCTGCTGTCTACTTTTTATATATAATCCCGTTTCCAACGAAATCCTCAAATCTATCCAAATATCCACTTGCAGATTCCAAAAGAAGAGTGTCTCAAAACTGCTCTATCAATAGAAATGTTCAGCACAGTTAGTTGAGTAGATACAGCATAAACATGTTTCTGAGATTACTTCTATCTCGCATTCATGGGAAGATATTTCCTTTTTCCAGATAGGCTAAAAAGCCCTCCAAATGTCCACTTCCAGATACTACAAAAAGAGTGTTTCCAACCTGCTCTATGAAACGGAAGGTTCAACTCTGTGACTTGATTGCAAACATCACGAAGGTGTTTCTGAGAATGCTTCTGTCTAGATTTTCTTTGAAGACATTACCGTTTCCAACGAAATCCTCAAAGCTAGCCAAATATCCACCTGCAGATTCTACAAAAAGAGTGTTTCAAAAGTGCTCTGTCCAAACCAAGGTTCAATTCTGACAGTTGAGTGCACACATCACAAACGTGATTCTGCGAATGCTTCTGTCTAGTTTTTGTCGGAAGATATTTCCTTTTTCAGCATAGGCCCCAAGGAGCTCAAAATGTCCACTGCCAGATAGTACGAGAAGATTGTTTCAAACCTGCTCTGTGAAAGGGAATGTTCAACTCTGTGACTTGAATGTAAACATCCCTAAGATGTTTCTTAGAATGCTTCTGGCTAGATTTTATTTGAAGATATTCCCGTTTCCAACGAAATCCTCAAAGCTTTCCAAATATCCACTTCCAGATTCTACAAAAAGTGTGGTTCAAAACTGCTGTATCAAAAGAATGGATCAACACTGTTAGTTGAGTACCCACATCACAAACGTGATTCTCAGAATGCTTCTGTCTAGTTTCTATAGGTAGATATTTCCTTTTTCAGCATAGGCCTGAAAGCGCTCCAAATGCCCGCTTCCAGACACTATAAAAAGAGGGTTTCAAACCTACTCTATGAAAGGGAATGTTCAACTCTGAGAGCTGGATGCAAACATCACAAAGAAGTTTCTGAGAATGCTGCTGTCTACTTTTTATATATAATCCCGTTTCCAACGAAATCCTCAAATCTATCCAAATATCCACTTGCAGATTCCAAAAGAAGAGTGTCTGAAAACTGCTCTATCAATAGAAATGTTCAGCACAGTTAGTTGAGTAGATACAGCATAAACATGTTTCTGAGATTACTTCTATCTCGCATTCATGGGAAGATATTTCCTTTTTCCAGATAGGCTACAAAGCCCTCCAAATGTCCACTTCCAGATACTACAAATAGAGTGCTGCACAACTGCTCTATGTGAGGGGAAGTTCAATTCTGTGACTTGAATGCAGACACCACAAAGAAGTTTCTGAGAATGCTGCTGTCTAATTTTTACATGTAAGCCCGTTTCCAACGAAATCCTCAAAGCTATCCAAATATCCGCATGCAGAATCTTCAAAAAGAGTGTTCCAGAAGTACTGCATGAAACGAAAGGTTCAAGTCCGTTTGTTGAGGACACACATCACAAATAAGTTTCTCAGAATGCTTCTGTCTTGTTTTCATTGGAAGATATTTCCTTTTTCACCATAGTTCAGAAAGCGCTCCAAATGTCCACTTCCAGATACTCCAAAAAGAGTGTTTCCAACCTGCTCTATGAATGGGAATGTTCCACTCTGTGACTTGAATGGAAATATGGCAAAGTATTTTGCTGAGTATGCTGCTGTGTACGTTTTATATTGCATCCCGTTTCCAACGAAATCCTCAAAGCGATCCAAATATCCACTTGCAGATTCCAAAAAAAGAGTGTTTCAAAGTGCTCTGTCAGTACAAAGGTTCAACACTGTTAGTTGATTAGATGCATCATAAACAAGTTCCTGAGATAGCTTCTATGTCGTTTTTATGGGAAGATATTTCCTTTTTCACCATAGGCCTGAAAGCGCTCCAAATGTCCACTTCCAGATACTACAATAAGAGTGTTTCCAACCTGCTCTATGAAACGGAAGGTTCAACTCTGTGACTTGATTGCAAACATCACGAAGGTGTTTCTGAGAATGCTTCTGTCTAGATTTTCTTTGAAGACATTCCCGTTTCCAACGAAATCCTCACAGCTATCCAAATATCCACTTGCAGATTCTACAAAAAGTGTGGTTCAAAACTGCTGTATCAAAAGAATGGATCAACACTGTTAGTTGAGTACCCACATCACAAACGTGATTCTCAGAATGCTTCTGTCTAGTTTCTGTAGGTAGATATTTCCTATTTTAAGCATAGGCCTGAAAGCGCTCCAAATGCCCGCTTCCAGACACTATAAAAAGAGGGTTTCAAACCTACTCTATGAAAGGGAATGTTCAACTCTGAGAGCTGGATGCAAACATCACAAAGAAGTTTCTGAGAATGCTGCTGTCTACTTTTTATATATAATCCCGTTTCCAACGAAATCCTCAAATCTATCCAAATATCCACTTGCAGATTCCAAAAGAAGAGTGTCTCAAAACTGCTCTATCAATAGAAATGTTCAGCACAGTTAGTTGAGTAGATACAGCATAAACATGTTTCTGAGATTACTTCTATCTCGCATTCATGGGAAGATATTTCCTTTTTCCAGATAGGCTACAAAGCCCTCCAAATGTCCACTTCCAGATACTACAAATAGAGTGCTGCACAACTGCTCTATGTGAGGGGAAGTTCAATTCTGTGACTTGAATGCAGACACCACAAAGAAGTTTCTGAGAATGCTGCTGTCTAATTTTTACATGTAAGCCCGTTTCCAACGAAATCCTCAAAGCTATCCAAATATCCGCATGCAGAATCTTCAAAAAGAGTGTTCCAGAAGTACTGCATGAAACGAAAGGTTCAAGTCCGTTTGTTGAGGACACACATCACAAATAAGTTTCTCAGAATGCTTCTGTCTTGTTTTCATTGGAAGATATTTCCTTTTTCACCATAGTTCAGAAAGCGCTCCAAATGTCCACTTCCAGATACTCCAAAAAGAGTGTTTCCAACCTGCTCTATGAATGGGAATGTTCCACTCTGTGACTTGAATGGAAATATGGCAAAGTATTTTCTGAGTATGCTGCTGTGTACGTTTTATATTGCATCCCGTTTCCAACGAAATCCTCAAAGCGATCCAAATATCCACTTGCAGATTCCAAAAAAAGAGTGTTTCAAACTGCTCTGTCAGTACAAAGGTTCAACACTGTTAGTTGATTAGATGCATCATAAAAAAGTTCCTGAGATAGCTTCTATGTCGTTTTTATGGGAAGATATTTCCTTTTTCACCATAGGCCTGAAAGCGCTCCAAATGTCCACTTCCAGATACTACAATAAGAGTGTTTCCAACCTGCTCTATGAAACGGAAGGTTCAACTCTGTGACTTGATTGCAAACATCACGAAGGTGTTTCTGAGAATGCTTCTGTCTAGATTTTCTTTGAAGACATTCCCGTTTCCAACGAAATCCTCACAGCTATCCAAATATCCTCTTGCAGATTCTACAAAAAGTGTGGTTCAAAACTGCTGTATCAAAAGAATGGATCAACACTGTTAGTTGAGTACCCACATCACAAACGTGATTCTCAGAATGCTTCTGTCTAGTTTCTGTAGGTAGATATTTCCTATTTTAAGCATAGGCCTGAAAGCGCTCCAAATGCCCGCTTGCAGACACTATAAAAAGAGGGTTTCAAACCTACTCTATGAAAGGGAATGTTCAACTCTGAGAGCTGGATGCAAACATCACAAAGAAGTTTCTGAGAATGCTGCTGTCTACTTTTGATATATAATCCCGTTTCCAACGAAATCCTCAAATCTATCCAAATATCCACTTGCAGATTCCAAAAGAAGAGTGTCTCAAAACTGCTCTATCAATAGAAATGTTCAGCACAGTTAGTTGAGTAGATACAGCATAAACATGTTTCTGAGATTACTTCTATCTCGCATTCATGGGAAGATATTTCCTTTTTCCAGATAGGCTACAAAGCCCTCCAAATGTCCACTTCCAGATACTACAAATAGAGTGCTGCACAACTGCTCTATGTGAGGGGAAGTTCAATTCTGTGACTTGAATGCAGACACCACAAAGAAGTTTCTGAGAATGCTGCTGTCTAATTTTTACATGTAAGCCCGTTTCCAACGAAATCCTCAAAGCTATCCAAATATCCGCATGCAGAATCTTCAAAAAGAGTGTTCCAGAAGTACTGCATGAAACGAAAGGTTCAAGTCCGTTTGTTGAGGACACACATCACAAATAAGTTTCTCAGAATGCTTCTGTCTTGTTTTCATTGGAAGATATTTCCTTTTTCACCATAGTTCAGAAAGCGCTCCAAATGTCCACTTCCAGATACTCCAAAAAGAGTGTTTCAAACCTGCTCTATGAATGGGAATGTTCCACTCTCTGACTTGAATGGAAATATGGCAAAGTATTTTCTGAGTATGCTGCTGTGTACGTTTTATATTGCATCCCGTTTCCAACGAAATCCTCAAAGCGATCCAAATATCCACTTGCAGATTCCAAAAAAAGAGTGTTTCAAACTGCTCTGTCAGTACAAAGGTTCAACACTGTTAGTTGATTAGATGCATCATAAACAAGTTCCTGAGATAGCTTCTATGTCGCTTTTATGGGAAGATATTTCCTTTTACACCATAGGCCTGAAAGCGCTCCAAATGTCCACTTCCAGATACTACAAAATGAGTGTTTCCAACCTGCTCTATGAAACGGAAGGTTCAACTCTGTGACTTGATTGCAAACATCACGAAGGTGTTTCTGAGGATGTTTCTGTCTAGATTTTCTTTGAAGACATTACCGTTTCCAACGAAATCCTCAAAGCTAGCCAAATATCCACCTGCAGATTCTACAAAAAGAGTGTTTCAAAAGTGCTCTGTCCAAACCAAGGTTCAATTCTGACAGTTGAGTGCACACATCACAAACGCGATTCTGTGAATGCTTCTGTCTAGTTTTTGTCGGAAGATATTTCCTTTTTCAGCATAGGCCCCAAGGAGCTCAAAATGTCCACTGCCAGATAGTACGAGAAGATTGTTTCAAACCTGCTCTGTGAAAGGGAATGTTCAACTCTGTGACTTGAATGTAAACATCCCTAAGATGTTTCTTAGAATGCTTCTGGCTAGATTTGATTTGAAGATATTCCCGTTTCCAACGAAATCCTCAAAGCTTTCCAAATATCCACTTCCAGATTCTATAACAAGAATGTTTCAGAACAGTTCTGTCAAAAGAAAGGTTCAACTCTGTTAGTGGAGAACACACATCACAATCAAGGTTCTGAGAATGCTTCTGTCTAAATTTTCTATGAAGACATTCCCGTTTCCAACGAAATCCTCACAGCTATCCAAATATCCACTTGCAGATTCTACAAAAAGTGTGGTTCAAAACTGCTGTATCAAAAGAATGGATCAACACTGTTAGTTGAGTACCCACATCACAAACGTGATTCTCAGAATGCTTCTGTCTAGTTTCTATAGGTAGATATTTCCTTTTTCAGCATAGGCCTGAAAGCGCTCCAAATGCCCGCTTCCAGACACTATAAAAAGAGGGTTTCAAACCTACTCTATGAAAGGGAATGTTCAACTCTGAGAGCTGGATGCAAACATCACAAAGAAGTTTCTGAGAATGCTGCTGTCTACTTTTTATATATAATCCCGTTTCCAACGAAATCCTCAAATCTATCCAAATATCCACTTGCAGATTCCAAAAGAAGAGTGTCTCAAAACTGCTCTATCAATAGAAATGTTCAGCACAGTTAGTTGAGTAGATACAGCATAAACATGTTTCTGAGATTACTTCTATCTCGCATTCATGGGAAGATATTTCCTTTTTCCAGATAGGCTACAAAGCCCTCCAAATGTCCACTTCGAGATACTACAAATAGAGTGCTGCACAACTGCTCTATGTGAGGGGAAGTTCAATTCTGTGACTTGAATGCAGACACCACAAAGAAGTTTCTGAGAATGCTGCTGTCTAATTTTTACATGTAAGCCCGTTTTCAACGAAATCCTCAAAGCTATCCAAATATCCGCATGCAGAATCTTCAAAAAGAGTGTTCCAGAAGTACTGCATGAAACGAAAGGTTCAAGTCCGTTTGTTGAGGACACACATCACAAATAAGTTTCTCAGAATGCTTCTGTCTTGTTTTCATTGGAAGATATTTCCTTTTTCACCATAGTTCAGAAAGCGCTCCAAATGTCCACTTCCAGATACTCCAAAAAGAGTGTTTCCAACCTGCTCTATGAATGGGAATGTTCCACTCTGTGACTTGAATGGAAATATGGCAAAGTATTTTCTGAGTATGCTGCTGTGTACGTTTTATATTGCATCCCGTTTCCAACGAAATCCTCAAAGCGATCCAAATATCCACTTGCAGATTCCAAAAAAAGAGTGTTTCAAACTGCTCTGTCAGTACAAAGGTTCAACACTGTTAGTTGATTAGATGCATCATAAACAAGTTCCTGAGATAGCTTCTATGTCGTTTTTATGGGAAGATATTTCCTTTTTCACCATAGGCCTGAAAGCGCTCCAAATGTCCACTTCCAGATACTACAATAAGAGTGTTTCCAACCTGCTCTATGAAACGGAAGGTTCAACTCTGTGACTTGATTGCAAACATCACGAAGGTGTTTCTGAGAATGCTTCTGTCTAGATTTTCTTTGAAGACATTCCCGTTTCCAACGAAATCCTCACAGCTATCCAAATATCCTCTTGCAGATTCTACAAAAAGTGTGGTTCAAAACTGCTGTATCAAAAGAATGGATCAACACTGTTAGTTGAGTACCCACATCACAAACGTGATTCTCAGAATGCTTCTGTCTAGTTTCTGTAGGTAGATATTTCCTATTTTAAGCATAGGCCTGAAAGCGCTCCAAATGCCCGCTTCCAGACACTATAAAAAGAGGGTTTCAAACCTACTCTATGAAAGGGAATGTTCAACTCTGAGAGCTGGATGCAAACATCACAAAGAAGTTTCTGAGAATGCTGCTGTCTACTTTTTATATATAATCCCGTTTCCAACGAAATCCTCAAATCTATCCAAATATCCACTTGCAGATTCCAAAAGAAGAGTGTCTCAAAACTGCTCTATCAATAGAAATGTTCAGCACAGTTAGTTGAGTAGATACGGCATAAACATGTTTCTGAGATTACTTCTATCTCGCATTCATGGGAAGATATTTCCTTTTTCCAGATAGGCTACAAAGCCCTCCAAATGTCCACTTCCAGATACTACAAATAGAGTGCTGCACAACTGCTCTATGTGAGGGGAAGTTCAATTCTGTGACTTGAATGCAGACACCACAAAGAAGTTTCTGAGAATGCTGCTGTCTAATTTTTACATGTAAGCCCGTTTCCAACGAAATCCTCAAAGCTATCCAAATATCCGCATGCAGAATCTTCAAAAAGAGTGTTCCAGAAGTACTGCATGAAACGAAAGGTTCAAGTCCGTTTGTTGAGGACACACATCACAAATAAGTTTCTCAGAATGCTTCTGTGTTGTTTTCATTGGAAGATATTTCCTTTTTCACCATAGTTCAGAAAGCGCTCCAAATGTCCACTTCCAGATACTCCAAAAAGAGTGTTTCCAACCTGCTCTATGAATGGGAATGTTCCACTCTGTGACTTGAATGGAAATATGGCAAAGTATTTTCTGAGTATGCTGCTGTGTACGTTTTATATTGCATCCCGTTTCCAACGAAATCCTCAAAGCGATCCAAATATCCACTTGCAGATTCCAAAAAAAGAGTGTTTCAAACTGCTCTGTCAGTACAAAGGTTCAACACTGTTAGTTGATTAGATGCATCATAAACAAGTTCCTGAGATAGCTTCTATGTCGTTTTTATGGGAAGATATTTCCTTTTTCACCATAGGCCTGAAAGCGCTCAAATGTCCACTTCCAGATACTACAATAAGAGTGTTTCCAACCTGCTCTATGAAACGGAAGGTTCAACTCTGTGACTTGATTGCAAACATCACGAAGGTGTTTCTGAGAATGCTTCTGTCTAGATTTTCTTTGAAGACATTCCCGTTTCCAACGAAATCCTCACAGCTATCCAAATATCCTCTTGCAGATTCTACAAAAAGTGTGGTTCAAAACTGCTGTATCAAAAGAATGGATCAACACTGTTAGTTGAGTACCCACATCACAAACGTGATTCTCAGAATGCTTCTGTCTAGTTTCTGTAGGTAGATATTTCCTATTTTAAGCATAGGCCTGAAAGCGCTCCAAATGCCCGCTTCCAGACACTATAAAAAGAGGGTTTCAAACCTACTCTATGAAAGGGAATGTTCAACTCTGAGAGCTGGATGCAAACATCACAAAGAAGTTTCTGAGAATGCTGCTGTCTACTTTTTATATATAATCCCGTTTCCAACGAAATCCTCAAATCTATCCAAATATCCACTTGCAGATTCCAAAAGAAGAGTGTCTCAAAACTGCTCTATCAATAGAAATGTTCAGCACAGTTAGTTGAGTAGATACAGCATAAACATGTTTCTGAGATTACTTCTATCTCGCATTCATGGGAAGATATTTCCTTTTTCCAGATAGGCTACAAAGCCCTCCAAATGTCCCCTTCCAGATACTACAAATAGAGTGCTGCACAACTGCTCTATGTGAGGGGAAGTTCAACTCTGTGACTTGAATGCAGACACCACAAAGAAGTTTCCTGAGAATGCTGCTGTCTAATTTTTACATGTAAGCCCGTTTCCAACGAAATCCTCAAGCAATCCAAATATCCGCATGCAGAATCTTCAAAAAGAGTGTTCCAGAAGTACTGCATGAAACGAAAGGTTCAAGTCCGTTTGTTGAGGACACACATCACAAATAAGTTTCTCAGAATGCTTCTGTCTTGTTTTCATTGGAAGATATTTCCTTTTTCACCATAGTTCAGAAAGCGCTCCAAATGTCCACTTCCAGATACTCCAAAAAGAGTGTTTCCAACCTGCTCTATGAATGGGAATGTTCCACTCTGTGACTTGAATGGAAATATGGCAAAGTATTTTCTGAGTATGCTGCTGTGTACGTTTTATATTGCATCCCGTTTCCAACGAAATCCTCAAAGCGATCCAAATATCCACTTGCAGATTCCAAAAAAAGAGTGTTTCAAACTGCTCTGTCAGTACAAAGGTTCAACACTGTTAGTTGATTAGATGCCTCATAAACAAGTTCCTGAGATAGCTTCTATATCGTTTTTATGGGAAGATATTTCCTTTTTCACCATAGGCCTGAAAGCGCTCCAAATGTCCACTTCCAGATACTACAATAAGAGTGTTTCCAACCTGCTCTATGAAACGGAAGGTTCAACTCTGTGACTTGATTGCAAACATCACGAAGGTATTTCTGAGAATGCTTCTGTCTAGATTTTCTTTGAAGACATTCCCGTTTCCAACGAAATCCTCACAGCTATCCAAATATCCTCTTGCAGATTCTACAAAAAGTGTGGTTCAAAACTGCTGTATCAAAAGAATGGATCAACACTGTTAGTTGAGTACCCACATCACAAACGAGATTCTCAGAATGCTTCTGTCTAGTTTCTGTAGGTAGATATTTCCTATTTTAAGCATAGGCCTGAAAGCGCTCCAAATGCCCGCTTCCAGACACTATAAAAAGAGGGTTTCAAACCTACTCTATGAAAGGGAATGTTCAACTCTGAGAGCTGGATGCAAACATCACAAAGAAGTTTCTGAGAATGCTGCTGTCTACTTTTTATATATAATCCCGTTTCCAATGAAATCCTCAAATCTATCCAAATATCCACTAGCAGATTCCAAAAGAAGAGTGTCTCAAAACTGCTCTATCAATAGAAATGTTCAGCACAGTTAGTTGAGTAGATACAGCATAAACATGTTTCTGAGATTACTTCTATCTCGCATTCATGGGAAGATATTTCCTTTTTCCAGATAGGCTACAAAGCCCTCCAAATGTCCACTTCGAGATACTACAAATAGAGTGCTGCACAACTGCTCTATGTGAGGGGATGTTCAATTCTGTGACTTGAATGCAGACACCACAAAGAAGTTTCTGAGAATGCTGCTGTCTAATTTTTATATGTAAGCCCGTTTCCAACGAAATCCTCAAAGCTATCCAAATATCCGCATGCAGAATCTTCAAAAAGAGTGTTCCAGAAGTACTGCATGAAACGAAAGGTTCAAGTCCGTTAGTTGAGGACACACATCACAAATAAGTTTCCCAGAATGCTTCTGTCTTGTTTTCATTCGAAGATATTTCCTTTTTCACCATAGTTCAGAAAGCGCTCCAAATGTCCACTTCCAGATACTACAAAAGGAGTGTTTCCAACCTGTTCTATGAATGGGAATGTTCCACTCTGTGACTTGAATGGAAATATGGCAAAGTATTTTCTGAGTATGCTGCTGTGTACGTTTTATATTGCATCCCGTTTCCAACGAAATCCTCAAAGCGATCCTAATATCCACTTGCAGATTCCAAAAAAAAGAGTGTTTCACACTGCTCTGTCAGTACAAATGTTCAACACTGTTAGTTGATTGGATGCATCATAAACAAGTTCCTGAGATAGCTTCTATGTCGTTTTTATTGGAAGATATTTCCTTTTTCACCATAGGCCTGAAAGCGCTCCAAATGTCCACTTCCAGATACTACAAAAAGAGTGTTTGCAACCTGCTCTATGAAACGGAAGGTTCAACTCTGTGACTTGATTGCAAACATCACGAAGGTGTTTCTGAGAATGTTTCTGTCTAGATTTTCTTTGAAGACATTCCCGTTTCCAACGAAATCCTCACAGCTATCCAAATATCCTCTTGCAGATTCTACAAAAAGTGTGGTTCAAAACTGCTGTATCAAAAGAATGGATCAACACTGTTAGTTGAGTACCCACATCACAAACGAGATTCTCAGAATGCTTCTGTCTAGTTTCTGTAGGTAGATATTTCCTATTTTAAGCATAGGCCTGAAAGCGCTCCAAATGCCCGCTTCCAGACACTATAAAAAGAGGGTTTCAAACCTACTCTATGAAAGGGAATGTTCAACTCTGAGAGCTGGATGCAAACATCACAAAGAAGTTTCTGAGAATGCTGCTGTCTACTTTTTATATATAATCCCGTTTCCAACGAAATCCTCAAATCTCTCCAAATATCCACTTGCAGATTCCAAAAGAAGAGTGTCTCAAAACTGCTCTATCAATAGAAATGTTCAGCACAGTTAGTTGAGTAGATACAGCATAAACATGTTTCTGAGATTACTTCTATCTCGCATTCATGGGAAGATATTTCCTTTTTCCACATAGGCTACAAAGCCCTCCAAATGTCCACTTCCAGATACTACAAAAAGAGTGTTTCCAACCTGCTCTATGAAACGGAAGGTTCAACTCTGTGACTTGATTGCAAACATCACGAAGGTGTTTCTGAGAATGCTTCTGTCTAGATTTTCTTTGAAGACATTACCGTTTCCAACGAAATCCTCAAAGCTAGCCAAATATCCACCTGCAGATTCTACAAAAAGAGTGTTTCAAATGTGCTCTGTCCAAACCAAGGTTCAATTCTGACAGTTGAGTGCACACATCACAAACGTGATTCTGCGAATGCTTCTGTCTAGTTTTTGTCGGAAGATATTTCCTTTTTCAGCATAGGCCCCAAGGAGCTCAAAATGTCCACTGCCAGATAGTACGAGAAGATTGTTTCAAACCTGCTCTGTGAAAGGGAATGTTCAACTCTGTGACTTGAATGTAAACATCCCTAAGATGTTTCTTAGAATGCTTCTGGCTAGATTTGATTTGAAGATATTCCCGTTTCCAACGAAATCCTCAAAGCTTTCCAAATATCCACTTCCAGATTCTACAAAAAGAATGTTTCAGAACAGTTCTGTCAAAAGAAAGGTTCAACTCTGTTAGTGGAGAACACACATCACAATCAAGGTTCTGAGAATGCTTCTGTCTAAATTTTCTATGAAGACATTCCCGTTTCCAACGAAATCCTCACAGCTATCCAAATATCCACTTGCAGATTCTACAAAAAGTGTGGTTCAAAACTGCTGTATCAAAAGAATGGATCAACACTGTTAGTTGAGTACCCACATCACAAACGTGATTCTCAGAATGCTTCTGTCTAGTTTCTATAGGTAGATATTTCCTTTTTCAGCATAGGCCTGAAAGCGCTCCAAATGCCCGCTTCCAGACACTATAAAAAGAGGGTTTCAAACCTACTCTATGAAAGGGAATGTTCAACTCTGAGAGCTGGATGCAAACATCACAAAGAAGTTTCTGAGAATGCTGCTGTCTACTTTTTATATATAATCCCGTTTCCAACGAAATCCTCAAATCTATCCAAATATCCACTTGCAGATTCCAAAAGAAGAGTGTCTGAAAACTGCTCTATCAATAGAAATGTTCAGCACAGTTAGTTGAGTAGATACAGCATAAACATGTTTCTGAGATTACTTCTATCTCGCATTCATGGGAAGATATTTCCTTTTTCCAGATAGGCTACAAAGCCCTCCAAATGTCCACTTCGAGATACTACAAATAGAGTGCTGCACAACTGCTCTATGTGAGGGGATGTTCAATTCTGTGACTTGAATGCAGACACCACAAAGAAGTTTCTGAGAATGCTGCTGTCTAATTTTTACATGTAAGCCCGTTTCCAACGAAATCCTCAAAGCTAACCAAATATCCGCATGCAGAATCTTCAAAAAGAGTGTTCCAGAAGTACTGCATGAAACGAAAGGTTCGAGTCCGTTAGTTGAGGACACGCATCACAAATAAGTTTCTCAGAATGCTTCTGTCTTGTTTTCATTGGAAGATATTTCCTTTTTCACCATAGTTCAGAAAGCGCTCCAAATGTCCACTTCCAGATATTCCAAAAAGAGTGTTTCCAACCTGCTCTATGAATGGGAATGTTCCACTCTGTGACTTGAATGGAAATATGGCAAAGTATTTTCTGAGTATGCTGCTGTGTACGTTTTATATTGCATCCCGTTTCCAACGAAATCCTCAAAGCGATCCAAATATCCACTTGCAGATTCCAAAAAAAGAGTGTTTCAAACTGCTCTGTCAGTACAAAGGTTCAACACTGTTAGTTGATTAGATGCAACATAAACAAGTTCCTGAGATAGCTTCTATGTCGTTTTTATGGGAAGATATT
This sequence comes from Homo sapiens, assembly GCF_000001405.40. Classification (NCBI taxonomy): domain Eukaryota; kingdom Metazoa; phylum Chordata; class Mammalia; order Primates; family Hominidae; genus Homo; species Homo sapiens. The sequence goes on along the minus strand of NC_000008.11, from coordinate 44,918,194 downwards.
TCCTTTTTCACCATAGGCCTGAAAGCGCTCCAAATGTCCACTTCCAGATACTACAATAAGAGTGTTTCCAACCTGCTCTATGAAACGGAAGGTTCAACTCTGTGACTTGATTGCAAACATCACGAAGGTGTTTCTGAGAATGCTTCTGTCTAAATTTTCTATGAAGACATTCCCGTTTCCAACGAAATCCTCACAGCTATCCAAATATCCACTTGCAGATTCTACAAAAAGTGTGGTTCAAAACTGCTGTATCAAAAGAATGGATCAACACTGTTAGTTGAGTACCCACATCACAAACGTGATTCTCAGAATGCTTCTGTCTAGTTTCTGTAGGTAGATATTTCCTATTTTAAGCATAGGCCTGAAAGCGCTCCAAATGCCCGCTTCCAGACACTATAAAAAGAGGGTTTCAAACCTACTCTATGAAAGGGAATGTTCAACTCTGAGAGCTGGATGCAAACATCACAAAGAAGTTTCTGAGAATGCTGCTGTCTACTTTTTATATATAATCCCGTTTCCAACGAAATCCTCAAATCTATCCAAATATCCACTTGCAGATTCCAAAAGAAGAGTGTCTCAAAACTGCTCTATCAATAGAAATGTTCAGCACAGTTAGTTGAGTAGATACAGCATAAACATGTTTCTGAGATTACTTCTATCTCGCATTCATGGGAAGATATTTCCTTTTTCCAGATAGGCTACAAAGCCCTCCAAATGTCCACTTCCAGATACTACAAATAGAGTGCTGCACAACTGCTCTATGTGAGGGGAAGTTCAACTCTGTGACTTGAATGCAGACACCACAAAGAAGTTTCTGAGAATGCTGCTGTCTAATTTTTACATGTAAGCCCGTTTCCAACGAAATCCTCAAAGCTATCCAAATATCCGCATGCAGAATCTTCAAAAAGTGTTCCAGAAGTACTGCATGAAACGAAAGGTTCAAGTCCGTTTGTTGAGGACACACATCACAAATAAGTTTCTCAGAATGCTTCTGTCTTGTTTTCATTGGAAGATATTTCCTTTTTCACCATAGTTCAGAAAGCGCTCCAAATGTCCACTTCCAGATACTCCAAAAAGAGTGTTTCCAACCTGCTCTATGAATGGGAATGTTCCACTCTGTGACTTGAATGGAAATATGGCAAAGTATTTTCTGAGTATGCTGCTGTGTACGTTTTATATTGCATCCCGTTTCCAACGAAATCCTCAAAGTGATCCAAATATCCACTTGCAGATTCCAAAAAAAGAGTGTTTCAAACTGCTCTGTCAGTACAAAGGTTCAACACTGTTAGTTGATTAGATGCATCATAAACAAGTTCCTGAGATAGCTTCTATGTCGTTTTTATGGGAAGATATTTCCTTTTTCACCATAGGCCTGAAAGCGCTCCAAATGTCCACTTCCAGATACTACAATAAGAGTGTTTCCAACCTGCTCTATGAAACGGAAGGTTCAACTCTGTGACTTGATTGCAAACATCACGAAGGTGTTTCTGAGAATGCTTCTGTCTAGATTTTCTTTGAAGACATTCCCGTTTCCAACGAAATCCTCACAGCTATCCAAATATCCTCTTGCAGATTCTACAAAAAGTGTGGTTCAAAACTGCTGTATCAAAAGAATGGATCAACACTGTTAGTTGAGTACCCACATCACAAACGTGATTCTCAGAATGCTTCTGTCTAGTTTCTGTAGGTAGATATTTCCTATTTTAAGCATAGGCCTGAAAGCGCTCCAAATGCCCGCTTCCAGACACTATAAAAAGAGGGTTTCAAACCTACTCTATGAAAGGGAATGTTCAACTCTGAGAGCTGGATGCAAACATCACAAAGATGTTTCTGAGAATGCTGCTGTCTACTTTTTATATATAATCCCGTTTCCAACGAAATCCTCAAATCTATCCAAATATCCACTTGCAGATTCCAAAAGAAGAGTGTCTCAAAACTGCTCTATCAATAGAAATGTTCAGCACAGTTAGTTGAGTAGATACAGCATAAACATGTTTCTGAGATTACTTCTATCTCGCATTCATGGGAAGATATTTCCTTTTTCCAGATAGGCTACAAAGCCCTCCAAATGTCCACTTCCAGATACTACAAATAGAGTGCTGCACAACTGCTCTATGTGAGGGGAAGTTCAATTCTGTGACTTGAATGCAGACACCACAAAGAAGTTTCTGAGAATGCTGCTGTCTAATTTTTACATGTAAGCCCGTTTCCAACGAAATCCTCAAAGCAATCCAAATATCCGCATGCAGAATCTTCAAAAAGAGTGTTCCAGAAGTACTGCATGAAACGAAAGGTTCAAGTCCGTTTGTTGAGGACACACATCACAAATAAGTTTCTCAGAATGCTTCTGTCTTGTTTTCATTGGAAGATATTTCCTTTTTCACCATAGTTCAGAAAGCGCTCCAAATGTCCACTTCCAGATACTCCAAAAAGAGTGTTTCAAACCTGCTCTATGAATGGGAATGTTCCACTCTGTGACTTGAATGGAAATATGGCAAAGTATTTTCTGAGTATGCTGCTGTGTACGTTTTATATTGCATCCCGTTTCCAACGAAATCCTCAAAGCGATCCAAATATCCACTTGCAGATTCCAAAAAAAGAGTGTTTCAAACTGCTCTGTCAGTACAAAGGTTCAACACTGTTAGTTGATTAGATGCATCATAAACAAGTTCCTGAGATAGCTTCTATGTCGTTTTTATGGGAAGATATTTCCTTTTTCACCATAGGCCTGAAAGCGCTCCAAATGTCCACTTCCAGATACTACAAAAAGAGTGTTTCCAACCTGCTCTATGAAACGGAAGGTTCAACTCTGTGACTTGATTGCAAACATCACGAAGGTGTTTCTGAGAATGCTTCTGTCTAGATTTTCTTTGAAGACATTACCGTTTCCAACGAAATCCTCAAAGCTAGCCAAATATCCACCTGCAGATTCTACAAAAAGAGTGTTTCAAAAGTGCTCTGTCCAAACCAAGGTTCAATTCTGACAGTTGAGTGCACACATCACAAACGTGATTCTGCGAATGCTTCTGTCTAGTTTTTGTCGGAAGATATTTCCTTTTTCAGCATAGGCCCCAAGGAGCTCAAAATGTCCACTGCCAGATAGTACGAGAAGATTGTTTCAAACCTGCTCTGTGAAAGGGAATGTTCAACTCTGTGACTTGAATGTAAACATCCCTAAGATGTTTCTTAGAATGCTTCTGGCTAGATTTTATTTGAAGATATTCCCGTTTCCAACGAAATCCTCAAAGCTTTCCAAATATCCACTTCCAGATTCTATAAAAAGAATGTTTCAGAACAGTTCTGTCAAAAGAAAGGTTCAACTCTGTTAGTGGAGAACACACATCACAATCAAGGTTCTGAGAATGCTTCTGTCTAAATTTTCTATGAAGACATTCCCGTTTCCAACGAAATCCTCACAGCTATCCAAATATCCACTTGCAGATTCTACAAAAAGTGTGGTTCAAAACTGCTGTATCAAAAGAATGGATCAACACTGTTAGTTGAGTACCCACATCACAAACGTGATTCTCAGAATGCTTCTGTCTAGTTTCTATAGGTAGATATTTCCTTTTTCAGCATAGGCCTGAAAGCGCTCCAAATGCCCGCTTCCAGACACTATAAAAAGAGGGTTTCAAACCTACTCTATGAAAGGGAATGTTCAACTCTGAGAGCTGGATGCAAACATCACAAAGAAGTTTCTGAGAATGCTGCTGTCTACTTTTTATATATAATCCCGTTTCCAACGAAATCCTCAAATCTATCCAAATATCCACTTGCAGATTCCAAAAGAAGAGTGTCTCAAAACTGCTCTATCAATAGAAATGTTCAGCACAGTTAGTTGAGTAGATACAGCATAAACATGTTTCTGAGATTACTTCTATCTCGCATTCATGGGAAGATATTTCCTTTTTCCACATAGGCTACAAAGCCCTCCAAATGTCCACTTCCAGATACTACAAATAGAGTGCTGCACAACTGCTCTATGTGAGGGGATGTTCAATTCTGTGACTTGAATGCAGACACCACAAAGAAGTTTCTGAGAATGCTGCTGTCTAATTTTTACATGTAAGCCCGTTTCCAACGAAATCCTCAAAGCTATCCAAATATCCGCATGCAGAATCTTCAAAAAGAGTGTTCCAGAAGTACTGCATGAAACGAAAGGTTCAAGTCCGTTTGTTGAGGACACACATCACAAATAAGTTTCTCAGAATGCTTCTGTCTTGTTTTCATTGGAAGATATTTCCTTTTTCACCATAGTTCAGAAAGCGCTCCAAATGTCCACTTCCAGATACTCCAAAAAGAGTGTTTCCAACCTGCTCTATGAATGGGAATGTTCCACTCTGTGACTTGAATGGAAATATGGCAAAGTATTTTCTGAGTATGCTGCTGTGTACGTTTTATATTGCATCCCGTTTCCAACGAAATCCTCAAAGCGATCCAAATATCCACTTGCAGATTCCAAAAAAAGAGTGTTTCAAACTGCTCTGTCAGTACAAAGGTTCAACACTGTTAGTTGATTAGATGCATCATAAACAAGTTCCTGAGATAGCTTCTATGTCGTTTTTATGGGAAGATATTTCCTTTTTCACCATAGGCCTGAAAGCGCTCCAAATGTCCACTTCCAGATACTACAAAAAGAGTGTTTCCAACCTGCTCTATGAAACGGAAGGTTCAACTCTGTGACTTGATTGCAAACATCACGAAGGTGTTTCTGAGAATGCTTCCGTCTAGATTTTCTTTGAAGACATTACCGTTTCCAACGAAATCCTCAAAGCTAGCCAATATCCACCTGCAGATTCTACAAAAAGAGTGTTTCAAAAGTGCTCTGTCCAAACCAAGGTTCAATTCTGACAGTTGAGTGCACACATCACAAACGTGATTCTGCGAATGCTTCTGTCTAGTTTTTGTCGGAAGATATTTCCTTTTTCACCATAGGCCCCAAGGAGCTCAAAATGTCCACTGCCAGATAGTACGAGAAGATTGTTTCAAACCTGCTCTGTGAAAGGGAATGTTCAACTCTGTGACTTGAATGTAAACATCCCTAAGATGTTTCTTAGAATGCTTCTGGCTAGATTTTATTTGAAGATATTCCCGTTTCCAACGAAATCCTCAAAGCTTTCCAAATATCCACTTCCAGATTCTATAAAAAGAATGTTTCAGAACAGTTCTGTCAAAAGAAAGGTTCAACTCTGTTAGTGGAGAACACACATCACAATCAAGGTTCTGAGAATGCTTCTGTCTAAATTTTCTATGAAGACATTCCCGTTTCCAACGAAATCCTCACAGCTATCCAAATATCCACTTGCAGATTCTACAAAAAGTGTGGTTCAAAACTGCTGTATCAAAAGAATGGATCAACACTGTTAGTTGAGTACCCACATCACAAACGTGATACTCAGAATGCTTCTGTCTAGTTTCTATAGGTAGATATTTCCTTTTTCAGCATAGGCCTGAAAGCGCTCCAAATGCCCGCTTCCAGACACTATAAAAAGAGGGTTTCAAACCTACTCTATGAAAGGGAATGTTCAACTCTGAGAGCTGGATGCAAACATCACAAAGAAGTTTCTGAGAATGCTGCTGTCTACTTTTTATATATAATCGCGTTTCCAACGAAATCCTCAAATCTATCCAAATATCCACTTGCAGATTCCAAAAGAAGAGTGTCTCAAAACTGCTCTATCAATAGAAATGTTCAGCACAGTTAGTTGAGTAGATACAGCATAAACATGTTTCTGAGATTACTTCTATCTCGCATTCATGGGAAGATATTTCCTTTTTCCAGATAGGCTACAAAGCCCTCCAAATGTCCACTTCCAGATACTACAAAAAGAGTGTTTCCAACCTGCTCTATGAAACGGAAGGTTCAACTCTGTGACTTGATTGCAAACATCACGAAGTTGTTTCTGAGAATGCTTCTGTCTAGATTTTCTTTGAAGACATTACCGTTTCCAACGAAATCCTCAAAGCTAGCCAAATATCCACCTGCAGATTCTACAAAAAGAGTGTTTCAAAAGTGCTCTGTCCAAACCAAGGTTCAATTCTGACAGTTGAGTGCACACATCACAAACGTGATTCTGCGAATGCTTCTGTCTAGTTTTTGTCGGAAGATATTTCCTTTTTCAGCATAGGCCCCAAGGAGCTCAAAATGTCCACTGCCAGATAGTACGAGAAGATTGTTTCAAACCTGCTCTGTGAAAGGGAATGTTCAACTCTGTGACTTGAATGTAAACATCCCTAAGATGTTTCTTAGAATGCTTCTGGCTAGATTTTATTTGAAGATATTCCCGTTTCCAACGAAATCCTCAAAGCTTTCCAAATATCCACTTCCAGATTCTACAAAAAGAATGTTTCAGAACAGTTCTGTCAAAAGAAAGGTTCAACTCTGTTAGTGGAGAACACACATCACAATCAAGGTTCTGAGAATGCTTCTGTCTAAATTTTCTATGAAGACATTCCCGTTTCCAACGAAATCCTCACAGCTATCCAAATATCCACTTGCAGATTCTACAAAAAGTGTGGTTCAAAACTGCTGTATCAAAAGAATGGATCAACACTGTTAGTTGAGTACCCACATCACAAACGTGATTCTCAGAATGCTTCTGTCTAGTTTCTATAGGTAGATATTTCCTTTTTCAGCATAGGCCTGAAAGCGCTCCAAATGCCCGCTTCCAGACACTATAAAAAGAGGGTTTCAAACCTACTCTATGAAAGGGAATGTTCAACTCTGAGAGCTGGATGCAAACATCACAAAGAAGTTTCTGAGAATGCTGCTGTCTACTTTTTATATATAATCCCGTTTCCAACGAAATCCTCAAATCTATCCAAATATCCACTTGCAGATTCCAAAAGAAGAGTGTCTCAAAACTGCTCTATCAATAGAAATGTTCAGCACAGTTAGTTGAGTAGATACAGCATAAACATGTTTCTGAGATTACTTCTATCTCGCATTCATGGGAAGATATTTCCTTTTTCCAGATAGGCTACAAAGCCCTCCAAATGTCCACTTCCAGATACTACAAATAGAGTGCTGCACAACTGCTCTATGTGAGGGGAAGTTCAATTCTGTGACTTGAATGCAGACACCACAAAGAAGTTTCTGAGAATGCTGCTGTCTAATTTTTACATGTAAGCCCGTTTCCAACGAAATCCTCAAAGCTATCCAAATATCCGCATGCAGAATCTTCAAAAAGAGTGTTCCAGAAGTACTGCATGAAACGAAAGGTTCAAGTCCGTTTGTTGAGGACACACATCACAAATAAGTTTCTCAGAATGCTTCTGTCTTGTTTTCATTGGAAGATATTTCCTTTTTCACCATAGTTCAGAAAGCGCTCCAAATGTCCACTTCCAGATACTCCAAAAAGAGTGTTTCAAACCTGCTCTATGAATGGGAATGTTCCACTCTGTGACTTGAATGGAAATATGGCAAAGTATTTTCTGAGTATGCTGCTGTGTACGTTTTATATTGCATCCCGTTTCCAACGAAATCCTCAAAGCGATCCAAATATCCACTTGCAGATTCCAAAAAAAGAGTGTTTCAAACTGCTCTGTCAGTACAAAGGTTCAACACTGTTAGTTGATTAGATGCATCATAAACAAGTTCCTGAGATAGCTTCTATGTCGTTTTTATGGGAAGATATTTCCTTTTTCACCATAGGCCTGAAAGCGCTCCAAATGTCCACTTCCAGATACTACAATAAGAGTGTTTCCAACCTGCTCTATGAAACGGAAGGTTCAACTCTGTGACTTGATTGCAAACATCACGAAGGTGTTTCTGAGAATGCTTCTGTCTAGATTTTCTTTGAAGACATTCCCGTTTCCAACGAAATCCTCACAGCTATCCAAATATCCTCTTGCAGATTCTACAAAAAGTGTGGTTCAAAACTGCTGTATCAAAAGAATGGATCAACACTGTTAGTTGAGTACCCACATCACAAACGTGATTCTCAGAATGCTTCTGTCTAGTTTCTGTAGGTAGATATTTCCTATTTTAAGCATAGGCCTGAAAGCGCTCCAAATGCCCGCTTCCAGACACTATAAAAAGAGGGTTTCAAACCTACTCTATGAAAGGGAATGTTCAACTCTGAGAGCTGGATGCAAACATCACAAAGAAGTTTCTGAGAATGCTGCTGTCTACTTTTTATATATAATCCCGTTTCCAACGAAATCCTCAAATCTATCCAAATATCCACTTGCAGATTCCAAAAGAAGAGTGTCTGAAAACTGCTCTATCAATAGAAATGTTCAGCACAGTTAGTTGAGTAGATACAGCATAAACATGTTTCTGAGATTACTTCTATCTCGCATTCATGGGAAGATATTTCCTTTTTCCAGATAGGCTACAAAGCCCTCCAAATGTCCACTTCCAGATACTACAAAAAGAGTGTTTCCAACCTGCTCTATGAAACGGAAGGTTCAACTCTGTGACTTGATTGCAAACATCACGAAGGTGTTTCTGAGAATGCTTCTGTCTAGATTTTCTTTGAAGACATTCCCGTTTCCAACGAAATCCTCACAGCTATCCAAATATCCTCTTGCAGATTCTACAAAAAGTGTGGTTCAAAACTGCTGTATCAAAAGAATGGATCAACACTGTTAGTTGAGTACCCACATCACAAACGTGATTCTCAGAATGCTTCTGTCTAGTTTCTGTAGGTAGATATTTCCTATTTTAAGCATAGGCCTGAAAGCGCTCCAAATGCCCGCTTCCAGACACTATAAAAAGAGGGTTTGAAACCTACTCTATGAAAGGGAATGTTCAACTCTGAGAGCTGGATGCAAACATCACAAAGAAGTTTCTGAGAATGCTGCTGTCTACTTTTTATATATAATCCCGTTTCCAACGAAATCCTCAAATCTATCCAAATATCCACTTGCAGATTCCAAAAGAAGAGTGTCTGAAAACTGCTCTATCAATAGAAATGTTCAGCACAGTTAGTTGAGTAGATACAGCATAAACATGTTTCTGAGATTACTTCTATCTCGCATTCATGGGAAGATATTTCCTTTTTCCAGATAGGCTACAAAGCCCTCCAAATGTCCACTTCCAGATACTACAAATAGAGTGCTGCACAACTGCTCTATGTGAGGGGAAGTTCAATTCTGTGACTTGAATGCAGACACCACAAAGAAGTTTCTGAGAATGCTGCTGTCTAATTTTTACATGTAAGCCCGTTTCCAACGAAATCCTCAAAGCTATCCAAATATCCGCATGCAGAATCTTCAAAAAGAGTGTTCCAGAAGTACTGCATGAAACGAAAGGTTCAAGTCCGTTTGTTGAGGACACACATCACAAATAAGTTTCTCAGAATGCTTCTGTCTTGTTTTCATTGGAAGATATTTCCTTTTTCACCATAGTTCAGAAAGCGCTCCAAATGTCCACTTCCAGATACTCCAAAAAGAGTGTTTCCAACCTGCTCTATGAATGGGAATGTTCCACTCTGTGACTTGAATGGAAATATGGCAAAGTATTTTCTGAGTATGCTGCTGTGTACGTTTTATATTGCATCCCGTTTCCAACGAAATCCTCAAAGCGATCCAAATATCCACTTGCAGATTCCAAAAAAAGAGTGTTTCAAACTGCTCTGTCAGTACAAAGGTTCAACACTGTTAGTTGATTAGATGCATCATAAACAAGTTCCTGAGATAGCTTCTATGTCGTTTTTATGGGAAGATATTTCCTTTTTCACCATAGGCCTGAAAGCACTCCAAATGTCCACTTCCAGATACTACAAAAAGAGTGTTTCCAACCTGCTCTATGAAACGGAAGGTTCAACTCTGTGACTTGATTGCAAACATCACGAAGGTGTTTCGGAGAATGCTTCTGTCTAGATTTTCTTTGAAGACATTACCGTTTCCAACGAAATCCTCAAAGCTAGCCAAATATCCACCTGCAGATTCTACAAAAAGAGTGTTTCAAGAGTGCTCTCTCCAAACCAAGGTTCAATTCTGACAGTTGAGTGCACACATCACAAACGTGATTCTGCGAATGCTTCTGTCTAGTTTTTGTCGGAAGATATTTCCTTTTTCAGCATAGGCCCCAAGGAGCTCAAAATGTCCACTGCCAGATAGTACGAGAAGATTGTTTCAAACCTGCTCTGTGAAAGGGAATGTTCAACTCTGTGACTTGAATGTAAACATCCCTAAGCTGTTTCTTAGAATGCTTCTGGCTAGATTTGATTTGAAGATATTCCCGTTTCCAACGAAATCCTCAAAGCTTTCCAAATATCCACTTCCAGATTCTATAAAAAGAATGTTTCAGAACAGTTCTGTCAAAAGAAAGGTTCAACTCTGTTAGTGGAGAACACACATCACAATCAAGGTTCTGAGAATGCTTCCGTCTAAATTTTCTATGAAGACATTCCCGTTTCCAACGAAATCCTCACAGCTATCCAAATATCCACTTGCAGATTCTACAAAAAGTGTGGTTCAAAACTTCTGTATCAAAAAAATGGATCAACACTGTTAGTTGAGTACCCACATCACAAACGTGATTCTCAGAATGCTTCTGTCTAGTTTCTATAGGTAGATATTTCCTTTTTCAGCATAGGCCTGAAAGCGCTCCAAATGCCCGCTTCCAGACACTATAAAAAGAGGGTTTCAAACCTACTCTATGAAAGGGAATGTTCAACTCTGAGAGCTGGATGCAAACATCACAAAGAAGTTTCTGAGAATGCTGCTGTCTACTTTTTATATATAATCCCGTTTCCAACGAAATCCTCAAATCTATCCAAATATCCACTTGCAGATTCCAAAAGAAGAGTGTCTCAAAACTGCTCTATCAATAGAAATGTTCAGCACAGTTAGTTGAGTAGGTACAGCATAAACATGTTTCTGAGATTACTTCTATCTCGCATTCATGGGAAGATATTTCCTTTTTCCAGATAGGCTACAAAGCCCTCCAAATGTCCACTTCCAGATACTACAAATAGAGTGCTGCACAACTGCTCTATGTGAGGGGATGTTCAATTCTGTGACTTGAATGCAGACACCACAAAGAAGTTTCTGAGAATGCTGCTGTCTAATTTTTACATGTAAGCCCGTTTCCAACGAAATCCTCAAAGCTATCCAAATATCCGAATGCAGAATCTTCAAAAAGAGTGTTCCAGAAGTACTGCATGAAACGAAAGGTTCAAGTCCGTTTGTTGAGGACACACATCACAAATAAGTTTCTCAGAATGCTTCTGTCTTGTTTTCATTGGAAGATATTTCCTTTTTCACCATAGTTCAGAAAGCGCTCCAAATGTCCACTTCCAGATACTCCAAAAAGAGTGTTTCCAACCTGCTCTATGAATGGGAATGTTCCACTCTGTGACTTGAATGGAAATATGGCAAAGTATTTTCTGAGTATGCTGCTGTGTACGTTTTATATTGCATCCCGTTTCCAACGAAATCCTCAAAGCGATCCAAATATCCACTTGCAGATTCCAAAAAAAGAGTGTTTCAAAGTGCTCTGTCAGTACAAAGGTTCAACACTGTTAGTTGATTAGATGCATCATAAACAATTTCCTGAGATAGCTTCTATGTCGTTTTTATGGGAAGATATTTCCTTTTTCACCATAGGCCTGAAAGCGCTCCAAATGTCCACTTCCAGATACTACAATAAGAGTGTTTCCAACCTGCTCTATGAAACGGAAGGTTCAACTCTGTGACTTGATTGCAAACATCACGAAGGTGTTTCTGAGAATGCTTCTGTCTAGATTTTCTTTGAAGACATTCCCGTTTCCAACGAAATCCTCACAGCTATCCAAATATCCTCTTGCAGATTCTACAAAAAGTGTGGTTCAAAACTGCTGTATCAAAAGAATGGATCAACACTGTTAGTTGAGTACCCACATCACAAACGTGATTCTCAGAATGCTTCTGTCTAGTTTCTGTAGGTAGATATTTCCTATTTTAAGCATAGGCCTGAAAACGCTCCAAATGCCTGCTTCCAGACACTATAAAAAGAGGGTTTCAAACCTACTCTATGAAAGGGAATGTTCAACTCTGAGAGCTGGATGCAAACATCACAAAGAAGTTTCTGAGAATGCTGCTGTCTACTTTTTATATATAATCCCGTTTCCAACGAAATCCTCAAATCTATCCAAATATCCACTTGCAGATTCCAAAAGAAGAGTGTCTCAAAACTGCTCTATCAATAGAAATGTTCAGCACAGTTAGTTGAGTAGATACAGCATAAACATGTTTCTGAGATTACTTCTATCTCGCATTCATGGGAAGATATTTCCTTTTTCCAGATAGGCTACAAAGCCCTCCAAATGTCCACTTCCAGATACTACAAAAAGAGTGTTTCCAACCTGCTCTATGAAACGGAAGGTTCAACTCTGTGACTTGATTGCAAACATCACGAAGGTGTTTCTGAGAATGCTTCTGTCTAGATTTTCTTTGAAGACATTACCGTTTCCAACGAAATCCTCAAAGCTAGCCAAATATCCACCTGCAGATTCTACAAAAAGAGTGTTTCAAAAGTGCTCTGTCCAAACCAAGGTTCAATTCTGACAGTTGAGTGCACACATCACAAACGTGATTCTGCGAATGCTTCTGTCTAGTTTTTGTCGGAAGATATTTCCTTTTTCAGCATAGGCCCCAAGGAGCTCAAAATGTCCACTGCCAGATAGTACGAGAAGATTGTTTCAAACCTGCTCTGTGAAAGGGAATGTTCAACTCTGTGACTTGAATGTAAACATCCCTAAGATGTTTCTTAGAATGCTTCTGGCTAGATTTGATTTGAAGATATTCCCGTTTCCAACGAAATCCTCAAAGCTTTCCAAATATCCACTTCCAGATTCTATATAAAGAATGTTTCAGAACAGTTCTGTCAAAAGAAAGGTTCAACTCTGTTAGTGGAGAACACACATCACAATCAAGGTTCTGAGAATGCTTCTGTCTAAATTTTCTATGAAGACATTCCCGTTTCCAACGAAATCCTCACAGCTATCCAAATATCCACTTGCAGATTCTACAAAAAGTGTGGTTCAAAACTGCTGTATCAAAAGAATGGATCAACACTGTTAGTTGAGTACCCACATCACAAACGTGATTCTCAGAATGCTTCTGTCTAGTTTCTATAGGTAGATATTTCCTTTTTCAGCATAGGCCTGAAAGCGCTCCAAATGCCCGCTTCCAGACACTATAAAAAGAGGGTTTCAAACCTACTCTATGAAAGGGAATGTTCAACTCTGAGAGCTGGATGCAAACATCACAAAGAAGTTTCTGAGAATGCTGCTGTCTACTTTTTATATATAATCCCGTTTCCAACGAAATCCTCAAATCTATCCAAATATCCACTTGCAGATTCCAAAAGAAGAGTGTCTGAAAACTGCTCTATCAATAGAAATGTTCAGCACAGTTAGTTGAGTAGATACAGCATAAACATGTTTCTGAGATTACTTCTATCTCGCATTCATGGGAAGATATTTCCTTTTTCCACATAGGCTACAAAGCCCTCCAAATGTCCACTTCCAGATACTACAAAAAGAGTGTTTCCAACCTGCTCTATGAAACGGAAGGTTCAACTCTGTGACTTGATTGCAAACATCACGAAGGTGTTTCTGAGAATGCTTCTGTCTAGATTTTCTTTGAAGACATTACCGTTTCAAACGAAATCCTCAAAGCTAGCCAAATATCCACCTGCAGATTCTACAAAAAGAGTGTTTCAAAAGTGCTCTGTCCAAACCAAGGTTCAATTCTGACAGTTGAGTGCACACATCACAAACGTGATTCTGCGAATGCTTCTGTCTAGTTTTTGTCGGAAGATATTTCCTTTTTCAGCATAGGCCCCAAGGAGCTCAAAATGTCCCCTGCCAGATAGTACGAGAAGATTGTTTCAAACCTGCTCTGTGAAAGGGAATGTTCAACTCTGTGACTTGAATGTAAACATCCCTAAGATGTTTCTTAGAATGCTTCTGGCTAGATTTGATTTGAAGATATTCCCGTTTCCAACGAAATCCTCAAAGCTTTCCAAATATCCACTTCCAGATTCTATAAAAAGAATGTTTCAGAACAGTTCTGTCAAAAGAAAGGTTCAACTCTGTTAGTGGAGAACACACATCACAATCAAGGTTCTGAGAATGCTTCTGTCTAAATTTTCTATGAAGACATTCCCGTTTCCAAGGAAATCCTCACAGCTATCCAAATATCCACTTGCAGATTCTACAAAAAGTGTGGTTCAAAACTGCTGTATCAAAAGAATGGATCAACACTGTTAGTTGAGTACCCACATCACCAACGTGATTCTCAGAATGCTTCTGTCTAGTTTCTATAGGTAGATATTTCCTTTTTCAGCATAGGCCTGAAAGCGCTCCAAATGCCCGCTTCCAGACACTATAAAAAGAGGGTTTCAAACCTACTCTACGAAAGGGAATGTTCAACTCTGAGAGCTGGATGCAAACATCACAAAGAAGTTTCTGAGAATGCTGCTGTCTACTTTTGATATATAATCCCGTTTCCAAGGAAATCCTCAAATCTATCCAAATATCCACTTGCAGATTCCAAAAGAAGAGTGTCTCAAAACTGCTCTATCAATAGAAATGTTCAGCACAGTTAGTTGAGTAGATACAGCATAAACATGTTTCTGAGATTACTTCTATCTCGCATTCATGGGAAGATATTTCCTTTTTCCAGATAGGCTACAAAGCCCTCCAAATGTCCACTTCGAGATACTACAAATAGAGTGCTGCACAGCTGCTCTATGTGAGGGGATGTTCAATTCTGTGACTTGAATGCAGACACCACAAAGAAGTTTCTGAGAATGCTGCTGTCTACTTTTTATGTATAATCCCGTTTCCAAAGAAATCCTCAAATCTATCCAAATATCCACTTGCAGATTCCAAATGAAGAGTGTCTCAAAACTGCTCTATCAATAGAAATGTTCAGCACACTTAGTTGAGTAGATACAGCATAAACATGTTTCTGAGATTACTTCTATGTCGCATTCATGGGAAGATATTTCCTTTTTCCAGATAGAAAACAAAGCCCTCCAAATGTCCACTTCGAGATACTACAAATAGAGTGCTGCACAACTGCTCTGTGTGAGGGGATGTTCAATTCTCTGACTTGAAAGCAGACACCACAAAGTAGTTTCTGAGAATGCTGCTGTCTAATTTTTACATGTAAGCCCGTTTCCAACGAAATCCTCAAAGCTATCCAAATATCCGCATGCAGAATCTTCAAAAAGAGTGTTCCAGAAGTACTGCATGAAACGAAAGGTTCAAGTCCGTTTGTTGAGGACACACATCACAAATAAGTTTCTCAGAATGCTTCTGTCTTGTTTTCATTGGAAGATATTTCCTTTTTCACCATAGTTCAGAAAGCGCTCCAAATGTCCACTTCCAGATACTCCAAAAAGAGTGTTTCAAACCTGCTCTATGAATGGGAATGTTCCACTCTCTGACTTGAATGGAAATATGGCAAAGTATTTTCTGAGTATGCTGCTGTGTACGTTTTATATTGCATCCCGTTTCCAACGAAATCCTCAAAGCGATCCAAATATCCACTTGCAGATTCCAAAAAAAAGAGTGTTTCACACTGCTCTGTCACTACAAAGGTTCAACACTGTTAGTTGATTGGATGCATCATAAACAAGTTCCTGAGATAGCTTCTATGTCATTTTTATGGGAAGATATTTCCTTTTTCACCGTAGGCCTGAAAGCGCTCCAAATGTCCACTTCCAGATACTACAAAAAGAGTGTTTCCAACCTGCTCTATGAAACGGAAGGTTCAACTCTGTGACTTGATTGCAAACATCACGAAGGTGTTTCTGAGAATGTTTCTGTCTAGATTTTCTTTGAAGACATTACCGTTTCCAACGAAATCCTCAAAGCTAGCCAAATATCCACCTGCAGATTCTACAAAAAGAGTGTTTCAAAAGTGCTCTGTCCAAACCAAGGTTCAATTCTGACAGTTGAGTGCACACATCACAAACGTGATTCTGCGAATGCTTCTGTCTAGTTTTTGTCGGAAGATATTTCCTTTTTCAGCATAGGCCCCAAAGAGCTCAAAATGTCCACTGCCAGATAGTACGAGAAGATTGTTTCAAACCTGCTCTGTGAAAGGGAATGTTCAACTCTGTGACTTGCATGTAAACATCCCTAAGATGTTTCTTAGAATGCTTCTGGCTAGATTTTATTTGAAGATATTCCCGTTTCCAACGAAATCCTCAAAGCTTTCCAAATATCCACTTCCAGATTCTATAAAAAGAATGTTTCAGAACAGTTCTGTCAAAAGAAAGGTTCAACTCTGTTAGTGGAGAACACACATCACAATCAAGGTTCTGAGAATGCTTCTGTGTAGATTTTCTTTGAAGACATTACCGTTTCCAACGAAATCCTCAAAGCTAGCCAAATATCCTCTTGCAGATTCTACAAAAAGTGTGGTTCAAAACTGCTGTATCAAAAGAATGGATCAACACTGTTAGTTGAGTACCCACATCACAAACGTGATTCTCAGAATGCTTCTGTCTAGTTTCTGTAGGTAGATATTTCCTATTTTAAGCATAGGCCTGAAAGCGCTCCAAATGCCCGCTTCCAGACACTATAAAAAGAGGGTTTCAAACCTACTCTATGAAAGGGAATGTTCAACTCTGAGAGCTGGATGCAAACATCACAAAGAAGTTTCTGAGAATGCTGCTGTCTACTTTTTATATATAATCCCGTTTCCAACGAAATCCTCAAATCTATCCAAATATCCACTTGCAGATTCCAAAAGAAGAGTGTCTCAAAACTGCTCTATCAATAGAAATGTTCAGCACAGTTAGTTGAGTAGATACAGCATAAACATGTTTCTGAGATTACTTCTATCTCGCATTCATGGGAAGATATTTCCTTTTTCCAGATAGGCTACAAAGCCCTCCAAATGTCCACTTCCAGATACTACAAAAAGTGTGTTTCCAACCTGCTCTATGAA
The DNA here is from genome assembly GCF_000001405.40 of Homo sapiens. Lineage (NCBI taxonomy): Eukaryota > Metazoa > Chordata > Mammalia > Primates > Hominidae > Homo > Homo sapiens. The sequence continues at coordinate 44,901,292 of NC_000008.11, read as the reverse complement.
ACGGAAGGTTCAACTCTGTGACTTGATTGCAAACATCACGAAGGTGTTTCTGAGAATGCTTCTGTCTAGATTTTCTTTGAAGACATTACCGTTTCCAACGAAATCCTCAAAGCTAGCCAAATATCCACCTGCAGATTCTACAAAAAGAGTGTTTCAAAAGTGCTCTCTCCAAACCAAGGTTCAATTCTGACAGTTGAGTGCACACATCACAAACGTGATTCTGCGAATGCTTCTGTCTAGTTTTTGTCGGAAGATATTTCCTTTTTCAGCATAGGCCCCAAAGAGCTCAAAATGTCCACTGCCAGATAGTACGAGAAGATTGTTTCAAACCTGCTCTGTGAAAGGGAATGTTCAACTCTGTGACTTGAATGTAAACATCCCTAAGATGTTTCTTAGAATGCTTCTGGCTAGATTTGATTTGAAGATATTCCCGTTTCCAACGAAATCCTCAAAGCTTTCCAAATATCCACTTCCAGATTCTATAAAAAGAATGTTTCAGAACAGTTCTGTCAAAAGAAAGGTTCAACTCTGTTAGTGGAGAACACACATCACAATCAAGGTTCTGAGAATGCTTCTGTCTAAATTTTCTATGAAGACATTCCCGTTTCCAACGAAATCCTCACAGCTATCCAAATATCCACTTGCAGATTCTACAAAAAGTGTGGTTCAAAACTGCTGTATCAAAAGAATGGATCAACACTGTTAGTTGAGTACCCACATCACAAACGTGATTCTCAGAATGCTTCTGTCTAGTTTCTATAGGTAGATATTTCCTTTTTCAGCATAGGCCTGAAAGCGCTCCAAATGCCCGCTTCCAGACACTATAAAAAGAGGGTTTCAAACCTACTCTATGAAAGGGAATGTTCAACTCTGAGAGCTGGATGCAAACATCACAAAGAAGTTTCTGAGAATGCTGCTGTCTACTTTTTATATATAATCCCGTTTCCAACGAAATCCTCAAATCTATCCAAATATCCACTTGCAGATTCCAAAAGAAGAGTGTCTCAAAACTGCTCTATCAATAGAAATGTTCAGCACAGTTAGTTGAGTAGATACAGCATAAACATGTTTCTGAGATTACTTCTATCTCGCATTCATGGGAAGATATTTCCTTTTTCCAGATAGGCTACAAAGCCCTCCAAATGTCCACTTCCAGATACTACAAAAAGAGTGTTTCCAACCTGCTCTATGAAACGGAAGGTTCAACTCTGTGACTTGATTGCAAACATCACGAAGGTGTTTCTGAGAATGCTTCTGTCTAGATTTTCTTTGAAGACATTACCGTTTCCAACGAAATCCTCAAAGCTAGCCAAATATCCACCTGCAGATTCTACAAAAAGAGTGTTTCAAAAGTGCTCTGTCCAAACCAAGGTTCAATTCTGACAGTTGAGTGCACACATCACAAACGTGATTCTGCGAATGCTTCTGTCTAGTTTTTGTCGGAAGATATTTCCTTTTTCAGCATAGGCCCCAAGGAGCTCAAAATGTCCACTGCCAGATAGTACGAGAAGATTGTTTCAAACCTGCTCTGTGAAAGGGAATGTTCAACTCTGTGACTTGAATGTAAACATCCCTAAGATGTTTCTTAGAATGCTTCTGGCTAGATTTGATTTGAAGATATTCCCGTTTCCAACGAAATCCTCAAAGCTTTCCAAATATCCACTTCCAGATTCTATAAAAAGAATGTTTCAGAACAGTTCTGTCAAAAGAAAGGTTCAACTCTGTTAGTGGAGAACACACATCACAATCAAGGTTCTGAGAATGCTTCTGTCTAAATTTTCTATGAAGACATTCCCGTTTCCAACGAAATCCTCACAGCTATCCAAATATCCACTTGCAGATTCTACAAAAAGTGTGGTTCAAAACTGCTGTATCAAAAGAATGGATCAACACTGTTAGTTGAGTACCCACATCACAAACGTGATTCTCAGAATGCTTCTGTCTAGTTTCTATAGGTAGATATCTCCTTTTTCAGCATAGGCCTGAAAGCGCTCCAAATGCCCGCTTCCAGACACTATAAAAAGAGGGTTTCAAACCTACTCTATGAAAGGGAATGTTCAACTCTGAGAGCTGGATGCAAACATCACAAAGAAGTTTCTGAGAATGCTGCTGTCTACTTTTTATATATAATCCCGTTTCCAACGAAATCCTCAAATCTATCCAAATATCCACTTGCAGATTCCAAAAGAAGAGTGTCTCAAAACTGCTCTATCAATAGAAATGTTCAGCACAGTTAGTTGAGTAGATACAGCATAAACATGTTTCTGAGATTACTTCTATCTCGCATTCATGGGAAGATATTTCCTTTTTCCAGATAGGCTACAAAGCCCTCCAAATGTCCACTTCCAGATACTACAAATAGAGTGCTGCACAACTGCTCTATGTGAGGGGAAGTTCAATTCTGTGACTTGAATGCAGACACCACAAAGAAGTTTCTGAGAATGCTGCTGTCTAATTTTTACATGTAAGCCCGTTTCCAACGAAATCCTCAAAGCTATCCAAATATCCGCATGCAGAATCTTCAAAAAGAGTGTTCCAGAAGTACTGCATGAAACGAAAGGTTCAAGTCCGTTTGTTGAGGACACACATCACAAATAAGTTTCTCAGAATGCTTCTGTCTTGTTTTCATTGGAAGATATTTCCTTTTTCACCATAGTTCAGAAAGCGCTCCAAATGTCCACTTCCAGATACTCCAAAAAGAGTGTTTCCAACCTGCTCTATGAATGGGAATGTTCCACTCTGTGACTTGAATGGAAATATGGCAAAGTATTTTCTGAGTATGCTGCTGTGTACGTTTTATATTGCATCCCGTTTCCAACGAAATCCTCAAAGCGATCCAAATATCCACTTGCAGATTCCAAAAAAAGAGTGTTTCAAAGTGCTCTGTCAGTACAAAGGTTCAACACTGTTGGTTGATTAGATGCATCATAAACAAGTTCCTGAGATAGCTTCTATGTCGTTTTTATGGGAAGATATTTCCTTTTTCACCATAGGCCTGAAAGCGCTCCAAATGTCCACTTCCAGATACTACAATAAGAGTGTTTCCAACCTGCTCTATGAAACGGAAGGTTCAACTCTGTGACTTGATTGCAAACATCACGAAGGTGTTTCTGAGAATGCTTCTGTCTAGATTTTCTTTGAAGACATTCCCGTTTCCAACGAAATCCTCACAGCTATCCAAATATCCTCTTGCAGATTCTACAAAAAGTGTGGTTCAAAACTGCTGTATCAAAAGAATGGATCAACACTGTTAGTTGAGTACCCACATCACAAACGTGATTCTCAGAATGCTTCTGTCTAGTTTCTGTAGGTAGATATTTCCTATTTTAAGCATAGGCCTGAAAGCGCTCCAAATGCCCGCTTCCAGACACTATAAAAAGAGGGTTTCAAACCTACTCTATGAAAGGGAATGCTCAACTCTGAGAGCTGGATGCAAACATCACAAAGAAGTTTCTGAGAATGCTGCTGTCTACTTTTTATATATAATCCCGTTTCCAACGAAATCCTCAAATCTATGCAAATATCCACTTGCAGATTCCAAAAGAAGAGTGTCTCAAAACTGCTCTATCAATAGAAATGTTCAGCACAGTTAGTTGAGTAGATACAGCATAAACATGTTTCTGAGATTACTTCTATCTCGCATTCATGGGAAGATATTTCCTTTTTCCAGATAGGCTACAAAGCCCTCCAAATGTCCACTTCCAGATACTACAAAAAGAGTGTTTCCAACCTGCTCTATGAAACGGAAGGTTCAACTCTGTGACTTGATTGCAAACATCACGAAGCTGTTTCTGAGAATGCTTCTGTCTAGATTTTCTTTGAAGACATTACCGTTTCCAACGAAATCCTCAAAGCTAGCCAAATATCCACCTGCAGATTCTACAAAAAGAGTGTTTCAAAAGTGCTCTCTCCAAACCAAGGTTCAATTCTGACAGTTGAGTGCACACATCACAAACGTGATTCTGCGAATGCTTCTGTCTAGTTTTTGTCGGAAGATATTTCCTTTTTCAGCATAGGCCCCAAGGAGCTCAAAATGTCCACTGCCAGATAGTACGAGAAGATTGTTTCAAACCTGCTCTGTGAAAGGGAATGTTCAACTCTGTGACTTGAATGTAAACATCCCTAAGATGTTTCTTAGAATGCTTCTGGCTAGATTTTATTTGAAGATATTCCCGTTTCCAACGAAATCCTCAAAGCTTTCCAAATATCCACTTCCAGATTCTATAAAAAGAATGTTTCAGAACAGTTCTGTCAAAAGAAAGGTTCAACTCTGTTAGTGGAGAACACACATCACAATCAAGGTTCTGAGAATGCTTCTGTCTAAATTTTCTATGAAGACATTCCCGTTTCCAACGAAATCCTCACAGCTATCCAAATATCCACTTGCAGATTCTACAAAAAGTGTGGTTCAAAACTGCTGTATCAAAAGAATGGATCAACACTGTTAGTTGAGTACCCACATCACAAACGTGATTCGCAGAATGCTTCTGTCTAGTTTCTATAGGTAGATATTTCCTATTTTAAGCATAGGCCTGAAAGCGCTCCAAATGCCCGCTTCCAGACACTATAAAAAGAGGGTTTCAAACCTACTCTATGAAAGGGAATGTTCAACTCTGAGAGCTGGATGCAAACATCACAAAGAAGTTTCTGAGAATGCTGCTGTCTACTTTTTATATATAATCCCGTTTCCAACGAAATCCTCAAATCTATCCAAATATCCACTTGCAGATTCCAAAAGAAGAGTGTCTCAAAACTGCTCTATCAATAGAAATGTTCAGCACAGTTAGTTGAGTAGATACAGCATAAACATGTTTCTGAGATTACTTCTATCTCGCATTCATGGGAAGATATTTCCTTTTTCCAGATAGGCTACAAAGCCCTCCAAATGTCCACTTCCAGATACTACAAAAAGAGTGTTTCCAACCTGCTCTATGAAACGGAAGGTTCAACTCTGTGACTTGATTGCAAACATCACGAAGGTGTTTCTGAGAATGCTTCTGTCTAGATTTTCTTTGAAGACATTACCATTTCCAACGAAATCCTCAAAGCTAGCCAAATATCCACCTGCAGATTCTACAAAAAGAGTGTTTCAAAAGTGCTCTGTCCAAACCAAGGTTCAATTCTGACAGTTGAGTGCACACATCACAAACGTGATTCTGCGAATGCTTCTGTCTAGTTTTTGTCGGAAGATATTTCCTTTTTCAGCATAGACCCCAAGGAGCTCAAAATGTCCACTGCCAGATAGTACGAGAAGATTGTTTCAAACCTGCTCTGTGAAAGGGAATGTTCAACTCTGTGACTTGAATGTAAACATCCCTAAGATGTTTCTTGGAATGCTTCTGGCTAGATTTTATTTGAAGATATTCCCGTTTCCAACGAAATCCTCAAAGCTTTCCAAATATCCACTTCCAGATTCTATAAAAAGAATGTTTCAGAACAGTTCTGTCAAAAGAAAGGTTCAACTCTGTTAGTGGAGAACACACATCACAATCAAGGTTCTGAGAATGCTTCTGTCTAAATTTTCTATGAAGACATTCCCGTTTCCAACGAAATCCTCACAGCTATCCAAATATCCACTTGCAGATTCTACAAAAAGTGTGGTTCAAAACTGCTGTATCAAAAGAATGGATCAACACTGTTAGTTGAGTACCCACATCACAAACGTGATTCTCAGAATGCTTCTGTCTAGTTTCTATAGGTAGATATTTCCTTTTTCAGCATAGGCCTGAAAGCGCTCCAAATGCCCGCTTCCAGACACTATAAAAAGAGGGTTTCAAACCTACTCTATGAAAGGGAATGTTCAACTCTGAGAGCTGGATGCAAACATCACAAAGAAGTTTCTGAGAATGCTGCTGTCTACTTTTTATATATAATCCCGTTTCCAACGAAATCCTCAAATCTATCCAAATATCCACTTGCAGATTCCAAAAGAAGAGTGTCTCAAAACTGCTCTATCAATAGAAATGTTCAGCACAGTTAGTTGAGTAGATACAGCATAAACATCTTTCTGAGATTACTTCTATCTCGCATTCATGGGAAGATATTTCCTTTTTCCAGATAGGCTACAAAGCCCTCCAAATGTCCACTTCCAGATACTACAAAAAGAGTGTTTCCAACCTGCTCTATGAAACGGAAGGTTCAACTCTGTGACTTGATTGCAAACATCACGAAGGTGTTTCTGAGAATGCTTCTGTCTACATTTTCTTTGAAGACATTACCGTTTCCAACGAAATCCTCAAAGCTAGCCAAATATCCACCTGCAGATTCTACAAAAAGAGTGTTTCAAAAGTGCTCTGTCCAAACCAAGGTTCAATTCTGACAGTTGAGTGCACACATCACAAACGTGATTCTGCGAATGCTTCTGTCTAGTTTTTGTCGGAAGATATTTCCTTTTTCAGCATAGGCCCCAAGGAGCTCAAAATGTCCACTGCCAGATAGTACGAGAAGATTGTTTCAAACCTGCTCTGTGAAAGGGAATGTTCAACTCTGTGACTTGAATGTAAACATCCCTAAGATGTTTCTTAGAATGCTTCTGGCTAGATTTGATTTGAAGATATTCCCGTTTCCAACGAAATCCTCAAAGCTTTCCAAATATCCACTTCCAGATTCTATAAAAAGAATGTTTCAGAACAGTTCTGTCAAAAGAAAGGTTCAACTCTGTTAGTGGAGAACACACATCACAATCAAGGTTCTGAGAATGCTTCTGTCTAAATTTTCTATGAAGACATTCCCGTTTCCAACGAAATCCTCACAGCTATCCAAATATCCACTTGCAGATTCTACAAAAAGTGTGGTTCAAAACTGCTGTATCAAAAGAATGGATCAACACTGTTAGTTGAGTACCCACATCACAAACGTGATTCTCAGAATGCTTCTGTCTAGTTTCTATAGGTAGATATCTCCTTTTTCAGCATAGGCCTGAAAGCGCTCCAAATGCCCGCTTCCAGACACTATAAAAAGAGGGTTTCAAACCTACTCTATGAAAGGGAATGTTCAACTCTGAGAGCTGGATGCAAACATCACAAAGAAGTTTCTGAGAATGCTGCTGTCTACTTTTTATATATAATCCCGTTTCCAACGAAATCCTCAAATCTATCCAAATATCCACTTGCAGATTCCAAAAGAAGAGGGTCTCAAAACTGCTCTATCAATAGAAATGTTCAGCACAGTTAGTTGAGTAGATACAGCATAAACATGTTTCTGAGATTACTTCTATCTCGCATTCATGGGAAGATATTTCCTTTTTCCAGATAGGCTACAAAGCCCTCCAAATGTCCACTTCCAGATACTACAAATAGAGTGCTGCACAACTGCTCTATGTGAGGGGAAGTTCAATTCTGTGACTTGAATGCAGACACCACAAAGAAGTTTCTGAGAATGCTGCTGTCTAATTTTTACATGTAAGCCCGTTTCCAACGAAATCCTCAAAGCTATCCAAATATCCGCATGCAGAATCTTCAAAAAGAGTGTTCCAGAAGTACTGCATGAAACGAAAGGTTCAAGTCCGTTTGTTGAGGACACACATCACAAATAAGTTTCTCAGAATGCTTCTGTCTTGTTTTCATTGGAAGATATTTCCTTTTTCACCATAGTTCAGAAAGCGCTCCAAATGTCCACTTCCAGATACTCCAAAAAGAGTGTTTCAAACCTGCTCTATGAATGGGAATGTTCCACTCTCTGACTTGAATGGAAATATGGCAAAGTATTTTCTGAGTATGCTGCTGTGTACGTTTTATATTGCATCCCGTTTCCAACGAAATCCTCAAAGCGATCCAAATATCCACTTGCAGATTCCAAAAAAAGAGTGTTTCAAACTGCTCTGTCAGTACAAAGGTTCAACACTGTTAGTTGATTAGATGCATCATAAACAAGTTCCTGAGATAGCTTCTATGTCGTTTTTATGGGAAGATATTTCCTTTTTCACCATAGGCCTGAAAGCGCTCCAAATGTCCACTTCCAGATACTACAATAAGAGTGTTTCCAACCTGCTCTATGAAACGGAAGGTTCAACTCTGTGACTTGATTGCAAACATCACGAAGGTGTTTCTGAGAATGCTTCTGTCTAGATTTTCTTTGAAGACATTCCCGTTTCCAACGAAATCCTCACAGCTATCCAAATATCCTCTTGCAGATTCTACAAAAAGTGTGGTTCAAAACTGCTGTATCAAAAGAATGGATCAACACTGTTAGTTGAGTACCCACATCACAAACGTGATTCTCAGAATGCTTCTGTCTAGTTTCTGTAGGTAGATATTTCCTATTTTAAGCATAGGCCTGAAAGCGCTCCAAATGCCCGCTTCCAGACACTATAAAAAGAGGGTTTCAAACCTACTCTATGAAAGGGAATGTTCAACTCTGAGAGCTGGATGCAAACATCACAAAGAAGTTTCTGAGAATGCTGCTGTCTACTTTTTATATATAATCCCGTTTCCAACGAAATCCTCAAATCTATCCAAATATCCACTTGCAGATTTCAAAAGAAGAGTGTCTCAAAACTGCTCTATCAATAGAAATGTTCAGCACAGTTAGTTGAGTAGATACAGCATAAACATGTTTCTGAGATTACTTCTATCTCGCATTCATGGGAAGATATTTCCTTTTTCCAAGTAGGCTACAAAGCCCTCCAAATGTCCACTTCGAGATACTACAAATAGAGTGCTGCACAACTGCTCTATGTGAGGGGAAGTTCAATTCTGTGACTTGAATGCAGACACCACAAAGAAGTTTCTGAGAATGCTGCTGTCTAATTTTTACATGTAAGCCCGTTTCCAACGAAATCCTCAAAGCTATCCAAATATCCGCATGCAGAATCTTCAAAAAGAGTGTTCCAGAAGTACTGCATGAAACGAAAGGTTCAAGTCCGTTTGTTGAGGACACACATCACAAATAAGTTTCTCAGAATGCTTCTGTCTTGTTTTCATTGGAAGATATTTCCTTTTTCACCATAGTTCAGAAAGCGCTCCAAATGTCCACTTCCAGATACTCCAAAAAGAGTGTTTCCAACCTGCTCTATGAATGGGAATGTTCCACTCTGTGACTTGAATGGAAATATGGCAAAGTATTTTCTGAGTATGCTGCTGTGTACGTTTTATATTGCATCCCGTTTCCAACGAAATCCTCAAAGCGATCCAAATATCCACTTGCAGATTCCAAAAAAAGAGTGTTTCAAACTGCTCTGTCAGTACAAAGGTTCAACACTGTTAGTTGATTAGATGCATCATAAACAAGTTCCTGAGATAGCTTCTATGTCGTTTTTATGGGAAGATATTTCCTTTTTCACCATAGGCCTGAAAGCGCTCCAAATGTCCACTTCCAGATACTACAATAAGAGTGTTTCCAACCTGCTCTATGAAACGGAAGGTTCAACTCTGTGACTTGATTGCAAACATCACGAAGGTGTTTCTGAGAATGCTTCTGTCTAGATTTTCTTTGAAGACATTCCCGTTTCCAACGAAATCCTCACAGCTATCCAAATATCCTCTTGCAGATTCTACAAAAAGTGTGGTTCAAAACTGCTGTATCAAAAGAATGGATCAACACTGTTAGTTGAGTACCCACATCACAAACGTGATTCTCAGAATGCTTCTGTCTAGTTTCTGTAGGTAGATATTTCCTATTTTAAGCATAGGCCTGAAAGCGCTCCAAATGCCCGCTTCCAGACACTATAAAAAGAGGGTTTCAAACCTACTCTATGAAAGGGAATGTTCAACTCTGAGAGCTGGATGCAAACATCACAAAGAAGTTTCTGAGAATGCTGCTGTCTACTTTTGATATATAATCCCGTTTCCAACGAAATCCTCAAATCTATCCAAATATCCACTTGCAGATTCCAAAAGAAGAGTGTCTCAAAACTGCTCTATCAATAGAAATGTTCAGCACAGTTAGTTGAGTAGATACAGTATAAACATGTTTCTGAGATTACTTCTATCTCGCATTCATGGGAAGATATTTCCTTTTTCCAGATAGGCTACAAAGCCCTCCAAATGTCCACTTCCAGATACTACAAATAGAGTGCTGCACAACTGCTCTATGTGAGGGGAAGTTCAATTCTGTGACTTGAATGCAGACACCACAAAGAAGTTTCTGAGAATGCTGCTGTCTAATTTTTACATGTAAGCCCGTTTCCAACGAAATCCTCAAAGCTATGCAAATATCCGCATGCAGAATCTTCAAAAAGAGTGTTCCAGAAGTACTGCATGAAACGAAAGGTTCAAGTCCGTTTGTTGAGGACACACATCACAAATAAGTTTCTCAGAATGCTTCTGTCTTGTTTTCATTGGAAGATATTTCCTTTTTCACCATAGTTCAGAAAGCGCTCCAAATGTCCACTTCCAGATACTCCAAAAAGAGTGTTTCAAACCTGCTCTATGAATGGGAATGTTCCACTCTGTGACTTGAATGGAAATATGGCAAAGTATTTTCTGAGTATGCTGCTGTGTACGTTTTATATTGCATCCCGTTTCCAACGAAATCCTCAAAGCGATCCAAATATCCACTTGCAGATTCCAAAAAAAGAGTGTTTCAAACTGCTCTGTCAGTACAAAGGTTCAACACTGTTAGTTGATTAGATGCATCATAAACAAGTTCCTGAGATAGCTTCTATGTCGTTTTTATGGGAAGATATTTCCTTTTTCACCATAGGCCTGAAAGCGCTCCAAATGTCCACTTCCAGATACTACAATAAGAGTGTTTCCAACCTGCTCTATGAAACGGAAGGTTCAACTCTGTGACTTGATTGCAAACATCACGAAGGTGTTTCTGAGAATGCTTCTGTCTAGATTTTCTTTGAAGACATTCCCGTTTCCAACGAAATCCTCACAGCTATCCAAATATCCTCTTGCAGATTCTACAAAAAGTGTGGTTCAAAACTGCTGTATCAAAAGAATGGATCAACACTGTTAGTTGAGTACCCACATCACAAACGTGATTCTCAGAATGCTTCTGTCTAGTTTCTGTAGGTAGATATTTCCTATTTTAAGCATAGGCCTGAATGCGCTCAAAATGCCCGCTTCCAGACACTATAAAAAGAGGGTTTCAAACCTACTCTATGAAAGGGAATGTTCAACTCTGAGAGCTGGATGCAAACATCACAAAGAAGTTTCTGAGAATGCTGCTGTCTACTTTTTATATATAATCCCGTTTCCAACGAAATCCTCAAATCTATCCAAATATCCACTTGCAGATTCCAAAAGAAGAGTGTCTCAAAACTGCTCTATCAATAGAAATGTTCAGCACAGTTAGTTGAGTAGATACAGCATAAACATGTTTCTGAGATTACTTCTATCTCGCATTCATGGGAAGATATTTCCTTTTTCCAGATAGGCTACAAAGCCCTCCAAATGTCCACTTCCAGATACTACAAATAGAGTGCTGCACAACTGCTCTATGTGAGGGGAAGTTCAATTCTGTGACTTGAATGCAGACACCACAAAGAAGTTTCTGAGAATGCTGCTGTCTAATTTTTACATGTAAGCCCGTTTCCAACGAAATCCTCAAAGCTATCCAAATATCCGCATGCAGAATCTTCAAAAAGAGTGTTCCAGAAGTACTGCATGAAACGAAAGGTTCAAGTCCGTTTGTTGAGGACACACATCACAAATAAGTTTCTCAGAATGCTTCTGTCTTGTTTTCATTGGAAGATATTTCCTTTTTCACCATAGTTCAGAAAGCGCTCCAAATGTCCACTTCCAGATACTCCAAAAAGAGTGTTTCCAACCTGCTCTATGAATGGGAATGTTCCACTCTGTGACTTGAATGGAAATATGGCAAAGTATTTTCTGAGTATGCTGCTGTGTACGTTTTATATTGCATCCCGTTTCCAACGAAATCCTCAAAGCGATCCAAATATCCACTTGCAGATTCCAAAAAAAGAGTGTTTCAAACTGCTCTGTCAGTACAAAGGTTCAACACTGTTAGTTGATTAGATGCCTCATAAACAAGTTCCTGAGATAGCTTCTATGTTGTTTTTATGGGAAGATATTTCCTTTTTCACCATAGGCCTGAAAGCGCTCCAAATGTCCACTTCCAGATACTACAATAAGAGTGTTTCCAACCTGCTCTATGAAACGGAAGGTTCAACTCTGTGACTTGATTGCAAACATCACGAAGGTGTTTCTGAGAATGTTTCTGTCTAGATTTTCTTTGAAGACATTCCCGTTTCCAACGAAATCCTCACAGCTATCCAAATATCCTCTTGCAGATTCTACAAAAAGTGTGGTTCAAAACTGCTGTATCAAAAGAATGGATCAACACTGTTAGTTGAGTACCCACATCACAAACGAGATTCTCAGAATGCTTCTGTCTAGTTTCTGTAGGTAGATATTTCCTATTTTAAGCATAGGTCTGAAAGCGCTCCAAATGCCCGCTTCCAGACACTATAAAAAGAGGGTTTCAAACCTACTCTATGAAAGGGAATGTTCAACTCTGAGAGCTGGATGCAAACATCACAAAGAAGTTTCTGAGAATGCTGCTGTCTACTTTTTATATATAATCCCGTTTCCAACGAAATCCTCAAATCTCTCCAAATATCCACTTGCAGATTCCAAAAGAAGAGTGTCTCAAAACTGCTCTATCAATAGAAATGTTCAGCACAGTTAGTTGAGTAGATACAGCATAAACATGTTTCTGAGATTACTTCTATCTCGCATTCATGGGAAGATATTTCCTTTTTCCACATAGGCTACAAAGCCCTCCAAATGTCCACTTCCAGATACTACAAAAAGAGTGTTTCCAACCTGCTCTATGAAACGGAAGGTTCAACTCTGTGACTTGATTGCAAACATCACGAAGGTGTTTCTGAGAATGCTTCTGTCTAGATTTTCTTTGAAGACATTACCGTTTCCAACGAAATCCTCAAAGCTAGCCAAATATCCACCTGCAGATTCTACAAAAAGAGTGTTTCAAAAGTGCTCTGTCCAAACCAAGGTTCAATTCTGACAGTTGAGTGCACACATCACAAACGTGATTCTGCGAATGCTTCTGTCTAGTTTTTGTCGGAAGATATTTCCTTTTTCAGCATAGGCCCCAAGGAGCTCAAAATGTCCACTGCCAGATAGTACGAGAAGATTGTTTCAAACCTGCTCTGTGAAAGGGAATGTTCAACTCTGTGACTTGAATGTAAACATCCCTGAGATGTTTCTTAGAATGCTTCTGGCTAGATTTGATTTGAAGATATTCCCGTTTCCAACGAAATCCTCAAAGCTTTCCAAATATCCACTTCCAGATTCTATAAAAAGAATGTTTCAGAACAGTTCTGTCAAAAGAAAGGTTCAACTCTGTTAGTGGAGAACACACATCACAATCAAGGTTCTGAGAATGCTTCTGTCTAAATTTTCTATGAAGACATTCCCGTTTCCAAGGAAATCCTCACAGCTATCCAAATATCCACTTGCAGATTCTACAAAAAGTGTGGTTCAAAACTGCTGTATCAAAAGAATGGATCAACACTGTTAGTTGAGTACCCACATCACCAACGTGATTCTCAGAATGCTTCTGTCTAGTTTCTGTAGGTAGATATTTCCTATTTTAAGCATAGGCCTGAAAGCGCTCCAAATGTCCGCTTCCAGACACTATAAAAAGAGGGTTTCAAACCTACTCTATGAAAGGGAATGTTCAACTCTGAGAGCTGGATGCAAACATCACAAAGAAGTTTCTGAGAATGCTGCTGTCTACTTTTTATATATAATCCCGTTTCCAACGAAATCCTCAAATCTATCCAAATATCCACTTGCAGATTCCAAAAGAAGAGTGTCTCAAAACTGCTCTATCAATAGAAATGTTCAGCACAGTTAGTTGAGTAGATACAGCATAAACATGTTTCTGAGATTACTTCTATCTCGCATTCATGGGAAGATATTTCCTTTTTCCAGATAGGCTACAAAGCCCTCCAAATGTCCACTTCCAGATACTACAAAAAGAGTGTTTCCAACCTGCTCTATGAAACGGAAGGTTCAACTCTGTGACTTGATTGCAAACATCACGAAGGTGTTTCTGAGAATGCTTCTGTCTAGATTTTCTTTGAAGACATTACCGTTTCCAACGAAATCCTCAAAGCTAGCCAAATATCCACCTGCAGATTCTACAAAAAGAGTGTTTCAAAAGTGCTCTCTCCAAACCAAGGTTCAATTCTGACAGTTGAGTGCACACATCACAAACGTGATTCTGCGAATGCTTCTGTCTAGTTTTTGTCGGAAGATATTTCCTTTTTCAGCATAGGCCCCAAGGAGCTCAAAATGTCCACTGCCAGATAGTACGAGAAGATTGTTTCAAACCTGCTCTGTGAAAGGGAATGTTCAACTCGGTGACTTGAATGTAAACATCCCTAAGATGTTTCTTAGAATGCTTCTGGCTAGATTTGATTTGAAGATATTCCCGTTTCCAACGAAATCCTCAAAGCTTTCCAAATATCCACTTCCAGATTCTACAAAAAGTGTGGTTCAAAACTGCTGTATCAAAAGAATGGATCAACACTGTTAGTTGAGTACCCACATCACAAACGTGATTCTCAGAATGCTTCTGTCTAGTTTCTATAGGTAGATATTTCCTTTTTCAGCATAGGCCTGAAAGCGCTCCAAATGCCCGCTTCCAGACACTATAAAAAGAGGGTTTCAAACCTACTCTATGAAAGGGAATGTTCAACTCTGAGAGCTGGATGCAAACATCACAAAGAAGTTTCTGAGAATGCTGCTGTCTACTTTTTATATATAATCCCGTTTCCAACGAAATCCTCAAATCTATCCAAATATCCACTTGCAGATTCCAAAAGAAGAGTGTCTCAAAACTGCTCTATCAATAGAAATGTTCAGCACAGTTAGTTGAGTAGATACAGCATAAACATGTTTCTCAGATTACTTCTATCTCGCATTCATGGGAAGATATTTCCTTTTTCCAGATAGGCTACAAAGCCCTCCAAATGTCCACTTCCAGATACTACAAATAGAGTGCTGCACAACTGCTCTATGTGAGGGGAAGTTCAATTCTGTGACTTGAATGCAGACACCACAAAGAAGTTTCTGAGAATGCTGCTGTCTAATTTTTACATGTAAGCCCGTTTCCAACGAAATCCTCAAAGCTATCCAAATATCCGCATGCAGAATCTTCAAAAAGAGTGTTCCAGAAGTACTGCATGAAACGAAAGGTTCAAGTCCGTTTGTTGAGGACACACATCACAAATAAGTTTCTCAGAATGCTTCTGTCTTGTTTTCATTGGAAGATATTTCCTTTTTCACCATAGTTCAGAAAGCGCTCCAAATGTCCACTTCCAGATACTCCAAAAAGAGTGTTTCAAACCTGCTCTATGAATGGGAATGTTCCACTCTGTGACTTGAATGGAAATATGGCAAAGTATTTTCTGAGTATGCTGCTGTGTACGTTTTATATTGCATCCCGTTTCCAACGAAATCCTCAAAGCGATCCAAATATCCACTTGCAGATTCCAAAAAAAGAGTGTTTCAAACTGCTCTGTCAGTACAAAGGTTCAACACTTTTAGTTTGATTAGATGCATCATAAACAAGTTCCTGAGATAGCTTCTATGTTGTTTTTATGGGAAGATATTTCCTTTTTCACCATAGGCCTGAAAGCGCTCCAAATGTCCACTTCCAGATACTACAATAAGAGTGTTTCCAACCTGCTCTATGAAACGGAAGGTTCAACTCTGTGACTTGATTGCAAACATCACGAAGGTGTTTCTGAGAATGTTTCTGTCTAGATTTTCTTTGAAGACATTCCCGTTTCCAACGAAATCCTCACAGCTATCCAAATATCCTCTTGCAGATTCTACAAAAAGTGTGGTTCAAAACTGCTGTATCAAAAGAATGGATCAACACTGTTAGTTGAGTACCCACATCACAAACGTGATTCTCAGAATGCTTCTGTCTAGTTTCTGTAGGTAGATATTTCCTATTTTAAGCATAGGCCTGAAAGCGCTCCAAATGCCCGCTTCCAGACACTATAAAAAGAGGGTTTCAAACCTACTCTATGAAAGGGAATGTTCAACTCTGAGAGCTGGATGCAAACATCACAAAGAAGTTTCTGAGAATGCTGCTGTCTACTTTTTATATATAATCCCGTTTCCAACGAAATCCTCAAATCTATCCAAATATCCACTTGCAGATTCCAAAAGAAGAGTGTCTCAAAACTGCTCTATCAATAGAAATGTTCAGCACAGTTAGTTGAGTAGATACAGCATAAACATGTTTCTGAGATTACTTCTATCTCGCATTCATGGGAAGATATTTCCTTTTTCCACATAGGCTACAAAGCCCTCCAAATGTCCACTTCCAGATACTACAAATAGAGTGCTGCACAACTGCTCTATGTGAGGGGATGTTCAATTCTGTGACTTGAATGCAGACACCACAAAGAAGTTTCTGAGAATGCTGCTGTCTAATTTTTACATGTAAGCCCGTTTCCAACGAAATCCTCAAAGCTATCCAAATATCCGCATGCAGAATCTTCAAAAAGAGTGTTCCAGAAGTACTGCATGAAACGAAAGGTTCAAGTCCGTTTGTTGAGGACACACATCAAAAATAAGTTTCTCAGAATGCTTCTGTCTTGTTTTCATTGGAAGATATTTCCTTTTTCACCATAGTTCAGAAAGCGCTCCAAATGTCCACTTCCAGATACTCCAAAAAGAGTGTTTCCAACCTGCTCTATGAATGGGAATGTTCCACTCTGTGACTTGAATGGAAATATGGCAAAGTATTTTCTGAGTATGCTGCTGTGTACGTTTTATATTGCATCCCGTTTCCAACGAAATCCTCAAAGCGATCCAAATATCCACTTGCAGATTCCAAAAAAAGAGTGTTTCAAACTGCTCTGTCAGTACAAAGGTTCAACACTGTTAGTTGATTAGATGCCTCATAAACAAGTTCCTGAGATAGCTTCTATGTCGTTTTTATGGGAAGATATTTCCTTTTTCACCATAGGCCTGAAAGCGCTCCAAATGTCCACTTCCAGATACTACAATAAGAGTGTTTCCAACCTGCTCTATGAAACGGAAGGTTCAACTCTGTGACTTGATTGCAAACATCACGAAGGTGTTTCTGAGAATGTTTCTGTCTAGATTTTCTTTGAAGACATTCCCGTTTCCAACGAAATCCTCACAGCTATCCAAATATACTCTTGCAGATTCTACAAAAAGTGTGGTTCAAAACTGCTGTATCAAAAGAATGGATCAACACTGTTAGTTGAGTACCCACATCACAAACGAGATTCTCAGAATGCTTCTGTCTAGTTTCTGTAGGTAGATATTTCCTATTTTAAGCATAGGCCTGAAAGCGCTCCAAATGCCCGCTTCCAGACACTATAAAAAGAGGGTTTCAAACCTACTCTATGAAAGGGAATGTTCAACTCTGAGAGCTGGATGCAAACATCACAAAGAAGTTTCTGAGAATGCTGCTGTCTACTTTTTATATATAATCCCGTTTCCAACGAAATCCTCAAATCTCTCCAAATATCCACTTGCAGATTCCAAAAGAAGAGTGTCTCAAAACTGCTCTATCAATAGAAATGTTCAGCACAGTTAGTTGAGTAGATACAGCATAAACATGTTTCTGAGATTACTTCTATCTCGCATTCATGGGAAGATATTTCCTTTTTCCACATAGGCTACAAAGCCCTCCAAATGTCCACTTCCAGATACTACAAAAAGAGTGTTTCCAACCTGCTCTATGAAACGGAAGGTTCAACTCTGTGACTTGATTGCAAACATCACGAAGGTGTTTCTGAGAATGCTTCTGTCTAGATTTTCTTTGAAGACATTACCGTTTCCAACGAAATCCTCAAAGCTAGCCAAATATCCACCTGCAGATTCTACAAAAAGAGTGTTTCAAAAGTGCTCTGTCCAAACCAAGGTTCAATTCTGACAGTTGAGTGCACACATCACAAACGTGATTCTGCGAATGCTTCTGTCTAGTTTTTGTCGGAAGATATTTCCTTTTTCAGCATAGGCCCCAAGGAGCTCAAAATGTCCACTTCCAGATACTACGAGAAGATTGTGTCAAACCTGCTCTGTGAAAGGGAATGTTCAACTCTGTGACTTGAATGTAAACATCCCTAAGATGTTTCTTAGAATGCTTCTGGCTAGATTTGATTTGAAGATATTCCCGTTTCCAACGAAATCCTCAAAGCTTTCCAAATATCCACTTCCAGATTCTATAACAAGAATGTTTCAGAACAGTTCTGTCAAAAGAAAGGTTCAACTCTGTTAGTGGAGAACACACATCACAATCAAGGTTCTGAGAATGCTTCTGTCTAAATTTTCTATGAAGACATTCCCGTTTCCAACGAAATCCTCACAGCTATCCAAATATCCACTTGCAGATTCTACAAAAAGTGTGGTTCAAAACTGCTGTATCAAAAGAATGGATCAACACTGTTAGTTGAGTACCCACATCACAAACGTGATTCTCAGAATGCTTCTGTCTAGTTTCTATAGGTAGATATTTCCTTTTTCAGCATAGGCCTGAAAGCGCTCCAAATGCCCGCTTCCAGACACTATAAAAAGAGGGTTTCAAACCTACTCTATGAAAGGGAATGTTCAACTCTGAGAGCTGGATGCAAACATCACAAAGAAGTTTCTGAGAATGCTGCTGTCTACTTTTGATATATAATCCCGTTTCCAACGAAATCCTCAAATCTATCCAAATATCCACTTGCAGATTCCAAAAGAAGAGTGTCTCAAAACTGCTCTATCAATAGAAATGTTCAGCACAGTTAGTTGAGTAGATACAGCATAAACATGTTTCTGAGATTACTTCTATCTCGCATTCATGGGAAGATATTTCCTTTTTCCAGATAGGCTACAAAGCCCTCCAAATGTCCACTTCCAGATACTACAAAAAGAGTGTTTCCAACCTGCTCTATGAAACGGAAGGTTCAACTCTGTGACTTGATTGCAAACATCACGAAGGTGTTTCTGAGAATGCTTCTGTCTAGATTTTCTTTGAAGACATTACCGTTTCCAACGAAATCCTCAAAGCTAGCCAAATATCCACCTGCAGATTCTACAAAAAGAGTGTTTCAAAAGTGCTCTGTCCAAACCAAGGTTCAATTCTGACAGTTGAGTGCACACATCACAAACGTGATTCTGCGAATGCTTCTGTCTAGTTTTTGTCGGAAGATATTTCCTTTTTCAGCATAGGCCCCAAGGAGCTCACAATGTCCACTGCCAGATAGTACGAGAAGATTGTTTCAAATCTGCTCTGTGAAAGGGAATGTTCAACTCTGTGACTTGAATGTAAACATCCCTAAGATGTTTCTTAGAATGCTTCTGGCTAGATTTTATTTGAAGATATTCCCGTTTCCAATGAAATCCTCAAAGCTTTCCAAATATCCACTTCCAGATTCTATAAAAAGAATGTTTCAGAACAGTTCTGTCAAAAGAAAGGTTCAACTCTGTTAGTGGAGAACACACACCACAATCAAGGTTCTGAGAATGCTTCTGTCTAAATTTTCTATGAAGACATTCCCGTTTCCAACGAAATCCTCACAGCTATCCAAATATCCACTTGCAGATTCTACAAAAAGTGTGGTTCAAAACTGCTGTATCAAAAGAATGGATCAACACTGTTAGTTGAGTACCCACATCACAAACGTGATTCTCAGAATGCTTCTGTCTAGTTTCTATAGGTAGATATTTCCTTTTTCAGCATAGGCCTGAAAGCGCTCCAAATGCCCGCTTCCAGACACTATAAAAAGAGGGTTTCAAACCTACTCTATGAAAGGGAATGTTCAACTCTGAGAGCTGGATGCAAACATCACAAAGAAGTTTCTGAGAATGCTGCTGTCTACTTTTTATATATAATCCCGTTTCCAACGAAATCCTCAAATCTATCCAAATATCCACTTGCAGATTCCAAAAGAAGAGTGTCTCAAAACTGCTCTATCAATAGAAATGTTCAGCACAGTTAGTTGAGTAGATACAGCATAAACATGTTTCTGAGATTACTTCTATCTCGCATTCATGGGAAGATATTTCCTTTTTCCAGATAGGCTACAAAGCCCTCCAAATGTCCACTTCCAGATACTACAAATAGAGTGCTGCACAACTGCTCTATGTGAGGGGATGTTCAATTCTGTGACTTGAATGCAGACACCACAAAGAAGTTTCTGAGAATGCTGCTGTCTAATTTTTACATGTAAGCCCGTTTCCAACGAAATCCTCAAAGCTATCCAAATATCCGCATGCAGAATCTTCAAAAAGAGTGTTCCAGAAGTACTGCATGAAACGAAAGGTTCAAGTCCGTTTGTTGAGGACACACATCACAAATAAGTTTCTCAGAATGCTTCTGTCTTGTTTTCATTGGAAGATATTTCCTTTTTCACCATAGTTCAGAAAGCGCTCCAAATGTCCACTTCCAGATACTCCAAAAAGAGTGTTTCCAACCTGCTCTATGAATGGGAATGTTCCACTCTGTGACTTGAATGGAAATATGGCAAAGTATTTTCTGAGTATGCTGCTGTGTACGTTTTATATTGCATCCCGTTTCCAACGAAATCCTCAAAGCGATCCAAATATCCACTTGCAGATTCCAAAAAAAGAGTGTTTCAAACTGCTCTGTCAGTACAAAGGTTCAACACTGTTAGTTGATTAGATGCATCATAAACAAGTTCCTGAGATAGCTTCTATATCGTTTTTATGGGAAGATATTTCCTTTTTCACCATAGGCCAGAAAGCGCTCCAAATGTCCACTTCCAGATAGTACAAAAAGAGTGTTTCCAACCTGCTCTATGAAACGGAAGGTTCAACTCTGTGACTTGATTGCAAACATCACGAAGGTATTTCTGAGAATGCTTCTGTCTAGATTTTCTTTGAAGACATTCCCGTTTCCAACGAAATCCTCACAGCTATCCAAATATCCTCTTGCAGATTCTACAAAAAGTGTGGTTCAAAACTGCTGTATCAAAAGAATGGATCAACACTGTTAGTTGAGTACCCACATCACAAACGTGATTCTCAGAATGCTTCTGTCTAGTTTCTGTAGGTAGATATTTCCTATTTTAAGCATAGGCCTGAAAGCGCTCCAAATGCCCGCTTCCAGACACTATAAAAAGAGGGTTTCAAACCTACTCTATGAAAGGGAATGTTCAACTCTGAGAGCTGGATGCAAACATCACAAAGAAGTTTCTGAGAATGCTGCTGTCTACTTTTGATATATAATCCCGTTTCCAACGAAATCCTCAAATCTATCCAAATATCCACTTGCAGATTCCAAAAGAAGAGTGTCTCAAAACTGCTCTATCAATAGAAATGTTCAGCAGAGTTAGTTGAGTAGATACAGCATAAACATGTTTCTGAGATTACTTCTATCTCGCATTCATGGGAAGATATTTCCTTTTTCCAGATAGGCTACAAAGCCCTCCAAATGTCCACTTCCAGATACTACAAATAGAGTGCTGCACAACTGCTCTATGTGAGGGGAAGTTCAATTCTGTGACTTGAATGCAGACACCACAAAGAAGTTTCTGAGAATGCTGCTGTCTAATTTTTACATGTAAGCCCGTTTCCAACGAAATCCTCAAAGCTATCCAAATATCCGCATGCAGAATCTTCAAAAAGAGTGTTCAAGAAGTACTGCATGAAACGAAAGGTTCAAGTCCGTTTGTTGAGGACACACATCACAAATAAGTTTCTCAGAATACTTCTGTCTTGTTTTCATTGGAAGATATTTCCTTTTTCACCATAGTTCAGAAAGCGCTCCAAATGTCCACTTCCAGATACTCCAAAAAGAGTGTTTCAAACCTGCTCTATGAATGGGAATGTTCCACTCTGTGACTTGAATGGAAATATGGCAAAGTATTTTCTGAGTATGCTGCTGTGTACGTTTTATATTGCATCCCGTTTCCAACGAAATCCTCAAAGCGATCCAAATATCCACTTGCAGATTCCAAAAAAAGAGTGTTTCAAACTGCTCTGTCAGTACAAAGGTTCAACACTGTTAGTTGATTAGATGCATCATAAACAAGTTCCTGAGATAGCTTCTATGTCGTTTTTATGGGAAGATATTTCCTTTTTCACCATAGGCCTGAAAGCGCTCAAATGTCCACTTCCAGATACTACAATAAGAGTGTTTCCAACCTGCTCTATGAAACGGAAGGTTCAACTCTGTGACTTGATTGCAAACATCACGAAGGTGTTTCTGAGAATGCTTCTGTCTAGATTTTCTTTGAAGACATTCCCGTTTCCAACGAAATCCTCACAGCTATCCAAATATCCTCTTGCAGATTCTACAAAAAGTGTGGTTCAAAACTGCTGTATCAAAAGAATGGATCAACACTGTTAGTTGAGTACCCACATCACAAACGTGATTCTCAGAATGCTTCTGTCTAGTTTCTGTAGGTAGATATTTCCTATTTTAAGCATAGGCCTGAAAGCGCTCCAAATGCCCGCTTGCAGACACTATAAAAAGAGGGTTTCAAACCTACTCTATGAAAGGGAATGTTCAACTCTGAGAGCTGGATGCAAACATCACAAAGAAGTTTCTGAGAATGCTGCTGTCTACTTTTTATATATAATCCCGTTTCCAACGAAATCCTCAAATCTATCCAAATATCCACTTGCAGATTCCAAAAGAAGAGTGTCTCAAAACTGCTCTATCAATAGAAATGTTCAGCACAGTTAGTTGAGTAGATACAGCATAAACATGTTTCTGAGATTACTTCTATCTCGCATTCATGGGAAGATATTTCCTTTTTCCAGATAGGCTACAAAGCCCTCCAAATGTCCACTTCCAGATACTACAAATAGAGTGCTGCACAACTGCTCTATGTGAGGGGAAGTTCAATTCTGTGACTTGAATGCAGACACCACAAAGAAGTTTCTGAGAATGCTGCTGTCTAATTTTTACATGTAAGCCCGTTTCCAACGAAATCCTCAAAGCTATCCAAATATCCGCATGCAGAATCTTCAAAAAGAGTGTTCCAGAAGTACTGCATGAAACGAAAGGTTCAAGTCCGTTTGTTGAGGACACACATCACAAATAAGTTTCTCAGAATGCTTCTGTCTTGTTTTCATTGGAAGATATTTCCTTTTTCACCATAGTTCAGAAAGCGCTCCAAATGTCCACTTCCAGATACTCCAAAAAGAGTGTTTCCAACCTGCTCTATGAATGGGAATGTTCCACTCTGTGACTTGAATGGAAATATGGCAAAGTATTTTCTGAGTATGCTGCTGTGTACGTTTTATATTGCATCCCGTTTCCAACGAAATCCTCAAAGCGATCCAAATATCCACTTGCAGATTCCAAAAAAAGAGTGTTTCAAACTGCTCTGTCAGTACAAAGGTTCAACACTGTTAGTTGATTAGATGCCTCATAAACAAGTTCCTGAGATAGCTTCTATGTCGTTTTTATGGGAAGATATTTCCTTTTTCACCATAGGCCTGAAAGCGCTCCAAATGTCCACTTCCAGATACTACAATAAGAGTGTTTCCAACCTGCTCTATGAAACGGAAGGTTCAACTCTGTGACTTGATTGCAAACATCACGAAGGTGTTTCTGAGAATGTTTCTGTCTAGATTTTCTTTGAAGACATTCCCGTTTCCAACGAAATCCTCACAGCTATCCAAATATCCTCTTGCAGATTCTACAAAAAGTGTGGTTCAAAACTGCTGTATCAAAAGAATGGATCAACACTGTTAGTTGAGTACCCACATCACAAACGTGATTCTCAGAATGCTTCTGTCTAGTTTCTGTAGGTAGATATTTCCTATTTTAAGCATAGGTCTGAAAGCGCTCCAAATGCCCGCTTCCAGACACTATAAAAAGAGGGTTTCAAACCTACTCTATGAAAGGGAATGTTCAACTCTGAGAGCTGGATGCAAACATCACAAAGAAGTTTCTGAGAATGCTGCTGTCTACTTTTTATATATAATCCCGTTTCCAACGAAATCCTCAAATCTCTCCAAATATCCACTTGCAGATTCCAAAAGAAGAGTGTCTCAAAACTGCTCTATCAATAGAAATGTTCAGCACAGTTAGTTGAGTAGATACAGCATAAACATGTTTCTGAGATTACTTCTATCTCGCATTCATGGGAAGATATTTCCTTTTTCCAGATAGGCTACAAAGCCCTCCAAATGTCCACTTCCAGATACTACAAAAAGAGTGTTTCCAACCTGCTCTATGAGACGGAAGGTTCAACTCTGTGACTTGATTGCAAACATCACGAAGGTGTTTCTGAGAATGCTTCTGTGTAGATTTTCTTTGAAGACATTACCGTTTCCAACGAAATCCTCAAAGCTAGCCAAATATCCTCTTGCAGATTCTACAAAAAGTGTGGTTCAAAACTGCTGTATCAAAAGAATGGATCAACACTGTTAGTTGAGTACCCACATCACAAACGTGATTCTCAGAATGCTTCTGTCTAGTTTCTGTAGGTAGATATTTCCTATTTTAAGCATAGGCCTGAAAGCGCTCCAAATGCCCGCTTCCAGACACTATAAAAAGAGGGTTTCAAACCTACTCTATGAAAGGGAATGTTCAACTCTGAGAGCTGGATGCAAACATCACAAAGAAGTTTCTGAGAATGCTGCTGTCTACTTTTTATATATAATCCCGTTTCCAACGAAATCCTCAAATCTATCCAAATATCCACTTGCAGATTCCAAAAGAAGAGTGTCTCAAAACTGCTCTATCAATAGAAATGTTCAGCACAGTTAGTTGAGTAGATACAGCATAAACATGTTTCTGAGATTACTTCTATCTCGCATTCATGGGAAGATATTTCCTTTTTCCAGATAGGCTACAAAGCCCTCCAAATGTCCACTTCCAGATACTACAAAAAGAGTGTTTCCAACCTGCTCTATGAAACGGAAGGTTCAACTCTGTGACTTGATTGCAAACATCACGAAGGTGTTTCTGAGAATGCTTCTGTCTAGATTTTCTTTGAAGACATTACCGTTTCCAACGAAATCCTCAAAGCTAGCCAAATATCCACCTGCAGATTCTACAAAAAGAGTGTTTCAAAAGTGCTCTGTCCAAACCAAGGTTCAATTCTGACAGTTGAGTGCACACATCACAAACGTGATTCTGCGAATGCTTCTGTCTAGTTTTTGTCGGAAGATATTTCCTTTTTCAGCATAGGCCCCAAGGAGCTCAAAATGTCCACTGCCAGATAGTACGAGAAGATTGTTTCAAACCTGCTCTGTGAAAGGGAATGTTCAACTCTGTGACTTGAATGTAAACATCCCTAAGATGTTTCTTAGAATGCTTCTGGCTAGATTTGATTTGAAGATATTCCCGTTTCCAACGAAATCCTCAAAGCTTTCCAAATATCCACTTCCAGATTCTATAACAAGAATGTTTCAGAACAGTTCTGTCAAAAGAAAGGTTCAACTCTGTTAGTGGAGAACACACATCACAATCAAGGTTCTGAGAATGCTTCTGTCTAAATTTTCTATGAAGACATTCCCGTTTCCAACGAAATCTTCACAGCTATCCAAATATCTACTTGCAGATTCTACAAAAAGTGTGGTTCAAAACTGCTGTATCAAAAGAATGGATCAACACTGTTAGTTGAGTACCCACATCACAAACGTGATTCTCAGAATGCTTCTGTCTAGTTTCTATAGGTAGATATTTCCTTTTTCAGCATAGGCCTGAAAGCGCTCCAAATGCCCGCTTCCAGACACTATAAAAAGAAGGTTTCAAACCTACTCTATGAAAGGGAATGTTCAACTCTGAGAGCTGGATGCAAACATCACAAAGAAGTTTCTGAGAATGCTGCTGTCTACTTTTTATATATAATCCCGTTTCCAACGAAATCCTCAAATCTATCCAAATATCCACTTGCAGATTCCAAAAGAAGAGTGTCTCAAAACTGCTCTATCAATAGAAATGTTCAGCACAGTTAGTTGAGTAGATACAGCATAAACATCTTTCTGAGATTACTTCTATCTCGCATTCATGGGAAGATATTTCCTTTTTCCAGATAAGCTACAAAGCCCTCCAAATGTCCACTTCCAGATACTACAAATAGAGTGCTGCACAACTGCTCTATGTGAGGGGATGTTCAATTCTGTGACTTGAATGCAGACACCACAAAGAAGTTTCTGAGAATGCTGCTGTCTAATTTTTACATGTAAGCCCGTTTCCAACAAAATCCTCAAAGCTATCCAAATATCCGCATGCAGAATCTTCAAAAAGAGTGTTCCAGAAGTACTGCATGAAACGAAAGGTTCAAGTCCGTTTGTTGAGGACACACATCACAAATAAGTTTCTCAGAATGCTTCTGTCTTGTTTTCATTGGAAGATATTTCCTTTTTCACCATAGTTCAGAAAGCGCTCCAAATGTCCACTTCCAGATACTCCAAAAAGAGTGTTTCAAACCTGCTCTATGAATGGGAATATTCCACTCTGTGACTTGAATGGAAATATGGCAAAGTATTTTCTGAGTATGCTGCTGTGTACGTTTTATATTGCATCCCGTTTCCAACGAAATCCTCAAAGCGATCCAAATATCCACTTGCAGATTCCAAAAAAAGAGTGTTTCAAACTGCTCTGTCAGTACAAAGGTTCAACACTGTTAGTTGATTAGATGCATCATAAACAAGTTCCTGAGATAGCTTCTATGTCGTTTTTATGGGAAGATATTTCCTTTTTCACCATAGGCCTGAAAGCGCTCCAAATGTCCACTTCCAGATACTACAAAAAGAGTGTTTCCAACCTGCTCTATGAAACGGAAGGTTCAACTCTGTGACTTGATTGCAAACATCACGAAGGTGTTTCTGAGAATGCTTCTGTCTAGATTTTCTTTGAAGACATTACCGTTTCCAACGAAATCCTCAAAGCTAGCCAAATATCCACCTGCAGATTCTACAAAAAGAGTGTTTCAAAAGTGCTCTGTCCAAACCAAGGTTCAATTCTGACAGTTGAGTGCACACATCACAAACGTGATTCTGCGAATGCTTCTGTCTAGTTTTTGTCGGAAGATATTTCCTTTTTCAGCATAGGCCCCAAGGAGCTCAAAATGTCCACTGCCAGATAGTACGAGAAGATTGTTTCAAACCTGCTCTGTGAAAGGGAATGTTCAACTCTGTGACTTGAATGTAAACATCCCTAAGATGTTTCTTAGAATGCTTCTGGCTAGATTTTATTTGAAGATATTCCCGTTTCCAACGAAATCCTCAAAGCTTTCCAAATATCCACTTCCAGAT